>NC_000007.14:69476475-69779506 GCF_000001405.40 Homo sapiens | reverse complement strand
CAGGTGTGAGCCACTGCGCCTGGCTTCTATCTATATATTTTTTAAGTTATACTCCTTTATTTTGAACATAACAGATTTCTTGCCTAAGTTGGAAAACCCAAGGTGGCAGCATTTTTTGTAAAGATCAGGAAACAAGCTCTTCCCATCCTTTCTAATGCCTGGGCAGTCAATGTGAAAAGATAACCTTTCCAATTCATTCAACCAATCTGGATTCACTGCACAGACACTATGTGTCAGGCTCACTGATAGATTCTGGGGGTCCCTAAATAAATAAAACAGTGTTCCTAAAATTGTAGTAGTATTCACACACATACTAACAAACAGGCACGGTGGCTCACACCTGTAATCCCAGCACTTTGGGAGGCAGAGACGGATCACTTGAGCCCAAGAAGTTCAAGACCAGCCTTGGCAACATAGCAAGACCCAGACTCTTTTTTTTTTTTTTTTTTTTTTTTTAAAAAAAAAAAGGCTCACAACTATGTGTAGTACTTTCTTTTATACATGAATAAACAGAGGCTTAAAGAGATGAAATGTAAAAATGGCAAAGTCATTTTTCAAAGTTCAGCCTCTCACTATTGCACAGTCCACAACCACACCCCACCCCAAACACACACACATCTAAGCTTGTTAGGATAAACACAAGCTCATCTATATCAGGAAAAAGAGAATGTGGTCAGTGAATGCTTATTATTGATGGTGGTGACCCACACCTCAGTCCCACTCATTAGCTCACGCTGAATGGGAAATCATGCTGACTCCTAAGAGCTCACAAACTCATCAGTCTGTCCCAAGAAACAGCTAGAAAACCAACTGGCTTGTTCCCAGCATTAACTTTACAAGAACAAAAATCATTCCTTTTTCTTTATTTATCATTCTTTAAGATCAGGCTAACTCCTCTGGTCTGTCCACACTGCTGCAGCCCATGGTAACATCATATCTCTGAATCCAAAGTTCTGTGGCCCTGACACGTTAGAGCAGTAAGTCCCAAACCTTACTGCACATTACAACTATCTGGGGAGCTTTAAAAAAATGCTTAGGTCCTACCCCACTGAGATTCTGATTTAAGTGGTCTACAGTGGGTGGGGTCTTGGCATGGGTTTTTTTTTAAACTCCCTGGGTGATTCTAACATACAGCCAAGGTTGAGAATAACTGCACCACACCAGTAGTTCTCCAAGTGTGGTCTATGGACCAGCAATATCTGGTAACTGAGAAATGCAAATTCTCATGACACAGACCAAATGAGTAAAAAAAAAAAAAAATATATATATATATATATATGGGGATAAGGCCCTGTGATTTGTATTTTAATAACTCTCCATGAGATTCTGAGGGACACTAATGTTTGAGAACCACTGTATTAGACAATCTAAGGATCCTTAAGAATTACTGTTAATTAACTTTTAAGGCATTTACATTTTACCTTTCCAATTACACAATAAGGTTCTCAAAGTCAAGAACTGTATTTTCTATTTATTTCTACCTATCTCTCTAGCCAATACTGTGCCTGACAGAAGTAACTGCTTCATTAATATTTATTAGCTTTTCATCCAGCACATCTCAGTATAGGAACATAACCCACATCCACAAACAAGAAAGAAGACAGCCTTGGGCCAGCATGAACCAGCATGAGTGATCTGTCCCCAGAAACCTGATTAAAGGCCAACGCCCTCCCACCTCACATTGTTCAGCTCTCCCCATACCATCCAAAGATGCTTTTCATTTCATAGAGTGTTACAAAGAGGGGCTTGGAAGCAGGGACTCTGAAGCCCAAAGTTTTCTCGGAAGCCTAATTTTTAAAGGGAAAAAACAAAAAATCATTTGTAAATAATTTTATATTCAACAAAACTCAACACTTACTGGTCACCTATTGAATGCAAAGCACTGTCCTGGGCATAGTTGAAGAAATAAATATGTCTTAGATATCAGAGCTCAAAGGCCTTAGAGTAAAACAGTAGTGCCTGTAGAGCTTTATTTTAAAACACAGCTTTCCAAGAAATGATCTACATAAAAAGGAAACATTCACAGGAACTGCTTAAGAAATTCTAGCTGCTTCCACCAGGACCTGGTAGCAAGATCTTCAATCAACCAAAGAATTTTCTCTGAATTATAAAGTATACAAATGTCTTTTAGAAGACACTTAAGTAATACAACTGAAATACATACAACAATTCCATTAACACAACTAGAAAAGCTAAGTATTTAAGACTAGAAATAACGTGACTGTTCAATCAGAAAATGGGATGAGATGGAGGAGAAGGTAAGGGTTAGGAGGTGCTAGATATCCTCCATTTATTAAAACGTGCACATACTGGCAGCCTTCTCCAGTTTGCTTGTGGCCACACTGCCAGGGTCATCTGGAAATGCCCAAGAGCAAAGGTAAGATATACTTCTAAAGTTCCCTTGAGATACTATGCCTTTCAAACACTAAGTTTTTCTAACCACAGAAGGACAATTAAAGGTAGTGGGTTAGGGAAAGAGGTAATGACAGTTACTCAAATAAGGGCTCCCTGAGAAAACAGAGAGTGACTCCCTGCACTAACTCAAAGGTTTACTGAATAAGCAACCAGACTGGATCTTTAGTCAGCAGTGCAGGCACCAAGAAATCAGCTCCTCTTATATTACTTGTGGTTCCACGGTTGTATTCACAGCTTATATTTTTTTTAAAGAACAACAGAAGATAAAATTTGGAAATATTCTTAGAGGTTTCCCAATACCCACATCTTCTGTACCACATCCAAACATTCCTGGAATACCTTCAGTAACATAAGACCTAATATTTACATTTTTGACTAGGCATGGTGGGTCATGCCTGTAATCCCAGCACTTTGGGAGGCTGAGGCAGAAGGACTACTTGAGGCCAGGAGTTCAAGACCAGCCTGGGAAACATAGCAAGACCCCATTTCTACAAAATATTTTTATTTAATTAGCTGGGTGTGGTGGCGTGCACCTGTAGTCTCACTAACTTGGGAAGCTGAGGCGAGGGGCTCACCGGAGCCCAGGAGTTCAAGGTTGCAGTGAGCTGTAATCAAACCACTGTACTCTAACCTGAGTATCAGACTGAGACACTATCTCTAAAAAACAAAAAAATTTACATTTGGGAAACCCCTGCAAGAATGCTCTCTCTGAAACAGAACCATAGTATTTTCCTCTATGCCTTCCCCTACTAGTCCTGGTTCTATACTAGGAAAGGAAAAACCTAACTAATCCCTCCTAGAAAGCACAGTCCATATAGGATGTAGAGATAGATATCATGTGCAAATTGTTCAAGTATTACGACCCTTTAATGCAGGCTGACGATTCCTAATAAGTATTTTTCCCCCACACATAGTTCCCTTGCCAAAAGCGCAACACAATTAGAAGCTATAACTGTGCCTGACCCCCTGACATTAGTCATATGATGACGATAACCACGACACATGCAAAAACAACCAATAGAAACAAAGACCAACTAAGTAAGCACTGAGGAGGGCTAGAGACCACAGGAGTGACCCAAGGATCAAATCCAGCTCTGGCTAGATTAGGAGAATCCCATGGTGAACTCAGAGAAAGAAGTGGGGTGGGGGAGGTCTCCTACCCAGGGCCAATCTCAAGGATCTATTATTTAAAAGCAGAGAAATGAGACCGGGGTATTTGCACTGTCAAAACAGAGAAGCTATCAGGAATGACATTCTGACACCCACTCAAAACTGATTTTGAATCTGGGACCACATTGAAAGAATGACTTTCCTTCTAGCACTGACAGAAATGCTAGCAGCTCACCCGGCCCACGTGGGAAACACAGACAGCCTTCCCCTGAATCCAGCTCTGACCAGTACTGCTATAGGAAAATGATCTGCTTGCCTTGAAATGTGTGCTGCGGAATGAAGGCATCCCCATCAACAACTTCCCGACCCCTCACATCCAGCTTCAGACACTGCTACACTTTATCTGGGTGGACCAGCCAGACCAATCTAAGTCAAGGGAAAGAGTAAGAACATAAGGTGACCTGACTCAACCCCAGGCCTGGATTGGAAATGGCTTATCAGTGAGGAGAGTCCCTGGGCTTCCTTGACAAGATTTAAAAATGCAGCCTAGATGGAAATATGATAGTCATCAGGTTAAAGTGAGGCCAATGGGAGAGGCCTAAAAGCCGTGATGACTGCATCAGGGATCATTCTCAGCCTCTATGGAGAGCAGGATGTTGACAGAAAGCACCACGCCCTGGGACACACTGATGAAAACCATGACTGCCCAGGCAACAGCAGTTCCCAAATGTGGAATCCACCCTGCCATTAGCCACCAAGAAGATAAGTGTCCTGAGAAGGAATGGAGTGAAGGGTGGGGTTAAGTGAGAGAGGCAAAAACATACCACAATACAGTTTTTTTATAACCCAGCATCACAATTTACAGCTTCTAAGGATACCATGTAATATTCTTCACAACACTACCCAATAAAAAAAATACAAAAAATTATTTCCATGTGGTGATAACACACTTAATGATTTCTAATTATGTATTCTGTTTATTCTGCAAGTAGTTATCTGGTTAATTCATAATTTACCAGACCTAGTTTCTATTTACACAGATTGCTAACAGATTAATATTCTGAAGAATTCTCAACTAGCCTAGGTTCCTCTGGAGATATCAGGAGTTCCCAAGAACCACCTGGGGCATTAATTAAAAAAAAAATTATTGGACTCTATCCTAGACCTACTGAACCAGAATCTTCAGGGATGAAAATCCCTGATTTGTAAATCAACTTTACTGAAGTATACTTTACTCAGAAAATTAAAAGTACCTGCTCTAAGTACACTATTTGTTGAGTCTGACAAATGCATAAGCCACAATGCCAAGATATATATTTCTATCACCTCAAAAATTTCCCTCATGGTAGGCCCATAAATTCTTGCTGAGATTTCCTATTTTTGTTGTTTAAAATAAATAAATACTTGCTTATTGAAGCATTTTCATGATGTCTGCTTTAAAATTCTTGTCAGAATTCCAACATCCGATTCATCTCAGTGCTTGTATCCATTACTGGCTATTCGCATTCATGCGGTGATCTTCCTGGTTCTTGAGATTTTTGACTGTATCCCGGACATCAAAAGATATTTACTTATTTTATTTTTGAGACAGTCTCACTCTGTTGCCCAGGCTGGAGTACAGTGGCACAATCATGGTTCATAGCAGCCCCAATTTCCTGGGTTCAAGCGATCCTCCTACCTCAGCCTCCTGAGTAGCTGGGACTACAGGCACATACCACCGCCAGCTAAATTTTTTTTAAGAGACGGAGGTCTACGTTGCCCAGGCTGGTCTCAAACTTCTGGCCTCAAGCAATCCTCCTGCCTGGCCTCCCAAAGTGCTGGGATTATAGGCTTGAGCCACTGCTCCCAGCCCTGGACATCTTTGCTTAGCAGGCAGTACCCCTGTTGACATGTAGCATGGGGTGGTGGGTGTGGACTCTGCTTCCTCCAGGGCGCTATCATCACTAGAGTGGAAAAAGCAGGGCACTGGGTCACATTGCCTGCTGCAGACAATGAGGTAGAAGTTCGCCTCCCAACTTGGCCCTGCAGACAACTTTCCACTGAATATGAGGCACTGACTGGCACTGGTTTATTTCCTCCAAGTTAGGGTGTTCGACGGGATTCCCCTTAGCCCCACTGCCACCAGGGAGGAGAGCTGACTCACATTATTTTTTTGCTACACGGTAGAGACGGAAGCTCAGCATAAGGCTGGACCCCGCTGATACTCCTGGCTCTGCCATGGAGTACTAACTAGTTCTGCCCAGCAAGGGGAATGAAAGATCAGCACCCTTCTCCGTTCTCCTGACACCACCTGGCAGAGGAACTGAAGCACCGCCTGCTTCCAAGGACCAGTGTGGAAGATCAACTCTGCACAGCCCAGCTGCACTGGCAGGGGTTGGTGATATGGGGTGTGGTTTTTCCCTGGGTGTTTGGCAGCAATAGGGAGGATACTGTCAAAAAGCCTTTCTGTTGTAGCCCACCCTTTCCCCAAGCCAAAGGCTTGGGGAAAAAGGTTTTTCTTAAAGCTTTTTTTTTTTTTTTTTTGGTCTGTGCCTCTTGGCATTTCCAGTTTAAAGGTTTTGTAGCACCGTGTATGAGACACAGGCAAGCTGTTTTACTATGCTTTGCCTTATTGAGCTTTGCAGATACATGTATTGTGTTTCGCCACGTTGGCCAGGCTGGTCTTGAATGAACGGCCTTGAGTGATCTGCCTGCCTTGGCCTCCCACAGTGCTGGGATTATAGGTGTGAGCTACCGCACCCAGCCTCACTTAATCCTTGTAATAACTTTCACGTGGGTATGATTTTCATGGACATTTTCCATGTAAGGCAAGAGACACTGCATTTACATGAACTTCCCAAGGTCACATAGCTCATAAATACTAGGTCGGCTGCGCACTAACCTTCCAAAAAATTCAAATAAATAAATAGTAGGTCTGGGATTCAAAAGCTGGCTGTTTGGCTCTTGGAGTCCTCATTCTTACATACCGTACTCTTTTATACAATGCAAAGCTCATAAACCTACCTTTAGGCATAAATTTTTTAAACTTATTCAAATACACTAAGGCATTATCCTACAGTAATAAATAAAGTCAAGGAACACAGAAATCAAAAAGAATTTGCCTTAGGCTGTAAATTCAGAAACTCACTGGCATCCTCTCTGGGCTGAGAGGTATAAATCATTAAGTCTTAACTTCTTAGTCTGGCTCCTCATAATCTGATACAAGTCTATACTTTCAAAGTTATTTCCACTTTAAGACCTTAAATTCCAGCCAGGTACAGTGACTCATGCCTATAATCTCAGCACTTTGGGAGGCCAAGGCATGAGGATCACTTGAAACCAAGAGTTTGAGACCAGCCTGGGCAACACAGGGAAGCCCCATCTCCAAAAAAGACTTAAAAATTAGCTGGGCATGGTGGTATGTGCCTGTAGTCCAAGTCACTCAGGAGGCTGAAGTGGGAGGATGGCTTAAGTCTGAGAGATGAAGGTTGCAATGTTCGTGCCACTGCACTCCAGTCTGGGCAATACAGCGAGACCCTATCTCCAAAACAAACAAACAAAAAGACTTTAAGTTCCCTGACAGAAAGGACCTTATACCTCTATCAGACTGCACAGTTGTTTATAACATACTTGGCAAACATTTATTGAACAAGTAAGAGAAGGAATGAATCCAACATCAGAAAAAACACTTAAGATTATAGGGCAACTGAATGAATCTGGACAAATGTGAATTTCTGAGTTGAACCGGATCTGTCATTAACCAGTTGTGTACACTTCAGGCTGTGTAAGCTTCAGTTATCCAGAAATTGCACAAGGTAACAATTTTGGATGCAGTCCAGCTTCCTATGCCAAACAAAAGGAATGAAGACATAAGGATCCCCATTTCTGTTTCTTCTCAGTAAAAAAAGTCAGGTCACGGGCCGGGTGGGGTGGCTCATGCCTATACTCCCAGCACTTTGGGAGGGCGAGGCAGGCAGATCACCTGAGGTCAAGAGTTCGAGACCAGCCTGATCAACATGGAGAAACTCCATCTCTACTAAAAACACAAAAATTACCTGGGCGTGGTGGTGCATGCCTGTAATCCCAGCTACTCGGGAGGCTGAGACAGGAGAATTGCTTGAACCCAGGAGGTGGAGGTTGCAGTGAGCCGAGATCGCGCCATTGCACTCCAGCCTGTGCAACAAGACCAAAAACTCTATCTCAAAAAAAAAAAAAAGGTCACATGACAGGCAGCAGGTATGAGACTGAACCGAAATAAAAAAACCTGATCTTGAAATTTGATTCCCAGCTCCTAATCTCCCCAAGAGACCACTGTTCCTCTGCCCCAGTAATCTGCCTTATTGTCTACTAGGCAAACTCCCTGTTGTCCTCCAAACTCTTCTTGACCAAGGAGTCCTCTAAGACACCTTCACCCTTTGCCACACGGAACTAGCACTGCATCTTCCGTGCTACCAACATACCTTTTGTCACTTCTACTGCTGCAGGTTTCCACGCTGCACTGAAACCATCTACTTGCACACAGATCTTCCACACTAGACTGTGAACTCCTTGACAGCAGAAGCAATGTTTATTCACTTCTGTACCCCCGTGTTCAACACTGTGCCTGGGACCTACCTGCATGCAATACATGTTTTTGACTAAGTAGCTCAAAGCCAAGTAATTTCCCTTTGGAACTCCAAATTTACTTTCTCACCACTCCCCTTTTTAGTTACCTGCTAAAGCTATAGGGAAAATTGCTCTTGAAAGTAGGTCAATGGAAAGGCAAATTATCCAAGAAAAACCTGTGAGTTCACATACAGGAAGATCGCTGGGTGCTTTGGTAGGTTTTAGGTGGTGAGAAAGGAGTTTACACAGTAATGTGCAGAAGCCATGAGTGCACAGTGGCCAGGGGAATAACAGGGCTACTCATTCACAGTTCTTCCTGCCTAAAGTTCTGAATCCTCCTCCATGGTTCTCCAACACTGCAAACACACAGTTTCTTTAACTAAGGAGTTGGCGGGTGAAGTCACATTTCTTTTTGTGATCTACTCTAAAACCAACTGGCCATTAACTCTTTTAAGTAGCAACCTGTTCTGCCTTATGTGAAACCATTTTTTTTTAAGTGCAATTTACTGGTGTTCATGAACAGATCGGTTTTATATTTATCCTTAACGTTAAATGATGTCATTAAGTCCTCCTAAGTGCAGCTGAGGTGAGGGGGGAAAAAAAGCAAGCGGAAGTAGTTATTATGCAAAGTAATGAAAGACAAGCTACTGGCCTGGAGGGGGAAATGTCAGCCTTCTGTTGTCCTCTAGTAGGTCCCTGGAAATCCTTGCTATATAAAGCACACTATCTCCGAAATTTACAAAAGTCTTATATGAAGCGCTCTGCAAAGTTGTGATGTAGAAGAAGTAGGATAACCACCTCTAACTCCATGTAGCTCACTCTACATGTCATGTAGCTCACTCTACATGCCATGTAGCTCATGCCCAACAGGCCAATTGGCTCCAGCTGGAGCCAAGAGGCTGGCACCTCAAAACACATCTCAGGTAGCCAGGATGCTCCCACTGCGGCGCCTCCACCTGCCTCTCTGGAAATCCACCGACCCATCATGTGAACTCAGGGCTGAGGGTAGTGAGTCTCAGGTGTCGAAAACCTTTCATACAAAAAAATATTCACACACATTATACGCATTTGCTAAATGTCTGCTGAATGACTGCAATGTCCACACAAAGTTCTATGGTCCTCATTTATAATGTAAAAAGTGCAAGAAGATGTTTTGCTAGATTAACAAAATCACCTGAAATGAATCAAACTAATATTTTAAAAACCACCAGCACACACACAAAAAAGCCATAGCCTCTCAATAAAAGATGACCAGTATACACTGCTTATATTAATAGCATGCTGTGATGTGTAGCCCCAATGAGGGCCTACACTTCCTTACCCTTAACTGTCTGTTTCACTATACCAACCATCTGGGAGGAAACAACCATGTTTATGCTCTTGAATTTCACATTCACACCACCCTGACCATCCACCACAAATGCCAATTAGTTTTCTTATAACAATGAAAGCAACCTGATATATACTGAAACACTTGCTACATGGCAGGCACTGTTCTGAAGGTTTAACATATATTTCACCCTTCACAACAACCCCGTGAAGTAATGACTAGAATTATCTCCATTTCTTAGCTACAGCTCAGTTCACTGGACCCTCCTAATGCAATTTCTTTATCTTTTCCACCTTAGTTTATGTCCCTTGTTTATTCTCAATAATCAAGTTTACTCCGTGGGTTGGGAAACAGGAACATCAAAAGACTGGCAATACATCGCCCTGTTCACCCACAAGCTCTGGTCTGCATTATTAATTTCTAGACAATAAAGGCAGCAGCCAGCTCCCAGGAAAGGAGGGGAGGGAGATATAAATGCAAACATATCATAATCTGAGGAACAATTAAGTCTCCAAGTTGGATAGCTAGCTATTTCCAGCTAAATGCAGAATGGTGCATTTCCATCACCATTAACTTCAGGAAGATTGTAGCTAATCTCATTGAATTTATAAATGAAACCCACTCTGTGAACATTACATAAGTCACCCTTCAACCTCCCACTTCCTGGACAGCAGTCAATACTTGGAAGGCAGTCAATTTCTTTCTTCCCATAGAGCAAGGAAAGAAATTCCAGTGACACTGTGTACACACTAAGAAATATTCACTAAACTCATCTATTTGTGATTTTATCTCCCACCTAATTACAGCTGAAATAATATAATATGATTTACGTTCTTTGTTCAAGTCTGACATATTTAATAGATTATTCAACATTGGTTTATCCAGCTATGTCAGACTGACAGCAGCACTTAATGTTAAGGGTATGCCTATGTATCAATTTTAAGCTTCACATGGTTCAATGAAATTATCAGATTTGCAAGACATCATCAATATGTTTTGATCCCTGTGTCAGGAGACTTGGGGTGTTTGTTAATTTTTCCTTCATGTTCTGCCTCATTGTACAGGATGGGAGAAAGAGTATAAACAAACAAGTGTGTCCACACTCTGCCATGCATTTCATGGTTTGGACACCCCAAGGCCCAGTCTACAAAGATGGCCTGCATTCTACCTGGTGTCTTGAGACTAGCTAATCCCATCAGGCCACACTTCCTGTCCTTCTTGGAGGCTATCTAAAACCCAGGCCCCTCCTTGCAGGAGCCCGTCTTCTCTGGCCACTTCATCTTCATTATTTCCTCCTCTGTGACTCATTTTCCCTCAGCTCCCCTCCTCTCTAATCAAGACAACTAGGTCTTTTGAACCCTTGCCCAACGACACATAACCTTTTCTATCATTCGACTTGGATTCTTCACTTCCTCCATTTTCATCACTAACTGAAATCTGGTTCTTTTGTACAAGGAATCAGTTACCCCCACAAGGTTTTCCTGCTCACTCTTCTACACCTGACAGCTTATATAGGTCCAGAGCTGCATGTGTTAAGGGCATCCCAGCTCTGCAAAGCTGTAAATACAACATTAATTTATTAACCACATGCAAAAAGAAATATACACTCACAGGCTACACTCCAGGGTTTGAACTGAGCAGGTAACCTCCGTTCTGTGTGTCTTTTTCACTATCTATGAAACTGAAATGTACTCCACTAGGTTATTGTAAAATTAAATGAGTTTATGTAAGTAAAATGCTTAATTACAAAGTACCTAGCACATGGTAAGTGCTAAGTATTTTTTAACTTATGCTCATTTGAAAGAATTCAATTTACACAACCCAGCGTGAGAGTCTGAGAGAGTGAGTGGCTTGGATGTTGTCAAACGGCTATTTCGGGCCATGGTCATGATTAAAACTATTAATTCCACTCCATCCCATTGCATCAGAGACTTGTCTGATAAAACATTTACCAGACAATTGCCACAGACAGAACAATACACCAAATACTGCAGAAGGTTCTAAGGTAGACAGATAGGACTAAAAAATAGCACTTGCACAGAGGAGGATAAACTCTGGTGGGAGAGACCGTCTGAAGTAATTACAATACACTGGGTCAGGTTCAGTGATGACAATAACCTCAAAGCAAGGCACAGAAGAGGCAGTGACTAACTTGCTCTAGAGGAGGGTCTGAGGAAGTTTCACAAAGTGACATTTAAATTGGTCCTGGATGCTGCAGACAATAAAGGAATATTAGGCAACAGGCACAGTGTGTGCCATGAAGAGGGGGATCCCCCAATGGTCTGAAATATAAACCTTACTAGACAGCTTACCAGGTAAGGTATTGGAGAGGATGTACCTGCTGGAATCCGCAAATGATCACATACATAAACCAGAGACAGAAAGATGGAGCAAGCCACTGCACATACAATGGGTTGGTCATACCTGGCCTGGCCCCTATTGGTTCTGCACTGACAGAAAAGGCAAATGCCCCCTTATTTTGGTCCTTGATAGCTTCATATGACTGAGATATCAGTGTTTAAGGGCCCACATGGAGAGAAGTCCAACTACGGCAAAAGTTCACACTACACTTTCTAATTAGAAATGTCTTTTTAGGCTGGTGGCTCACGTCTCTATAATCTTAGCACTTTGATGGGGCCAAGGCAGGTGGATCACTTGAGCTCAGTAGTTTGAGTCCAGCCTGGGCAACATGGTGAAACCTTGTCCCTACAAAAAATAGAAAAATTAGCCAGGCATGGTTGTGTGTGCCTATAGTCCCTACTTGAGAGGCTGAGGTGGGAGGATCACTTGAGCCTAGCAGGTCGAGGCTGCAGTGAGCCATGATCACGCCACTGCACTCCAGCCTGGGTGACAGAGCAAGACTCTGTCTCAAAAAAAAAAAAAGACGATGACAAAGAAATGTCCTTGTAATATTAAATAAGATCCATGTTAGCATAATCAATGGAGTATAGAAGGATCCCTAGATTCCCTCTCCCATCTCAACACACACACGTACAAACGTGCGCACATGCGCGACCTATGGGCAGCTCATTCCATGATACAGTCTTCAGTTCTTCCTCAAGCATATAGTAGCAGGGTGTCAGAGTGAAGTATTGCTTCACACACTTTTCCAGTGGTGCAACCCCAATGGCAGAGAAGAAGTTTGGGAGAAGCACATCTGGAACTATATTTTCAGATTCTGTGGGAGACTGTCATGCCACTCCAACTCTTATCCAAACACAACTGGAGGTATAACCTAAAGTGAGAAGCATGGCACCAGCTGATGAGCATTTCAGCTCAGTCTTTCTAAGATTCAACACCACTGGTTAGGCCCAGATCCTGAGAAATTGTTCGTTGAATCTAATGAGAGGCACCAACCTACAAAGGGCCAAAGTGAGCCATGGAAAGTGGCTGAGGTGTGTCAAAGCTCAGAGGTATGCCAGAGCAGGTGACTGACTGAGAACTTCACTTACCTAGGGACAACTCAAGGCAGCGTGGAGACCAAGGCCCAAAACGATGAATTTAAATGTACTTCTTAAAAATCTAGCTGCTTATGGAAAACAGTACGGTAGTTTCTCAAAAAAATAAAAATAGAATTACCATATGATCCAGTAATTCCACTTTGGGTATATATTCAAAATAATTTAAAGGGGGTTCTCAAGAACATATTTGCACACCCATGTTTATGGCAGCATTATTTGTAACAGCCAAGAGTGGAAGCAACCCAAATGTAGACTGAGGAATGAATGAATAAGCAAAATGTGGTATACACATACAATGGAATATTAGCCTTAAAAAGGAAGAACATACTGATACATACATACTACAACATGAATGAACCTTGAGGGTATGTTAAGTAAAATAAACTAGTCACAAAAAGACAAACACTATATGATTCCAGTTATATGAGATACTTAGAGTAATCAAATTCATAGAGATAAAAACCAGAATGGTGGTTTCCAGGAAGCTAAGAAGAACAGAGAATGGGCGGTTGTTATTTAATGGTAGACAGTTTCAGTTTTGCAAGACGGAGAGTTCTGGAGATTGGTTGCACAATGATGTAAATATAGTTAACACTGTTGAACTGTACATGGTAAATTTTATGTTATTTATATTGTACCACAAATTTTAATTCTTTTTTTGAGACAGGGTCTCACTTTGCCAGCCAGGCTGGAATGCAGTGGCATGATCTCACCTCACTGCAGCCTTGTCCTCCTGGGCTCAAGCGATCCTCCTGCCTCAGCCCCGAAAGTACCTGGGACTACAGGCACGTGCCACCATGCCCAGATAATTTTTTTTCTTTGTATTTTTTGTAGACATGGGGTTTTGCCATGTTGCCCAGGCTGGTCTCAAACTCCTGAGCTCAAGCAATCCTCCCGCTTCGGACTCCCAAAATGCTAGGATTACAGGCATGAGCCACCGTGCCCGGACTATACCACAAATTTTAAATTTTAAATTTTAAATAAAAATTAGACTGAACGCAGTGGCTCACGCCTGTGATCCCAACATTTTGGGAGGTCAAGGCAGGAGGACCACTTGAGGCCAGGAGTTTAAGACCAACCTGGGCAACACAGTGAGACCCTGACTCTTTAACAAAAGGGGTGGGGGTAATTAATTTTTTTAAAAAACCTAACTCTTTTGGATTGCATACATGTAATCCAAAACAAATGAGACCTGCCCCCATCTGACCTCAAAGGCTTTAAAAGTCAGAATGAGAATACACCCGCTTTGAATTCTTAACAACATTCTGGAGGAACTCAATCCAAGATGCTCACTAGGTACCTACCATGTCCAATGTGTCCTGTTAGGTGTGATAAGGGCTCTTGACCAGAAGGAACCCATCACAATTTAGTACAGTTAAGTAGAACATGAGCTATGTGCCAAAGAAGAAGTGGAATAATTATGTTGACAATTTTGGATTGCTACATGTAATCCGCCCAGTGGAGAGAAGACAATATAACTACCAACACTGGCCTAAACAGAAGCAAAAACAAAATGCAGCAGATCAAGAGATAAGAGCATGTCCTTAAATTATCAAGATGGTCCTTCTATCTTCTCTCATTCTGCTGGAAAATTCTTTAAAACTCTCAGAAATATTATCAACGTACTCACGTGGGTAGCCTGGAAAGAAAGGGAGAAAGACTGTTGTGTTTTGGCTGTGAAGGACAATAAACCCATCATCCATCCTAAGCCTGGTTCCACAGGCCTTAGGGCCAAAACTTTTTCTTTACTGAGCAAGTTTGCATGCAAGGGGCTAATTGTTCTTCCAGAGCCCAAGGTCAAGAACACAGCAACTTCCTGATAATGGCATCCCACAACCACATGCTTCTCATATACTTCTCTTGCTAATATGAATGAGGTTTGCCTGATAGTGAAGTGCAATTTTCTGCATGCTGAAATATACAAGTTTTGCATTTTTCTCAAAGCTCCTACCTTAAAAAACACAGATCTCCTTTATCTGGCTAGAATGCCAAGGTACTACTTCTTTGTATATGTCCCTCCCCATACACACATCACTTTTTTTTTTTACATCAGTACTTTCAACCCAAGTGTCAACCAGCTAAAATGTCCTTATCCCAGTTGTCTCTAAGAACTGCTAGGGTAAGGTTTGCAACCAGCCAGTTCAACATCTCTCCATTCATCACCATAGAGACCTGCGCCCCTGCCCGCAACTTGAGAATTTAACTTAAAGGAAAAAGAAAAAAAAAAAAACTCTCTAGAACAAAAGCAGGCAGGCACTCTGGCAGGCACTCATAATTCCAGAGCACGGCAGGGGCTCCAGTGTTCATCCCAGCTAGCAAGAGCCCATGTTACATAAATCATGTTCCTGCCACTTCATGGCACTTCAGGAAATTACTGTCCAGTATTCACCTGGCCTAAATTGCTCAGAGAATTATCCAAAAGCATCTCATTTACGCTAGTAATATCAGCAAGAATGGAATCGAGTCCACAGCCTTGAGTAACTGACCTTCTTATCAGGCTACCCAGTAGACGATCATGGGCAAGTGGCCTTGGTATGGCAGCTTCACCAGTTAAGAAACAAATAAGACCTGCCCCCAACTGACCTCAAAGGCTTTAAAAGTCAGAATGAGAATACACCCTGCTTTGAATTCTTAACTAAATCCTGTAGGAGCTCAATCCAAGATGCTCACTAGGTACCTACCAAGTCAAAGTTATCATGTTATGTGTGACAAGGGCTCTCAGACCAGAAGGAACACATCACAATTTAAGGCAGATCGCTAAATACATCCGTATAGTTAAGGAGAACATGAGCTATGTACCAAGGAAGAAGTGGAGTAATAATGATGACAAAACCACAGCAGCACATGCCAAGCACTGTTCTAAGGGCATCATGTTTACTAACTCATATCACTAACACCCTATGAAGTAGGGATTCTTATCTTCACTTTACAGATGCAGAAATAAAGATACTTTGTACAGAAAAGCAAGTAATCTTCCCAAGATCAAACAGCCTCTAAGTGGCTAACAGGATAAAAACCCACAGTCTCGGTCTAGTCTGCCTGAAATCTAATGGAGAAAGATGATATGATGGCCAGGTGGGAGTAGTCAGGAAAGATGTACTAGAGATGGAGCCATTTCAAATGGACCTACAAGAATGAGAAGATATTATTACTAAGGCAGATATTATTACTTCTTACTAAAGATGCCTTGTGTACCCGTTCTTACAAGTTTAGTCACTTATAACAGATGTAAATTATACACACACCAGCCCAGGCTTCTCTACCCACAGCATGCATTTGAGAGGAAACTGAGATCCCAAGATCTGAAGGGGTTCTACCTAATCATCCTCAACGCATCATTGAGTGACAGTATCTCCCTCCAGGCTTTTCAGCACAGCAGAGGCATTACCCTAATGTACTATTCAACTATGCTGAGGCAATTAAAGCATCCTGATGAAGGTTCACCCTAAATATTTTTAAACCGCCTTATTAAAAGGTGTGATGCAAGTATGAGGTGGCATTATTATTTTTAAGTTCATCCTCTGCAGTCACTCATTTAGAGGTGTGAAAATAAAACCAGTGTTTCATGTCTCACTTCCTGTATTCCCACTTGATTAACAGGCTTGTATCCCCGAGCTTGATGATGAAGGTGTATGGTGGAATGGGCTCTATATTATGATTTCACACAAACAAAAAAGCATTTTTTACACAGTGATGAGTGTTTCTGAGGAGCATGTAAGAACATGCAATTCTCCTCACCTGTAATCAACCAGCTCACATGACACAAGGGAAACTCAAAGATTTCAGGTAGGTATGTCATTCCAGAATAAAAGAGTATTTCCTTATTGTTGCTTTACTACTTTTTTTTAAATGGCATGACCATGTAGTCGAAATATGAACTTTTTAGAAACAATTATTTTCTTCTCCAGTACAATAACTGATTGTTTGATTTAATATGCAAACATTGGTCACCAACACGAATTAGCCAGAAGCCCAACTAGATTAAAGACAACTGGGCTGTTTAGGCATAATGGCTCGCACCTGAAATCCCAGCACTTTGGGAGGCCGAAGCGGGCAGATGGCTTGAGCTTAGAAGTTTGAGACCAGCTTGGGCAACATGGCAAAACCCCATCTCTATCAAAAACACAAAAAAATTAGCCAGGCGTGGTGGCACATACCTGTGGTCCCAGCTACCTGGGAGGCTGAGGTGGAAGGATCACTGGAGCCAGGGAGGCAGAGGCTGCAGTGAACCGAGATAGTGCCATTGCACTCCAACCTGGGTGACTGGGTGATACCCCATCTCAAAAAAAAAAAAAAAAAAAAAAAAAAAAAAAGACAACTTGGCTAAAATGTTTGGGAAAATCAGGATCATAAGTGAAAGAACTGGAAAGAACCCTATAAATAATTAGATACAGCCCAATGTCATTATGTTACCGGTAGTTAAACTCAGGCCCAGAGAAATCAGGACAGGAACTACAACTTGAATCCCAGTCTCTTCTTTCAACCCGGACCAGTGTGCCAAACAGCCACAACATCTGAAGCTTGGGTCCTCTCAAATAGTGAACATTGTAATTTATAGTCCACTAGGATATAAATTCCATAAGGCTAAGAATTTTGTTTCTCTTGTATACCACCATACAAGACCAAGAACAGAGGCTGACATATAGTAGGTACCCAATAAATGTGCAAATGAATAAAAAACAGCATTCATCATTCAATAAAGGCCCAACATGCATCCAAAATCTTTATCAAGATAATCTCTACTGCACAGAGTTTGTAAAGATCCAGTGGGAGGCAGCAGGACAAGAGTCGAAGTAATCCTGAAATATTGGTATTTGCCAGGGAGAAACTTAACCCACAACTCCTAGCCTTCATTCCAGTTATTAGCTTACCCAGCCAAATTCCCATCTGTGAGAGCAAGGGGATTTTCTGAAGTTAATTAGGGGCTTAAAGATTTTCCTTAATATTCAGAGGAGCCCGGCATTCCTTAACTTCCTATCTGATTTCAAATCCATGTCCTGTCACATTTTCTGTAAACAATTATACCTTCCCCTCAGTCCCTGACCCTGCACCCCACTAGATCAAGGAAATACACACAAATCACACAGAAAGATGATCTCACAAAACGACTAACAGGACTGAACTATTTAACATTAACAGCCCAGGAAAGGCATTCTAACTCACTAGATCAACAATGAAAAACAACAGACGTCGGTGTCCCCCACAGCCAGTCACTACCTTAATAACAAGCTGTATGTTTCAATTCCAATCACAGCCACAGCAGCCAGGCCAGACATCATCTGACAAAGTTAGTGGATGTTACATTTATACAGCAAACACACTAACAGGTGATGGCACACAGGATCCCAGAGGATTCTCTTTATCCAGCTAATCCAGGTTAAAGACCAGATCTGAGGCAGTCTCTATTAGAGCGGGGCAGCAAATTGCCAGTCCAACAGCATTTCCAGGCAGCTGAAGCATGCATTTATTAGCCTTGCAAGTTATAGATTTTTTTGGTCTGTGGACCCCAAGCTAGTAGAGGGGAAAGGAGAAAGCAACTCTCAGCATTGTATCAGTGGTTGGCCATGACTGAATAAGAAGTTAGCAGACCTTTAGAAAAATTTACCTGTCATCAAATCTGTTTGCAACCATCTCCTCTGGTAAGTGTCTTATATATTAAGTCAAATAACTACAACCAGAGATTCGTAAATTGAGTTTTGTGAATCTCAAAACATATTTTCTTACTGATATACAGGATTATGTGGGGAGATGCTTTACTGTCACTTATAATTATTATTATTATTTTTTGAGACGGAGTCTTGCTCTCTTGCCCAGGCTGGAGTGCAGTGGCACGATCTCGGCTCACTGCAACCTCCACCTCCCAAGTTCAAGCATTCTCCTGCCTCAGCCTCCTGAGTAGCTGGGATTACAGACTTGTGCCACCACGCCCAGCTAATTTTTGTATTTTTAGTAGAGACGGGGTTTCACCATGTTGGTCAGGCTGGTCTCAAACTCCTGACCTCATGATCCACTGCCTTGGCCTCCCAAAGTGCTAGGATTACAGGCGTGAGCCACCGCGCCCGACACACTTGTAATTATTTTGAATGGGCAGCAGCTCTTTGTATGTAGGATTTAGGTTTCTCTGCCCTAATTTTAGTCTCTCTAGAAAGAAGTGATCTGTAAATAAAGAGGTTAAATATATTAAAGAAGTCCTTCTCTGTGGTCTGGAATTATGGTTTCCCTTTTCTTACTATGAAAAAAATCTTCATTTTAAAAAATCATCTACATTAAGAGGCCAGGTGCGATGACTCACACCTGCAATCCTAGCACATTGGGAGGCTGAGATGGGAGGATCGCTTGAGGCCAGGAGTTTGAGATCGGCCAGGTCAACATGGAAAACCCTATCTCTATTTAAAAAAAAAAAAAAAAAGAAAAAAAGAACTTTTTTTTTTTAATTATCTCCAATTAAACTCAGTAAGTTCTGGTGTTAGTGTAACTGAGTTTGTTACAGAACATGATACTTGTTTTTTTTGCCAGATCTTTGTAGATTGAGTTCATACTATACAATGGAAGAAAATTAGCAAGTTCGTGGAAAAAAATGGTTTTTCATTTTCAGTTTACTATCTAAATAAACTTTTTTCTTTCATTTATTAGGCAATAAATCACACAAAATGCAAGAATGCAAGCATAAATTAAAGCCTCTATTTGTACGGGATCTTCTAGAGGACAGAAGATCCCATACAAAACTGAACCTTTATGGCCAGTAAATTGAAGACATGAAGAGTAGAGTCAGGTTCAGCTTCCAGGTTCGCCCATCTTTGAAATGAGTCCTTTATATGGGGGGGGGGGGGGGGGGGCGGGGATGAGAGGGGAATAAAATAACAGCAAATAAAGTGGGGGCTATGAAAGCTATATTATATAATACAGTCACAAAAAGAAGAGTATCACTCAAAAGAACACTTGTTCACAGGCACTGAGGAGATCTAACTGTCCAATGCACAACATGCAATAGTCAGGGGTGACGTCCAGGCGTTTGAGGCCCTAGAAAGAAATTATGAAGGCATTTTTCTCAATTGGCTCATGAAGTACAGGTTGCACAACCCTAATCCGAAAATCTGAAGTCTGAAATGCTCCAAAATCTGAAACTTTTATGATACCACAAGTGAAAAATTCTACACTGGACTCACATGAGCAGCTGCAGTCAAAACACAGTCAAAACTTTGTTTCACACACAAAATCATTAAAGGTATTTTATAAAATTACCTTCCAGCTACGTGTATGAGGCATAAATGAATTTTGTGTTTAGACTTAAGTCCCACCACCAAGATATCCCATTATGTAGATACAGATGTTTCAAACTCGGAAAAAAAAAATCAAAAACCTGAACCACTTCTGGTCCCAAGCAATTCGGATAAGAGATACTCAACCACAGTACAGCAGAGCAATTAAGTGTATAGGTTCCCCGGGCAGACAGCTGTCTGACCTTGGGCAAATTACCGAGTCTCTCTGTGACTCAGTTTTCTTATCCACCAAATGGAGAAAATAACAGTACCTACATCTGGTAGGGTTGTCAGGTAGATTAAATAAGCAAACACTTGCTTACTCAATAAGTGTTCCTGCCATCATAATTATTATTATCCTCACCCACATTTATTTATTTATTTTTTGTCTAATGTAGAGAGAAACAAGGCCCTAGCTCCAGGCATTAGGCATGAAGAGGTGAGTTGCTGGGTTGAAATGATCTAGCACAGCACATTTTCTACATTAGGATATAAAGCTGCTGATGATCATCTCTTACTAGAGGGCACACAAAGCAGAAGGGCCTACTCTCTCACCAGGTGTCTCTGCAAAGATTGCTCAGAAGAGGGTTTAAGGGGGAAGAAAAAAACACACCTCCACCACCTTAAGAACTAAAAGGCAATTTTTAAGGACAATACGGAGGTTGGAAAATTCACTGGGGCTTTCAGCAAGTAACAAATGTGTCAATGAGCTTTTCTAGACTCTTTTTAGAGTTTAGATACATTTCACTGAATGTGAACATTTCTTTCAGTGAAATGCATTTCAATACATTTTCACTGAAAATATTGGCCATTTTACCCGTTCTGAGATGGGAACGAAACACAGTGACGAAAGAGATGTAGTTGTTTTATTTACTCCGGATCATTTGAAAAAGGAAGCAGGAGAGTAGCCTAAGGTTTATCCCTGATTCACTTAATAACAACTAAGCCTAAGCCAGAAAGTAAATGATGTAATAAAGTGACTGATCCAAAATGCTGGAATGCAACAGTAAGAAAACTGAAGCCCTATCCAATCTAAATCTATTGTGAACAGCAGCAGCAACCAACTAAAGAGGTCCTGAGGTCAACCTTGTGTATATGCTGCTTCAGAATCCTTAAAACAAAACCAAAAACACCCACCCAGGCTGTGTTTGCAATGAGATCATCATCCCCACATCCAGTACTGCAGTGGAAGCCACACTCTAGGATCAGCACCTCAATGATTACAGCAGAACTAATTAATTCTAGCTATTTCTCAACTGGTCCCTGGGGGGAAAACACATCCTTACCCTTCAAGAACCAGATCAAAGATCGCCTATGCTGTGAAGCCTTCTCTGATAAGCCTAGGCTGACCTAGTTAAGTGTATCTTCAGAATTCTCACTGCTGTTTATTTAGTGAAACGTTTATCCCAGAGAATTGCATGTTATGTTTCTGTATTTCAACCAAACAGTTCATATTAGACTGAAATGTGTAGAGAGGAAGCATGTATCTTTTTTTGTATTGCACATTTGCTGGATAAAGCAATGAATGAATGAATATCACTGTCCTGGGTTTTAGTAAGTTCATACAGTGATATGAACACTTTGTATTAAAAGTGTTGAAACTCATACTGAAGCAGGGGGCGGTAAAAGAACATTAATTAAACTGCTTTCTAAATAACTGCAGGCAAACAGTAATAACAAGGAGGGGGTAACAATTTCTGAATAATGGAATGTTTAAATAAAACACACTAAAATCAAAATAAAGTGTACATTACTGTGTCAACATCATAGCAAAATATTCAGCAGAAACACATTGTGTATTGCCCATTTTTCTCTCCAAATAAATCAAAGGAATCTGATCTAATTTCAAGAAAGGAGATATAAATGATAACTGACAAAACCCTGCCCAAACAGAATCTTACATATCAGGTTAAACACTATATTGGGATTCAGATTGTTATGTAAATAGAAAATAAAGTGAAATCACAGCCTATCCTGCCAGCAAGTCCCTCACAGGGAGCAATCCTTTTATCTCTACTACCTATACAACCACTTACTTCTCTGAAAGCCTTGTCCCAACAGGGAAATCTAACTTCTTCTGATCAATCATGTTCCTTGACCCACCACCCAAATATAAGCTTCATGAAAGCAGAGACATTATTTGGCTTATAACAATATCCCTAGAACTTAAAATAGTGCTTATAGCAGAGGTTGAAGAAGCATTTACTGAATTAATGAATACATGAATGGGTGAGAGGAAGGCAGAAAAGGGAAGGAAGGAAGGAGGAATCAGAGGATAAAGCGAAGGACTAATACAGAAGTGAGAAAGAATTTTTCATCTCTGGAAAAGTCTGTACAAGCTGCAGAGTGCTGTGGCAAAGTAAAACCAATATTTCCTAGGATTTTGGTGTTTATGAAGAAAAAGCAAAATAAAGGGTTTCTTTATTGACCCAAAGCAAATACTGACTTTTTAAGGAAAAAATTCAGTATATCTTCATTCACTAATTCAATAAACATTTATATGCCCCAATGTTCCACGCACCAACGCTACAAACAGGTAAATGCAGCAGACAATGGAGCTAGCATATAAAAAGAAGATTTGGACATCCTCACCATCAACAACATCACTGAGCATCCCACTCTGCTTTCTGATAAAAACTGGTAGTTACTAGCAAGTCATCCCTGCATTCAGGCAAAAAGTTCAATTTTTATTGGTATTATTCAAAGAAAAGAAATTTCAAGAGATGACAAAAGCATAAAAGAAATGAAAAAAAAAAGATACAATAAAGAAAGGTAAGAACAACTGGAGTTGTCTGGCCTGGAGAACAAGGCTGATTTCATTAGAGGCTTCAAATACACAAAGAGCTTTTATGAGATAATCCTGAGTATTTCCACAGCTCTCCTTTCTTTCTGAGTGAGGCCTGTGTTTAGGCATTTCCTTCTATTGACTTCAGAGATGCCTTCCTCAAGTCAGAAGTGAATGCCAATATTTTGCTTGCTGATATGTAAGCAAGGGCTTAGCATTCCTAAAACACACAAATACTAGTTTCCTCCTTCTTAGGCTTTAGCAGCCTGTCTGTAGGCATTTCTTTCCCACCCTATAATTTCTTCTCCGCCTTTGTTAAAACTGTAAGCACATCTGCAAAAGACTAAACATGACACTGTAAATGACTGTCACTTCCTTCTCCACCGTATTTGGCATCCTGACTGCAGAAAGCAGATCACTTCACTAGACTATTACACAGGGTTGCAATGGTACAGGTGGCCACTTTACTACCTACAGTTACCTGTCACACATGCACAATGCCAGTGTTACTTGTCTTTGCCCTGTGACCTCTGGTGAGAAAGCAGTAGATGGCAGGGGGTTAGGAAAAGTATCGTCCCTGTTTGCAAGGCTCAGTTAAATCATGATGGTGCATGGCATCCAGGGATAACCATTAGCAAACTATAAAATCATTCAGGTTTGTAGTTCGGCATCTTTTCAGTCCATGGCCTTCACTCCCCACTCCCAAATGTATTAATAGTTCCTCTAGCTCCTACCACAAGATACCCAATCATCTATTTCTTGACCCGTACATGCCCAAAGTGTCCATCCAAGTCAAAGGCAAAGCTCTAGATTCATTCTCAGGACCTATTCTGCCCTGTGCATTCATCTCTCAAAAATAAAAATTAAATGAGTAATAATAACCAATAGAGACTGATAGATAAGGAACAGGGGCACAATATACTGTAATTAGCAAGTGTTTCCCATGGCTCTCATCATAATGTTGCTCTTTGTGACACCTCAAGTATTCCCAGGAAAAACAACAGCGATGTCAGACCCGTAAAATCAAACAGAAAAAGGAAGCGTAGAGTGAGAATTCTAATTATTAAACTCAGCAACACAATTATTATGGCAAAGGAAACAATTTATTGGTGAGATCTTTCTCAGACACAAGACTCCCCACTCTTCCTCCAATCTGTATGCTTAATAAAGATGATTAGTTTTTGGTGGAGATGATTGTTGTTTTAATTAAAGACTATGCTAGAAGAGAGAGTTTGATTATAAAGTAACCCCAAGATACCACGGTGCTTTGTGCCATCTCAGCCTCAGGCACTTGCCTTGCATACCATTTCCATGATAGTTTCCCTAGTCTATAGAACTAGAAGCCTGGATTTATAAAATGAGGCTGGAAAATTCTTGTTCTCGATAAGGCCACTGTCTCAAAATGGCCAGCTCCAAGCCTCACTCACCTCTGCCTGTCCGCCCCAAACCACTTGATGGGTGACCTCGTCAAGTCACTTAACCTCCTTATATCTCTAATCCCTCAGCTGAACAATTAATTGTGCTCCCTCATCTCATGGGAATGTTGAAAGAGATCACTATTAACAGACTAGTCCTTACAAAGTTATTTGCTAATGCAAAATCACTACATGAGGCTGTGTCCTGAGGGCCACAGTGTGGTGTAATGCGAACAGAAAGGACTTGGAGTTGGATGTAATCAGGTATTAACCTCAACCCTGCAATTTAGGAGCTGTCCAGGGATGGCAAACAAATTACTTATGCTCTAAACCTAAGTTTCTTTATTTGAAAAACGGTGAGAAATAACACCTTCCGCTTGTTGCTGTTTTGAGAATGAGATGAGCTAAGATATGCAGATTACTTAAAGTTCCTGGCACAAAACAGGAACTCGAATGTCATTTTCCTTTACAAGTACAACAGTATCTACTGTAACTTCTCCTGGGCACCTGCACTGGAGATGACCTAAATAGGCCCCACACAATCCCCATCTGAAATACTGCAGCAGTCTTCTGTGTTCCTATTTCTACTCTACTCACCATCCACCCTTCATCTTCTACCATGCCATGAGCAAATGAAACCCCTGAAAATGCATCTCTCATACCATCCTCCCTACTTAACAGCCTGCAACAAATCCCTATTCCAACAGAGTTAAAGTCAAAAGCCTCACATACAAATCCCTGTATCTTACAGAGTAAAAGTCTAAAGACAGAAAAGGCCTTTGACAGTCAGCTCTAGCTGAAACTTTTACTTCCTACCTCCCAAACCATCCTTTGCTCCTTCTCCCACTATACTCTATGCTCATCAAAACCACCTTGGAGCCTCTGTATGTAACATATGTTGTCCCCACCCCTTCTCAACAGATGAACACCTCTTCCCACACAGTGTTGGGGCCTGGATTGGCTGAGGCATGAAGAGAGGTGCTTGGTAACCCGACCTTCTTTAACCTCCTCTTCCAGTTGAGTCACCTGTGAAGACACCAGAGGAGGGAAAGGAGCACTCTGCACAAAACCACACAGTAGGCAGCAAGAAGCAAGGCAGATCCAAGCTCTGCCTTCATAAAGGTCACTTCGAGGGGATGTCACAGTTGAGGCAAAGGAAAACAGGCCACTGTTAGACTACATGTGAACAGCAGAAAACCAACCTGTAGCACAGAAAGACCTATATAATTCAGCAATGTTCGGCACCAGCTTAATCACAAGCCCCCATGCATGGCCTGCTGGTCTGAGAACCTGAACCTCAGGGAGACTGCCAGCTCTTCCAGAAATCCTGGGAGCCCAAGTATCTTACATTCTTAATATAAGCTCCTCCAGCTCCAGAGTGGATACAAATCTTCCTTGAGTTGGAAGTTATTTCCTGAGCCTTTAACATTTGACAAAATACCAAAATTGACTTTTGGATAAGCACTGTTGTCAACTCAAGATGATGAAAATACCACACCACATAGTTTTGGACTTTCCTGACACTAACAAAGGTTGTTCACAAACATTACCCATATTGCACCCTCACACATCCCCTTTTCATGGACAGGAAACTTCAGGAAGACTAAGTAACTCCCGCATAGCCAAAGGGGCAGAGCCTAGTTCTCCATGATCTACCAATTCTCATATTCTCTGAACTGCCCAGGCTTGTGAGCCACTGGGGAACAGAATTACCACCAAGCTTCTCCAGAAATGGAGGGCATCCTGACTCATTTTTCTCATGCCTTTCCCTAAGCACAAAAGAAAAAAAAAAACAGATCAACAGGAACAATTTCCAACTCACTGTTACAAGGTAGGGAAATTTCCACATTACGTGTATCTAGAGGCACACCAGACAAATGTATGACAGACCAGCAGACCAGCCAAACAAACTCCACAAAGAAGTAAAAGGAGATGCTCCTTTCAGCACCTCTTGTGTGCCAGGCACTGCACTTCACATTCTCACATACATGATCACATTTAAGTTTTCCAACTGCGAGGTAGCTATTACCATCCCATTTTATAATTATAAAAACTGAGGGCACAGAGGCTCAGTGACTTGCCCTAGGCCATTCAGTGAAGCCAATATCTAAACCCCAGATGTTTCTAAACACTATGCTTCATTCTAGACAGTACACAGTCGTTGGTCAGGAAACATGAGTTCCTTTGAAAAAGGTATGCTGGAGACATAAAATTACAACAAGTTAATATTACCTAGAACATACACAGCTGCTGTTCCAGTCCCTCAGCTCACCGCAGATCCAAAACACCCAGCTTCATTTCCAATTTCCCCTGAGCCTCCATCACTGACTCCTTAGAAATTTCTATTAGTCTCTTATCTCCTTTCCCATTGAAAAAGAATGCCTTCCTCCTAAAAGTCATATTTTTCCATAAGTGACCTGAAAGACAACTAGAGAGCAAGAGAACTCTTATGAACTCGACAATTTTCCATCCTCTCAAAGATTAATTCACCCACGAGTCAACCGCGAGTGTCACAATTTCAAAAACCGTTCATTTTTTAACCCAACAATTATCCTGATCAAAATAAGTCGCACACAAGATTCTGACCTTAAATACTGAGTGCAAGCGGCATTGATTAAAAGCCTTAAACTTATCCTTTTATTGGCAAAAACACATTCAGGGGCAGTTATTCACGGCATCTGGTTCAGAAATTAGATACAGAGTTAACTGTAGATTGATTAGTGCTTAGTATAAAGAAGAAAAAGACTAATTCCTATATTATTCCTGGCTCAGCAAGCGACAGCCTTGGCTTGGATCCATGACAAGGGGCCCAGAGAGACTCTAGGCCCCATCTGCACAACAGGAACCTGGGCAAGCCAAAGCTGTGTTCTGACAAGTGGTGTTTCCTCCCACTGGGAGAAAGAACACCTCTGCAGAGAGCAAGGGCCCACCCCAGCCCACTGACTCTCCCAGTGGTCCAAATATCCTGCTGTCACTGGAAAACAGCACTTCTAGGAGCCAGTGCCAGACCAGTGAACTCAAAAGAAAGGCTCCTTAGTCAGTACAGGGGCACTGTCTGGGCATTAAGGCCGGGTGTGGGGCGGGGGGTGGATTTTGGACCACATTAAGGGACAGAGAGATGGATGAGGCAAATCACCATCTGTGATAATAGTCATCAAAAAAAAATTTAACTTTTAGTGAGTACTGTGTATTGGGCACTATTATAAGAACTTCATGTGGATTAAGTAATATATGTAATCCTTCCAATTCCACAAGTTTTGTTATAACTACTATTTTAACTACAAGCTATCCGAGACACAAAAATGCTAGATAAAGTAAGATCCAAGGTCACGTTCAGCCACTAAGTGGTAGAGAAAGGATTACAACCCAGGAAGTCTAGGTTTCAGAATCTTTTAAGCCTAAACACTATACTACTATACTTCCTCATGATGACACCTGGCCATACCTTTGCAGATGCAATAAATCGAACAAGTAACTATTATATGTCTACATAACTGAAGAAGTTTATATGCTGAGAAACAATCCCACAGGCTAAACCACTGATGAATAAAGGCCTGAAGTTCAGGTCAATAATTCATCCTTTCATCTACCCTTCTTACCTTCCACCTGCCTAAATACACTTACCTCCTTTCCATCATATGGAATAGTACACGGAACAAAATTCAAAAAGTACCAAGGAGAATATAAGGAAAAGTAAGTCCCTGTCACCTCACTCTTGCTTCTCTCCTCTTCTCCCTAGAGGCATCTACTATTAGCAATAGACCAAAAAAAAAATATTTTGAACAGAATATTTAGGTCATAAATAGCATTGAAAATCATGCAACAAATGGAAAGAAATCAATCTGCCAGACCCAGAATGAAAGGCTAGTTGTGGCTAAGCAAACCTCTCAGACCCTGGGTGGCCAATTAGGCTGTTATTTATCAGACACTGCCTCAACAATATGCACATTAAGATAATTTATGAAAGGCTCAGGGAAATGTTTTTCTAGTCAATAATAATTGGTCAGGTGATCATTCTTAACTCACACACCCAAAACAAAGTTTCTTGTGGACTTGCAAGTCACTTTCGTTTTCCTGGTGATTTTTAATGAACAAAAACCTTCAAAGAAGATGTACAATTTTTCTAAACAAAATGTTTTTGGCCTCTACTGCTTGCTGTTATCCCTCCTTATTTTCCAATGCCCTTCTCCTTTTCTTCTTCCATACCTCTGATGGCTTACTACTAATATAGAAAAGGAACAAGTTCTAGGTCTGGAAGCACGGGGTTTCCATTTCATTCCACTCCCCTAATTTCAGTAAGACCTTTGGCAAGTAAGTACCACAATTCCTCAAAACTCTGTCCTCCCTAGTCTGTGAAATGAAGCTAAGACCACCAACCTTTGTCATGCTAACCAATGAAACAATGTTTCTGAAGTCAGGCCTGGTGGCTCATGCCTATAAACCCAGCACTTTGTAAGGCCCAGATCTTTACAAAAAATCTAAAAATTAGCTGAGTATGGTGGCTCATGCCTGTGGGTCTAGCTACTTGGGAGGCTAAGTGAGGAGGATCACTTAAGCCCAAGAGTTTGAGGCTACAGTGAGTTATGATCTCACCACTGCACTCCAGCCTGGGAGACCCTCTCTCTGAAAACTACTACTACTACTGCTACTACTACTACTACTACTACTACTACTAACATAGTATTTGTTATATACAAATAATAATACTAATATACTAATATAATACTACTAATAATACTAATATATACTAATATAATAGTATAATACTAATATATCTTAATATAATAATAATACTAATAACATAGTATTTGTGGAAATACTTGGCTCAGAAAGGCAATCAATATTTGTCAGCATTCCCTCCACCTTCTCATGTGGGTCAGACCTTCAAATCGAAACTTGAGAACCCACACACCCTTACGCTTTTGCCTTTTTCCAGTTCCTAATACACAACCTACCACACTGACAGAAACCAACCATGGTCATGTACTACTACACCAGCAGTGCTTAAATTTGAGTCTCGTCATCAACAGAACGAGAAAACAAGAGAACATACCAAATGAACTCTGAAGACTATGTAAATGGGGGCTGTTGCAATATGAATATCTGCAGGTTATTCAGATTCCTTGTAAACTTTTCCTCATCCCCAGGGCCTACATTCCAGATACTTCTCAAGTTGTCTGTTCAGCCAGCCCCTACAGCCCAATTCAAAGAATCAAATGTGGCCTTTTCTTTTCCTGCGGTTCTCTGCCTTCTCCTTTTCTGTCTGTGCCAGGGTGGTTTTTAAAACAAATGAGAATGGCACTCAAGAGGCAAAATGAATTCACTTAGCTCTGTGCTCCCCTCTCCCTTGCTGTTATTTATTTTTGTGTATTTCACTAGAAGCAACATTTGTCAACATGGCAGCAGAGAAGCCGCAAGCCAGCGAGAACTGTTTTTGTATAAAACAAATAACTTAAGCAGTGCAGGAGCGGTTTTGAATAAAGTTGCCATATGAACAGCCGCAAAGCGCAAAATGGTGAGCCCTTGCACTGGCTGCAGCAGCTGCTTCCACACCCAAAGAAACAAATACTCTGGAAGGGAAAAAGCTAAATTGGCTATTTACAGAAAAATTCAAAGAATTTCAATCACATGATCCAGCAACAGGCAAATCAGCACAGTCCACAGCTGAAAAGAAGATAAGGGAAGGAAGGGAAGAAAGGTGGTGCCTACAACATCTGATGAGGAAGAGGATGAGGGAATAAAGTAATGATAACTAAAGGGTACAGATTTCTTTTCGAGGAGATGAACATTTTCTAAAACTGACTGTGGTAGTGGTTGCACAACTCTGTAAATCTAAAAGCCACTGAAGTGTACACTTTAAATGGGTGACTTGTACAGTATGAGATACATTACAGTTCATAAAGATGTTGTGGGGGGCGGTGGACTCAAAGGAATAGAAGTCTGTATAAGGGAGGTATATCCTGAAGCCCCCTCACAGAGAAATCTACCAGTCTCATCACTATTTATTAAGCCCTGGGCAAGGTGCACTGCTTACATCATCTCATTCAATCCTGACAATGACCTCTTCAGGTATTATTCCCAATTTATAGACAGAGAAGCTGGGGCGCAGAGATATCTAAGGTGATTCTGCTTCTAATCAAGTATCTGTGTCCAAGTCCATGCTCCTTCTACCTCACCCCACTACCTCCCTACTCATCTAATCTCATCACTGAGGAACACAGTATTTATGCTGTTATCAGTGATTTATTTTCCCAAATAAACTTACCCCTAAGCAAATTGTTTTATTGAAACTAAACTTGACAAGAGCTCTCTGACACACTCATTATTTCCCTCTATTCTTATAAAGATACCAAAAACAAGCCTGTATGCTTCTTGTTGATGACCCACTTTCCTCTAAGAACCTGAGTCACTACATACAGTGTTGCCCTCAGGGACTCCTAGGATGTTTGAGGCTGCCTGTTTAGCCCAACTGTCATACTTTTATTTTAATAGCTATTGTGTCTCTTCCCCCTGCAGTCAACCAGAGTTCCTTATAATTGTCTGTACATCTTCAGAATACAAAATTTCTCTTTTATCTCTACCTAGCTGATTGAGTCAGGGATCAAGGGAAGCTTCACCAGAAACTGTTACTATGAAAGTTCCAGCTTTGTGACAGCTATTTGTTAATCAATGGCTTTTTCAATTTTATAACCAGAACTTAAGATAAAGAGACTGCCACCCATCTGATTTGTGGATAAGTGGAAGTTTACAACACTAACAATAATTGCTATTACATTTGACTTTTATGCAATACTTTTAATTTTTCCAAACCACCAGGCTACCCTAGCCCTTTCAAAAATTAAAGATATGGTCTCCCCACACACGCAGTTTCCCATATACTTCATTCCTTTGTACAGATGCCTTATCTAGGAAAGTTTTATCCTAACAGTATGTGAACTTCCTGAGATAAGAAATCTAAAATTGCAAACACAGTAAGCTGTTTTTAAAGGGAACATAATCTCTTCTTCCCAAACTGAGACCCTAATGAGAAGCATCCTCTCCACACAAAATTCAATAACTCAAGTTTCATATTAGGAAGAATCCATTCTAATAAGGAACCCTAAAGAAAAAATCCATAAATTTATTCTATCTAGATTCGATTTGGCTTTGAAATTTTTTTAATTAGAAAAGGAAAAAAAATACAATGCTAAGCCATCCCATATTCTACTCAGCAAAGAAACCCTATGAACTCTGCATGCTTCATGCCCATTTTACAGATTTAAAAAATGGCCTAACAGAGATTTTAAAACGTACGCAAATAATTTCTGGCACACTTTCTCTCTCTCTCTCATACACACACACACACACACACACACACACACACCCCTCTCCTTCTCTCTGTCTGTCACACACATACATATACACACACACACATACACACACACAATGACAAAAACTGTGGGAGAGCCAATCCAGTACTCCAAGCAGCTCATGCGGTGGTGGCAAATCTCAGGCTTTGAAGCCAGAAAGAACTGAATTTGAAATCTACCGTTGCTACTTCTAGTTGCGTGATCATGAATAAGCCACTTCCCTATGTGTAAAACAAAGCTAATGAACCTTTCATGTCATGCTGAAAACAAAACAAGATCTTGTTTATAATGTCCACAGTCCAGAGCTTATATTCAGCAAATTATTCATATTTTACCTCCACCACATCATTTTATACCTACATACCATATTCAAATAGCCAGCATTTACTAAGAACTTATTAACACCATGTGTGAGGAATCACTGTATATGCCATATCCAAGGTCATACCACAGTAAATGGCAGTTTGACTCAGAGTTCAAGCTACATCCTATTTTGTAAAGCAGAAGTACACAAAGGTAACTTTGCAGATAACAACACAGCAATACCCATTCACCAGAGCAGTGGTTCTCAAAGCGTGGTCCCTGACCAGCAGCACTGGCTGGCATCGCCTTGACATTTGTAAATAATGCAAATTCTTGGGCCCTGCCCTAAACCTCCTGAATCAGAAACCCTTTGGGTAGGGCCCAACATTCTGTGTTTTAAAGAGGCATCAAATCACCTGGGGGATTTGTGAAAACACAGATGCTAGGCCCAAGCAACACAGATACTTAGGCTTCTGCCACGATCTTTCCGACACTCAAACACAAAAATGCCAACAATGCCAGGCTCTTGTATCCAACTCTACCTTCTTTTTGGTCACCAGCCTTAGGCAGGCAGCATCCAAGGTCCACACCTGCAATGGCTGATGATGGTGTCCCATGCCCATCATCCAAAGATCTGAGTTTCCCCCCACAAACTCCATTCTCAACACAATGGTCAGAGTCTTCTTACCTAATACAGCCCTCGCCCACAGTGCCCCACCTCATTCAGAGCACAGGCCAAAGTCCTTATAGTACCTACAAGGTCCTATATGACCTGTGACACCTCTCCATCATCTGCTACCCCTCCTCTGCCCTATTTCTACCTCCCTCTCTGCTCTAGTCAGGCTGACGTCCTTGCTACTCCTCAAACACGGCAAGAGCACCCACTTAGGACACTTGTACCTTGCAGTGTCTCCACCCAGACTAATGTTCTCCTAAGAAGAGTTGCGCAGCTCATTCCATTCCCTCTTCAAGTCTTTGCATAAAGGTAACCTTAGAGAGGTCTTTCCTGATGACTAGCACCTCCATCTCAGCACACCTTTATTCCTACACCCTGAATTATTTCCCTCCACAGAATGTATCACCATCAGAGATACCAAATATTTACTTGGTGTTTATTTGCTTGAAGTCTGTTTCTCCCAAGTAGAAGGTAAGTTTCATGAGCACAGAGCCTGTTTTGTTTGTTGCTGTATCATCAAAGCCAAGAGGAGAGCCTATCAAGCATCCATAACCATATACTCAATGAATTAATAAATGAGAGAACACAGTTAATCCCAAATAACTTAGAAAAAGCAGCCAAATGTCATAAAAAATGTTGATGTAGGCCAGGCACAGTGATTCATGCCCTATAATCCCAGTACTTTGGGAGGCTAGGGCAGGAGGATTGCTTGAGGCCAGGATTTCAAGATCAGCCTTGGTAACATAGGGAGACCGTGTCTCTAAATTAAAAAAAAAAAAATTCTTTTAATTAGCGAGGCACGCCTGTAGTTTCAGCCACTCAAGAAGTTGAGGCAGGAGGATCACTTGAGCCCAGGAGCTCAAGGCTGCAGTGAGCTATGATCGTGCTCCTGCATTTCAGCCTGGGCAAAAGAGTGAGACTTTGTCTCCTAAGGAAAAAAATTTAATGTACATACTGGCATTGTTTTTGTATTTTCATTATCAGTAACACAATTGGCAAGACATCTACTAAACCCACACAGAATACTCAAAATCCCGTTTCTTCAGAAGAAATGCCATGTACCATACAAACTGCAAGATTACTTTTTTTAAACCCACACAAATATTACTTCCCCCAAATGTAATTTCTAATTTACAGCTCCAAAATATAATCTATATTGGAATTTGCATAAAACTCAACAGACCTGCAGCAAGATATTAAATTTTAAATTTGCATGCAAGAATGGCCAAGTAATATTAGTCTAGCCAAGGAGATCATGTCTGTAAACTTGAGAGCTTGCAGACGTAATGAGAAGAAAAATTGTACACTTCAACGAAAGCAAGCTGATTAAAATGCTCTGATGCAGTGGTAACAGTGCAAAGGAGGCAAAAGTGCATTTCAAATTTCATAAGCTAGGCTCTGATAACATAAAATGAGAATCACTACTCCAGAATAGGGCAATGGAACATACTGGCATCTGCTCCATCTGTAAATATTACCAGGTGACAAAGGTAAATAGTCTGAGTTTGAATGTACCTATCTGGCCCTACATCCCCCGAAGTACCCTTTGGATCAAGGAGCTATATCACCAGCAGTGATTTATAGCAACAGGGATGGTGATGTTACTATTCTCACCAGTTGTACAGCCCAATCTATACACGAGGCGTAGGGAGAGGTGGTTTTTTGGTCAGCCGGAGAAAGAGTTTCTTACTCTCTGAACCACCAAAATGCAAAGGCGAAATGCTCAATGACCTGTTCTGAAACAACTAATGCAATGGGGACTAAGAAGAGATGTTTAAGAACTAGGCCTCAGGGGGTCCACGACTCTCCTCTCAAGAAGCAGCCAAATGGACTGCAGCACTTTGCAAAAAAGACATTCCTTGAGAAGCACTTGGGTGCACAACAGGATAACAGCAAAAAAGTGACTGAACTTTCTAAGGAGCCTGTTTACAGTGCTTTTGTGTAGCTTGTTTATAGAAATTCTAAGCAATATTTTATCTTTTATTTTTTAGAGATAAGGTCTCACTCTGTCACCTAGGCTGGAGTGCAGCGGTGTGATTATAGCTCACTGCAGCCTTCACCTCCTGGGCTCAAGTGATCCTCAGCATCCCCAGATAACAGGGACTACAGGCATATGCCACCACATCGGCTAATTTTTTTTTTTTTTTTTGTAGTGTGGGGAGTCTTGATTTGTAGTCCAGACTGGTATCCAAGTCCTGAGCTCAAGCAATACTCCTACCTCAGCCTCCCAAAGTGCTAAGATTACAGGCATGAGCCATCACACCTGGACCTACAGTATTTTATTTTAAAAAGAGTCTTGGTGCTCTAAAAGTGTGAAATCACTGGTCTAATAGAATGACTCCTGAAGAGGAAACAGAAAAGGAGTATCAAATGTTGGTCCATGCTTGACACCTTTCTGGCTGTGAGACCTTGGTCAGTTCCAACCCTCTAAGTTCCTCCTGATCAGTAAAAGGGGGTTAAAAATACATATTCCTTAAGATGCAGAAGTTCTACTCCTAGATATTTACTCAAAATAGATGAAAACATAGCTGCACAAAGATTTGTACATAAATGTTCATAGCAGCTCACTTATAGCAGCCCCAAATTGGAAACAACCCAAAAGCCATCGCCAGCAGAACGGCTAAACACACTGTAGTACATTCAACAGTGGAATACCACAGAGCAAGAAAAATGACCAGCCTCCTGATACATGCCAACATGAATGAACCTCAGAATAATTACGCTGGCCAGGCGTGGTGGTTCATGCCTATAATCCCAGTACTTTGAGAGGCTGAGGCCTCAATTAACACTAGGAGTTCAAAACCAGCCTGAGAAACACAGCTACACCCAGTCTCTACCAAAAAAAAAAATGTTAATTAGCCTAGCAAGGTGGCACATGCCTACAGTCCCAGCTACTCAGGAGGCTGAGATGGGAGAAGTTGCTTGAGCCCAGGAGTTCCAAGTTATAGTGAGCTATGATCGTTCTACTGTACTCCAGCTTGGGTGACAGAGCAAGATCCTATCTCAAAATATAGGTACTATGCAGGTAGGTAGATAAAATTTAAAATAATTATGCTGAGTGAATAGGCCAGACATAAGAGAGTGTGTAAAATGTAATTCCATTTATATAAAACTCTAAATAAGAAAACTCTATAATGACAGGAAGCAGATCAGTGGTTGCCTGGGGCCAAATGTAAGAATGACAGACTGACTGGGAAAGAGATAAGGGAATTTTTACGGTGACAGAAATATCCTATATCTTGATAGCAGTGGTGACTGTAGCTCAAAGTCATAAAACTGTACACTTAAAAATCGATGCACTTTATTGTATGTAAAAAATAAAGTTGAAAAAAATACATGTCCCATCTAACCCATGACAATGTTATTAAGGAATAAGTGATATAAATTATATGTGGAAGCTTAATACACACGCCCTGGGACAAAGTCATAGCAAACAATGTATTTTTTATTCTGAAAGTCAACAATATGGTACAGAAGGAAGCCCTGGCTACTGACAACACTGATGAACGCTAAAGTACTAAGCACATCCTCTGTGTCATGCATGCTCTCAGGTCTTCATGTGTGTCAACCCATCTAGTCTTTACAACAACCCTGTGAGGAAGGAACTATTATTATTCCCATATTACAGATGAGGAAACTGAGGCACTGAGAGGTTAGGTAACTTGCCCAAAGTCACAAGAAAAACCAGAGCAAACAATTTTCAGGTAAGTGAGAGTCTTACAAGTAGCAAAGTACTGGGCCTGGAAAGCTACTTTCCCACCTAAAGACAAGCATCAAAGTGTTGCCTCCAAGCAAGAGCCACCAACTCTGCAGAAGGCCTTCCCCATCAGTAGAGTAGAAAGTTAATTGTGCAGGAGATACCCCATCTTTTCTGTGGATCTGGGGAAGAGCAAATAAAAACAGAATAGCTAGAACAACAACAATAAAAAAGACAAGTTGGTAACATCTCTACATAAAAGTCATAAAAGTGGTTTACAGGCAACAAATAATTACCACAACTAGCCACCTACTATGTGAGGCTTGGAGAAGAGCTTTAAATGTGTTCTCATGCAACCTTCCCAGCAACTCAGAGAAATAGGAAGTATTACAATGATCACTGTATAGATGAAGAAACTGATTCTTAGGACAGGTAAGATAATCTACCAAAGGTATATACAACTAGCGAGTGATAGAACTCACAGTTCAATCAAATCTATCTTCAAAGTTAGTTTTGATGCTTAAATGTACTCCCACCCCAATCTCAATGAAATCAAAGTTTTAAGAAAATAATGTAAAAAGTTAGTCAAAGTATGGACATCCCAACCAAGCCTGCATTGCCTCCAACTGTTCCAGTATTTTTCTGAGAATGTAACAGCCACTGTTATTTACAGAGCAAACATGCCAAGCATAGTGCTAAGGGCTTTAGATATGAACCCAGGTAATCTTCACAACAAACCTACAAGACTCAAAGAGAAGAAAATCTTTCCCCCTAGAACTGTGTATCCAGCTAACTACCTTTTGAGATGAAGGGCAAAAGAAAGACATCTATGATAAACAAAAAAGAGCATTTACTACCAATAGGCACTCGCTCAAGGAAATTCTAAAGAAAAGTCAAACCTGAAGGAAGGTCTGAGACACAAGAAAGAAATATGAACAAACAAATTGTCAAATACATAGGTAAATCTAAAAGACCATCTGCCCTCCCCCCTCAAAAAAAAAAAAAAAAAAAGGTAAAATAGGCTGGGCACCAGTGGCTTATGCCTATAATCCCAGCACTTTCAGAGGCTGAGGTGGAAAGGATCACTTTAGCCCAGGAATTCAACACCAGCCTGGGCAACATAGGGAGACCCTGTCTCTACAAAAATAGAAATTTTTTAAATTAGCCAAGCGTGGTGCTTCATGCCTAATACTTAGGAGGCTAAGTGGGGAGGATCACTTAAGCCTGTGAAGTTGAGGCTGCAGTGAGCCAATATCGCACCACTGAACTTCAACCTGAGTGACAGAGGGAGGCCCTGTCTCAAAAAAAAAAAAGGCAAAACAAATACTGGATTTAGGTTGGGGTGGCAGTATGATCAGATATAGGGTAGTCACTTGTATTATCCAAGGTGGTTAGGCTATGGATTTTTTTTTTTTTTTAAGACAGGGTTTTGCTCTGCTGCTCAGGCTGGAGTACAGTGGTGCCATCATGGCTCACTGCAACCTCTGCCTTCCAGGCTCAATCCATCCTCCTGCCTCAGCCTCCCAAGTAGCTAGGAATACAGGTGCATGCCACCACACCCAGCTAATTTTTTTATTTTTAGTAGAGGCAGGGTTTCGCCACATTGCCCAGGCTGGTCTCGAACTCCTGGGCTCAAGCAATCCGCCCAACTTGGCCTCCCAAAGTACTGGGATTATGGGTGTGAGCCACCGCACCTGTCCTGGATTAACTTTAGACTTAAAAGTATATGTGACTTTATTTCAAGGGTAATTACTAAAACAATAGTATGTGAATCTTTAAAACCAAATCGGGGTTCGAGGTGGGGTGGAGTTGAATAAGAAGGAATGAGCTGGAAAATGGTGGTGCCCAGATTCGAATCCAGGATGCCAAGTTCCCAAGCCTATTTGCAAAAGAATACCACCACATTGCATACAATCAGCTCTCAGAAATCACATGTGTGTCCTTAGGAAACAAACATACTATTTCCGCTTGTCATCTTTTCTCAAAGCACATGAAGACTTAAGATTTAAATCCTCAGTGGATCAAGAGTTGATGAGAAATTACCACCACAGGCCACACTCCATACACAGCACTTGTTTTTGGCCTCTCCAAAGGAAATCTTTCCAAGTAGGTTGGAAAGTCAACAAGATGGTAACTAGAAGCAGAACTTTTTTTATTGCTAGAACTATCCAAGCCCATCGCCACTTTAAATTTTGCCTAAAAATTAACAATCCCTGGGCAAAAGCTCTTTCTCATAGCCGAAGGAGCAGTGATAACCTCACACCTAAACTCTGCATTGCTCTCCTATTGAAAGACATTTCTGGCCGGGCGCAGTGGCTCATGCCTATAATCCCAGCACCTTGGGAGGCCGAGGCGGGCAGATTACCTAAGGTCAGGGGTTTGAGACCAGCCTAACATGGTGAAAGTCCGTCTCTATTAAAAATACAAAAAAATTAGCCAGGCATGGTGGCAGGCGCCTGTAATCCCAGCTCCTTGGGAGGCTGAGGCAGGAGAATTCCTTGAACCCGGGAGGTGGAGGTTGCAGTGAGCCAAGATCACACCATTGCACTCCAGCCTGGGCAACAAGAGCAAACCTCCATCTCAAAAAAGAAAAAAAAAAGACATTTCTGATTTAAGTATGTTTTTGTCAAGAATCTTTAATTATGTTTCACAATTGTGTCTTCCTTTCTTTCACTTGCCTAAGATTTCAACTTCAGTGCCTCAGAAGTAGATTAAATAAAGATAAGCTCTTGTCAATCAGAGCTGGCTTCTCCTCCCCCCACCTACCTTCTCTGGTTACTAGTTCCAAATGCTGCCAATCAAGAAAAATTCTTGCACATCAGCTGTCATTCTTTCCTGTCTAAATGACGCTGGTCACACTTCATTAGGAACACTGTCCTGATCAAAAGCTACAGCCAATCATGTCCACAGAACATCGAAGAAGCAGCTGGTCATGTCTAGCTGGTGTCTGGCACAATTCCCACTCACAGAGGATGCAAGCAGGGCCAGACACACTTCCCCAGGGCCAAAGAGGCAGCTAGTCATGTCTCTGGCACATTACAGGCTGCTGTAAACTACATGTCCTCTGCTGATTGTGTTCCTACGTCATTGGCCCACTAAAGATAGTCTCAAACTTGAGTAAGTCCTCGTAGCCACAAAGACCACTGGGAGTTTAGCAGTCCTCTCCTTCATTAGCTGGTTGTGACACTGAGGGATTTAAGTCAAGCTGCTGGTTTCTAATTCTCCAGACAGCAGGTTCAATCCTTCCCCAACATACAGAAGTTTACAACAGCCACCATTCTATACACCGACGACAACATCCATACTCTCTTAGCACAGACTGCATATACTATGTCAAGGAAACAGTAAAGAATTAGCACAAATCTGATAGTTAAAGCCTCAAAGAGCCAATTCTTTCAACTCAAATACTTATTTTCAACTGTATTGACATAGTACTGTTGTGACATTTACTTAAAAAGATGAGGTGGGTGGGAGATTTTTAAAACTACAGCCCTTTAAACACCTAAAGAAACAGTAGGATAGAAGCAAGAGCAGAATTTGGTTGAGGTATTTTTGGTTGTTGTTTTCTTTTGAGCTTGCAAGCTCTTTATTCTCCAGTTGAGCTATCCTGTTTGTCCCCAGGGTATAGTGCAGAAAGCTTTATACCCAAGATTCAACATGCCAGTCATGCCCTTAAATCCCAGATGTGTGTACCCACATCAGGAGCCTGGCTGTGTCAATATGCAGGTGCGGAATGACTCAGAGGTGGGCCATTCATACCAGAAGAGGCATTTGCCTGGGTTCAGAGTGAATCAGAAGTTCAGTTATTAGTAATAGAAGTGGTTATTTAAATGTATGATTTCATCCTAATTAAAACTAATGGGGGAGAGAATTTGCATTTAGCTGCCTAGTAAATAGCTCTGTTATTTCACTTTTAATATCTGAAGGGTATTAGCAAGATAAGGTTTTCAGGGCAGGAGGGGAGGGAAGTGAAGGTGGTGGGTTGTTATTCCCACCCCCTGAAGATTGGTTTTATATCCTATTCCTTTTCTTTAGTGCTTTTTAACAACCTCCACCCATCTAACCAACCCCCTAGGCCAGAACCTAATAAAACATTCCATCTTAGAAAGCTAACAGTCCAGTACACCTAAGAAAACCACCCAGGGACACCACCGAACATCTTGCATTCACACTAATAACTGCAGGATATCTGATTAGGAGAATGCAAAATAAGAAGCCATTAATAGCAGCCCTCATCTCCTTCCTCCACACTGATTACCAAAAGAACAGCAGCAGCTGAATCAGAGCTAAATCCTATTCACAAGGGACCTAGGGCAACAAAGAGGAAAAAAAACCGTTAGAGTAGTGCTTCTCAAGGGAAGCTGCTTTAAGTCATTTTGATTCTGGCATCAATCACGCCTGCCACAAACCAATAAGCATGTATAACGCAAGCAAAGACTAGATTCCATTCCTTCCCTCCCTCCTGGGGTTCAGCACAGTGCACCTAGCATACTTAATTGCCCTGCCAACCAAACTGCTACTTGCAAGGCCTCCAGAGGAACTCAGCTAGTCCAAGGCTGAGTTTAACTCACAGGCTTAAATGTTTACCCTGAGAGCACAAAAATATCAGCTGGGGAGAGGGAACAGATGGCCTCAGGGCAGCCCACTCTCACTCTCACAGAAGCTGACTAACCACAAGACTCTTTCGAAGAGTTTTACCCTCTCTGTGCCTTAGTTTTTTTACCTGATAGCATATCTGCTCCCCAGGGTCATTGTGGGAAGTAAACAAATTAATTCACATAAAATACCACGAACAGTGCTTAATAAAAATTAAGTGTCTCCACCCTTGTCCCCCTCCCATGTACCTATAGAAGAGAGAGAAGGGGATGAAAAAGGAGAGAAGGAAAAAAAAAATGGATCCAAGGATATGGCTTAGATTTACAGATAAAGAACCTGATGGCCCACCTCCCCAAATGACCCCCTTGCATTGAACTTTACTCCACCCCAAATCTGTAGTTCTCTCCCTTCCAAAGGCACAGTTTCTGACTCCTGGCTTAGCAGTCAGTGAAGATGATCAGAATTCCCCTTCTCTGCAAAGAACCTCAGCAAAAAAAAAAATAATAATTAGCGTTTCCATAAACACAGTATTTTGAGATTGGTGAGGGATCTGTGGATCCCCAAACTCTGTGCAAGTCAAAATGAATTTGCTGGTAGACAGCCAATGTTTCCGATTTGATTTGGCAGAATATACCCAGTTAGGATGTTCTCTCAATGCAATTAGCAATGCACTGTCAATGAGCAGTTTAGCTATTGACAATACCTGTTGCAATTTAATTTTAAATGTCAATGACTTGTTTGGGTTCACTGTAACAAGGCTTTTATGCATGACAAATAAGCATCCTAGAACAACAGGATGGATGAGCAAAACAAGAGGGTGAAGAAAATCAATAGACACTGTATAAGGGGCTGTCTTTCAAACATCCCCCTGTGGCTATGACTGCCATGAACAAGGCAGGCTGCTCCTCCCAGGAGCAGACTGGGGACTTAGGGAGTGTGTTACTGTCATCTACTTTTGCAACTGATGCCCACTGTTCCTAATGGGATATGGGAATGAGGAGCAGACCAGGTTCTGGAGATAACCCGGACTAGGCAAAAATGCTAGCCCAAGCAGGGACTTGCTTCTGAGGACACCACAGTGACTCTGCCCGACTTTTACTAGCTAGGTGGCCTTGAGCAAGTTATCTAACCTCTCTTTGCCTCAATTTCTTCCTCATCTATACAATTAGGATAATTGTAAAGAATATATAAACAAACATATTACAAGCACTTAGCACAGTACTTGGTACATTAATAGCATTTGATAAATGTTAGCCTCTTGTTATTATTCAATTGAGTTAAATGGTTGATATTACTCAAAAAAGAAACAAAAAAAACAATCTATACACTCGCACAACATAGAAGGATGTCACCAATTCAAGCATCTACAGTGCAGGACTTTGAGTAAAGTTGACTCCCATGGAAAAACTGAGAGGGGTAGAGTCTACAGCAAAATGGAAAATCTGTACCCCTTTCCTAGAGCACTCCTGCTCTCAATAACAAATGAAGCCAGGCATGCAGCATGGCCTGACACTGCCAGGTGTTCTGATTTTCCCGGAATAACCCTAAATCTGGATTTTTTTAAATGTGAAATGTCCTGGACTTTAAATGTTGAAAAGTACCTCCAAAATTTTTAAAACAACAAATATGCCAAATGAACCAAACCTGTGCCTGGACCAGGTTTATTAAAGACTATATTTCTGAGAAGTCTCTCGTCCAGGGTAACCCTTAAGAACTCCCTAGGGAAAAAAAAGTCACCAAAAGTCTTTACTCATTTCCCATATAGGTGAAGCCTTACCAGAGAATAACACCACAGAAGGGTCTGCAGAGAATCTGGAGTGTCCTCTAAATCACAGGACAAGAAGCTGCAGCAGGTGCTTCCATGCTGACTTACAGCCTGCTTACTGAGAGGGTAAGTGGATGATTTATGAGTTGCAAAGGTGATGCAAAATGCTAATCAGCTTTAAGCTGACACTGGATAACACAAGCAAATTTATATCTTCTCTAAAATAATTCAAATGCTTTTCATGAGGAATAGCAGGCAAGGATAAAGATGAAGTGATAACACTTCAGAGACTTCACAAAATATCCCAATTAATCTAGGCCATAAACCTACAACAGATCCTCACTTCTGAGCACAGGAGCACATCCCGGCTGAAAATCACAGGAAATACCCAAGTCAAAGCAAATCAGCCAATAGGTTTCCCAATTCAGATGCCTAGGGAATTTCACTGTGTTTCTGAGATGACTTTGGTTTACCACAATATCCTTAGCGTCTTTATTCCTCTTTGCCAAGTATAGATTGAGAAGGAGGTGGTGTGAGGCATGAAGGAAGGATGGGGCATGGATCACGAGACAGACTGGGGGTTAAATGAGAAGTCTCCAGGATGACAGAAAAAAGAGAAAAAAAGGTTCACAAAGTACCACTTTAAACAATTTTCACTTTTTTCAACAAATGCATGTATTCAACAAATATTCACTGAGTGCCCACTAATGTCAGGTGCTAGTCTACGTACTGGAAATCCAGCACTATAGGAAACAAAGTCCCTGCAGACACAAAGCTTATATCCTTGGGCCATCCATACTGAGACCTAAGAATTAATCTTGGAAGCAGAGATCACAGACTTTTTATGTTAGAAAGGACTTTTAAATCTCATTCAGCACTGAATGTGAGATACAAATGTCCTCCACAGCTTTCATTGACAGACATTTCACTAAGCTCTGCCCTCTGTGCTAGTCCCCTGCACTGGCTGTCTACAGCAGCAAATCAGATAAGGGCCAGCCCTTACGGAGCTCACAAGACTCCTTGTCAGGGGGCTGTGCGGCCACCTCCACTGAACAGAACTCACCATACTCTAGTTGTGTTTGTGGCCACTTCTATGGAGCCCAAGGCTTCTGGCTAAGGGTACTGCTTGCTAGCTCTGGGGAGAAAAGGGGCTTAATCTGTTTGTGCCCCTCAGCCAGCTTCCACCTAAGTAGCCCCATTCTTTTTATTAACTGATAGTCTAAAAACAGGTGTCTTTGGGAGAAAATAATAGTTTCATGGGTTAAATAATTAGAAGGTAAAAAGTAGTATCTCTCAAAGGATGTTGGTCCCTTCTGTTAAACCTGTTCTCTTTATGTTCAGCCCCCACAGCATCCATTCATCAGTCCCCGGTCTGCTCTGCAGGGCCACCAGAATTATGGTTCCTCCTTCATAGGATAACTCTGCAACTGTCTGAAAACAGTACAAGGGTTATCATCTCCTTTCATAACCAGGTCTGATACCCCAGTTTCATCACTCACAATGGTGCCTCCTCAGGTGCTTTCTCATTCTTTTGCCATTACCAATCCAAAAACTATGTAATAAAGTGTTTTAGGAGTAGTATTATCCTACATAAAGGTTTATGAAAAAACGCTCTGTTTAAGACATCTCACATAATCAGACTGGGTAAGAGACTTGACATAGAAGAGGCAAGTATATCCTACAAATTATATACAGAATCCTGGAGCTTCTGGAGGATGCAATAGAGTTGTCTGAATATCAAATGTGCTTGATCGTTAAGAGTCAGATTCCTGCAACCTATTCCAGAACTACTGAATTAAAATCTCCAGAAAATGTCTGAAATTTGTTTTTTAATACATGTCCCATATGGTTTACATTGAGAATGGGGCAGGGGGTGGATGGGAAGGAATTAATATGTCAGACACAAACTCTCAACTGAGAAGACCTCAAATTATATAAAAACCTTTTCAGAGCTTTTATAATCTCACTGACCATCTGTAGCACAGAAATGAATCCTGGCATTAGTGGTACTAAGTGGTTACACATCAGTACTCTGGAGACAAGAAAAGGAAAAGAAAGTTTTACCTTGCATTTGAAAAAGTCAGTTAAGAACCTACCATTATGGGGAAAAAAAAAACCCAACAAGCAAATGCTAAAACATTACAGGCATATACATATATATATTTCAAAATATCCAGCTTGGTAGCAACCTAATGTGTAAAGCCCAGACTTCTGCAGCCATAGTATGAATCCAATAGGTTTCATACTATCTATCTAGCCCTTCCTCATCCCCCTCAATCCCAGTGATCCAAACTCCACTGAGAAAATGAAATTTCATCTATTTACTTTGAAGCAGATTTTTAAAAAATACAAGTCCCCAAGCACCAGAAAAGAAAGACTTCTTTACCTAAGACATTAAAAAAAAAAAAAAAAACTAAAGAGGAACAAAGAGTTATTATTGGCACTTGAATCTACAGCATCAGAAAAATGGCAGCCCTTCAATCTCCACACGTGGAAGAGCTCTTCGTTTTAAGCTGAAAATGGGAAATTAATTTTCAAGTCTCTTGTCTAGGAGACAGCTTTTAAAAAGGTATTAACCTACATTTGGAGATTAATGCAAACACAGCCATCTTGTTTTAGTGGGTACAATCCAACTTTTATTAAGACAAAGACGGATTCAGAGTAATTAAGAGCTTGTCCAATATCCAGAATTTTATGACTCTAAATATTAGCGAAGCTGGCATTCTTACCAGCTTTGCCTCAGAGCTATTGCATTATAAATCCTCGGTGGTAATGAAACACCAGCTAAAAAGAGGTTGAATAAGTCTCATTTAAAAAACAGCCTTCCCGTGGAGAACTACGCTGACTTTAACATAATGTATAGCCACTCTTAGAACATTAATACTATGAGAAAAAGGTGAGTGGCTTGGGATTTGCTATTAAAAAACCTCAAAGAAGATAAGGAAGTGTGTTTTAACAATGTTGAATGTTGGGAGACTCCTTGGCACCAAAATCTCAGAACATCTTGCAGGGATTTGGGTAGAAAAGGAACAGTACCCCCACACTAAGGATGCTAGTGGTGGCTTACATGCGAGGCACATCCTTAACACTACATACTGTTTATACAATGTAGTAGCATCACAGGCATTGTAAAAAATAAAATTTAAAAAACTTTGAAAGTTAGCATCTCATTTTTAAACCATCTCAATGGGGTGCTCTCTTCTGCTACTTAAATGATGCCAACGTATGCCCTTGAACACTCCCTTCTCAGAGGAGGATTTCACCAGGGTCACCACCTGCAAACCTATCTCTACCAATGGTCTGAGGGGGCACTCATGGAATATGTCCAAAATATTGACAATTGGTCATCACTTTTTCAGACTTCATGTAATCGAAGACTCTGAGACACTAAGTTCTAATGCAAATTTATCCTGTACTTAAAGGGCCACCAAAGAGTTAATCACATAGTGACTATATACATAGTTTAAAAACAGTTCCCTCTCTGCTCTTGCATCAAATTTGCCCCCCACTGACTAAACAGGTGAATACCAAAGGTTCCTGGGTCCCAGCCACTGACAGTGATTATCTAAAAGAAGCCTGTCATCTCTATCCCCTCAGGAGAGAAATGACACATCACCTATGCACCTCACCTGAGCCGTAGCCAATTATCCATATCCCCAAAGCATAAATAAGACTTAATGGAACGGACTAGATGAAAACACACCATGCACCACATGATTAGCAAAAAGCAAGCTGCTAAACAGAGTGGGCTCTGTTCTTCTCAAAAGACACCCTTAAGTAGAAATTAAACACCAATCTATGTTCAAGGAAATGACAATCTTTACCTTTTTCTGTCCACTAGGCACTCTACTCTCCTATGAGAAACAATACCCTCTTCCTAAAAGCACAAACCTTGCAGAATAAAAGCTGTGCCAGGAAGAAGAAATTTAAATTGAGACATCATGCCTTCTTTGACTATTCAAAGATAGTGTCAGAATATAATAAATTGTCTCTTAAGGAATTAACAAAGGTACCATTTTCTAAAATGAACAAAGGGATTTTTTTATTAAATGCTTTTGCTTTTATTCCCCATAACATGACTTTATTTTTTACTCAAGAGAGAAACAGATACCTCATATTTGGGCCTTATTTACTGAAATTAACCATAGCCAACACTTTGCACTATCATTTATGAAATCAAATTGGGGGAAAATAAAAACGAAGAAATACCAGGACACATAAATACACCTGTGGGCTAAGAGAAAAAGAAATTCCATGGGAAACAATGCTGACTCAGCCAAGAGTCCACAGAGCCAGCACTCCATTGTTTGCTTAGTGGCTGACACACCTCACGCACACTCCTCCAGACTGACCACAGAGATCACACACCCCCAAATCCATATTTTATGTAGATTAAGTTTACTTCCTCATGTAGGGTTAAATCATTGAACCTGCTCTGAGCACCTATGTGTAACTACACCCCATCCCCCACCTTTACAACAGCAAGCAGCAAATGTTTTATACTATAAATAATGAATACCAAAGGGGAGGGAGGGAGACAGCAGCAGTAAGTACTTTAAAGGCAAGGTACCAAAGTATTAATTAGCCTGGCACAGCACCCAGCATGACAACTAGCCCCCAAAGACTGAATTTCATTGTTTAACAAAGGTATTGTGACACTAAAGTTAAGACTTGGCTCTATAGCCTTCCTAACAACCTCCAACCTTACAGCATCTACTGTGATACTAGGCTAGTGAGGCATGGCGGAAAAAAAAAACAAAAAACAAAAAACTATTTGTAATTTTCTATACAAAGTGCTTCCTAATGCATTATTTAACGTAATCTTCACAAGAAACTTGTTACCCATTTTACAGATGAGGAAAGGACAGCTTTGGCAAGCCAGAGATTGACTTGCCTACGATTACGCACATAATAAATAGGAATGTCTCCTGACTCTGTTCCAGTGACAACCCAGATGAATAAGACAAAAGACATAACCTTTGTGTTCACGCAGTTTTAGAATTCAGATACAAAGACACTGGCATGAAGATACGTGACAAATGCCAACTGAGTATACACAAGCTGTACAGGTCCCAAAAAGGGAACAACCTCTTGAAGCCATGAATAAAAAGCCTATGGAACATTTAAAAACCCATTCTGTATAAAACACTCAGTTCACAAATAAGAAACAGCATGTGAAAGGGCTCTGTAGGTCATAAATGTTATACAAATGTTACTTGTTAATAAAAGTAATAACAGCTACTACTTACTTAGCATTTGCTATGGGTCAGGCACCATGCTCAATATTTCACATACATTTTCTTAATTAAACCACTCATCAATATTATCCCCATTTTACAGTGGAGGAAACTGAGTTTAGAGAGCTAAAATTACTCACCCCAAATCACTTAAGTGGCACTTGTTTAATTAAGTTAAACAAGTCTCTCTGTCAAAGCCCACGTTTTTTGTTTATTTGTTTTGTTTTGTTTTTGAGACAGGGTTGGGCTATGTCTTCCAGGCTAGAGTGCAGTGTCATGATCATGGCTCACTGCAGCCTCGACCTCCCAGGCTCAAGCGATCCTTCTACCTCAGTTCCCCAGATAGCTAGAACTTAAGGTGCATACCACCACACCTGGCTAATTTTTGTATTTTTTATACAGACAGGGTTTCGGCATGTTGCCCAGGCTGGTCTCAAACGGGTTCAAGTGATCCTCCCACCTTGGCCTCCCAAAGTGCCAGGATTACAGGCATGAGCAACTATGCCCAGCCCAAAGCCCATGTTTTTTAACCACTATCTATATTGCCAGTGTTTATTTTTCTAGTAATCATTACTATTAAGTAGTCCCCAAAGTCTTCACCAAGTACTCAGATCTGACTTTGAAACAGTGTATTTCTGATGGACATCCTCAACTCTCAGTTTCTTTGTATAATCAGACCCTTAATGTCTGCAGGTAATAGCATGGTGGTTCATTTTGGAAAACACCAAAGATCCCATGTGGTCTCTAGCTATTGAGAAAAATCCAAGAAATGATGGTGCACACATATTAACAATCAAAGGTTACAGCTATTTGGTATTTTAAACACTTTCAACTGAAGTTCTTAACAGTGCTTAAGAGAAGGCTTAAGTGCATTAAAAAAATTCTCTGTACATTTGTTATTCTCATCCCAGCTTTATAGATGAGCAAACACTGACTTGTAGACATTACAGGAAGCTGAGATTGGAGTACTGGCTGTTTCTATTCCTCTCCCAAGATATGAATAACACGAGCTCCTGATTTAGCCCACCTTTCCTCATAGCACAGCAGGTAAGGAGAGGGCATATGTATCGACAGAAACTCAGATGGATTTTAAAAATTGCTTTTAATTAAACCACAGGAAATATTGGGGGGCAGGTGGGGACAGAATTGATGTTAGATCTCAGAAGGGATGACAAGTTTGTTCATCTTAAGGCAACAGAAGAAAATATAAAAAACTTCATAAACTGCTTTGTAATGAAAAACTAAAATAAAAAAGAACAAACTTGGAAAAGGTACGACAAATATTACAAAGGGTTACATATTGCCAGGCACAATGGCACTAAAATAAAAAAAGAAAAAACTTGGAAAAAATACTCATGACAAATATCACAAAGAGTTACATATTGCCAAGTGCAGTGGCACACACCTGGACTCCCAGCTACACAGGCGGCTGAGGTGGGAGTATCACTTTGAGCCTAGGAGTTCGAGACCAAACCAGACAACTTACTTAGGAAGACCTAGTTTCTAAAAAAAAAAAAAAAAAAAAAAAAATTAAAACAACAACAACAAAAAAAAACATACCAGTTAAGAAAAAAATTTGAACCCATAACCCATTAAAAGACAAACATAAATGTGGCTCAAATTTGTGCACAAAAATAAAGGGGAAGAACAACTTTTTAAATAATACAGTTATGAAAGAAATCCAGTAGCTTTTTATCCCTAGAAATGTAAATAATGATCATTCTTAAGGTAAATACACCCTATATCACTGAGGATCATATACAGTGTAAACTGTACACAGATAAGGAAAAAACAAAATGCACCTTGTGACTATTCTACACAGAGGATGTACTGAAGAAATTAAGAGGGATTCTATGCACAAATAAGTTCTTTGAGGTTTAACAGCACAAAATAGAAAACTTACAACAGAAGAATATAAAGTATGGCACAATTTGAGGTACTATTATGCTGCCATTAAATTACTATCATGATATAGCAATGTAAGAAATGGCTTTTTTAATGTTAAGCAAAATACAAAAGTATTCCGATATAATCACACCACCAAAAAGTGATGTTCACGTGACATATAAATCGTAGAAATAAAAGTATAAAAATGGGGGGGGGGGTGTTGGGGGACATTTAAAACTCTTAATCCCATAATAGATTAGAGACTTCTTAAAGATAAGTTTTCTCTCACTACAAAAAAAAAATGCTATTAAAAGAATGTGTGTGTGCATGCGAGTATGTGTTAAATACAATCATAAGTTGAGAAAGAAAAGCAACTCTCCTCTCATACTCTGCCTACCTTCTTCCTCTGCCTTGAAAGAGCATACATATGTATGTATTATATATGTATATATATCCTATAAATGAGTTTAAAGTTGCTAGTATCAAAGCTCTTTCTTGTCTAAAATGCTTCAACCCTTCACACACAAAAAAAATAAGGTTTGGAATTGGACATGGTATATTTCAATTCTATTAGGAATAAGAAAATAGTACAACCAACATGTGACACACACAAAATTATAAATGTATCATAGATACTTGCTTTCTGTGTGCACTGTAAAATCTAGCTCACTAAAGGATTTTCCATGCTGTTTCTACTAGGAAAACACTAAAAAATCCAATGTTCGTTTGAATTTTTTAACATCCCATAGCAGGTAGACACTGGCTATTTTCTAGAAAGGATTTTCCATAACACTGAGCAGAAAGCTGAGATTAAAGCTCTGCTATCTTTGACTGAAATTAATTCTCTACAGCTGTTTAGGGAACGTGTATTTCAGAAAGAGGGACTCAGCTGACTAGTTCCAACCTCTCTTTTCAAAGAGGAAAATGTGTGTTTAAATTAAAAAAAAAAAAAAAAAAGCCACAAGCAAGCAACCTACCAGCCTGCATACTTTGAGTGCTCCCAAAGAACATATTACTTGAGCGTAACTTTTTGTCCCGTTTTTCTTTAAAGCCTTTTGGGAAAACATCACTTCTGACTGAACTACCTACCCTTGGGAAGAATGGATGACTCAATGTTTGTCTAAAGACATTACATTAAAAAGACAGAAAAAACTCAAAAAGCAAAAAACCCACACAGGCACTTCTAGAATGTGCCTACCCTGTTCATCACTATGCAGATTTCACAAGCATTTCCCTAATCCAGGGGAAAGCTATTCTTTAAAATAGTACATTTACACGCTCTACTAAGAGTATTCCCTAGATTTCAAGTTGGTGGTTTGTTGGCTGCACTGCAGCAGGTTTAGGGTGGGAATACCCTGAATAATCAGGAATAGGAGCCACACAAGGCAGCGCCTCAGCAATGGGGCTCCATGTGCCCCAGGGAGAGGGAACTCTACTACCTTGACCACAGGGCTTCTCACTCCTGCTCCTTCTCTTCCTCATTCAGCTCTCCTGGTTCCATAAACATCAACAATTTCTTTCGTGTAGGGGCCCACATCAGCTCCTATGCATACATTCCACTGGAATGGCTTCCATCCCAGCAATCCATGACAGTATCTTCTTTAGTGTACCACACTAAAATCCCATTAGTACATAGGTTCTCAATTTTGGCTGCACTCAGAAGAATCTAGGGAATGAACGAGATTCTGTTCATTTCTAAATGATTCTGATTTAACTGGGATGAAGTATGGTCTGGGTATCAAGGGATTTTGTAAGGTAAAGTACCCTAGCTACCTTTCTTTTTAAGAACTGGACAATTTGATTCTAAACCTTATATAAAAAAGAAAAGGGCCTACAATAGTAAAAACAACCTTGAAAAGAAAACAAAGTGGGAGGATTCACACTACTGCATTTCAAGACTTACTATAAAGCTAGATAAACAAGACAGTGTGATACTGGGATGACAGACAAATAAATCAGTGAAGCAGAACACAGAGTCCAGAAATAGACCTAAACAGAAATAGACATAAACAAGCAACTGATTTTTTATTTTTTTTATTTTTATTTTTGAGGTGGAGTCTCACTCTGTCTCCCAGGCTGGAGTGCAGTGGCGCGATCTCAGCTCACTGCAACCTCCGCCTCCCAGGTTCAAGCTATTCTCCTGCCTCGGCCTCCCATGTAGCTGGGATTACAGGTGCCCACCACCATACCTGGCTACTTTTTGTATTTTTAGTAGAGACGGGGTTTCACCATATTGGCCAGGCTGGTCTTGAACTCCTGACCTCGTGATCCACCCGCCTCATCCCCCCAAAGTGCTGGGATTACAGGTGTGAGCTACTGCACCTGGCCCTCAAGCAACTGATTTTCAACGGAGGTGCCAGGGACATTCAATGGAGAAAGTAAGGTCTTTCAACAAATAGTGCTGGAACGACTAGATAAACATATGGAGAAAATGAACCTCTACCCTTACCTCATATCACACTCAAAAATTTGTGATGGAACATACACCAAAAGATAAATAAAGCTTCTAGAAGAAAACAAAGATGAATATTTCTATAACCTAGGGTAAGAAAAGATTTCTTAGTGAGGATACAAAAGACACAAAATATATAATGGAAAAATAAGATAAACTATACTTCATCAAAATTAAAAAATTCTGCTTATCCAAAGATGTCATTAGGAACTAAAAAGGCAAGTAACAGACTGAAAGAAGTACTCACATTATGTATATCTGGCAAGGGACTTGTATCCAAAGTATATAAAGAGCCCTATAAATCAATAACATAAAGATAACCAAATTGAAAATGGTCAAAAAAAACTTGACCACACACTTCACAAAAGAAAACAGTGCTCAACATCATAAATCATCAGAGAAATGTAAATTAAAACCATACTGAAATACCATATTATGCCCATTAGAATGGCTAGAATTAAAAAGACTTATCATACCAAATGTTTGACAGTATGGAACAACAAGAACTCTCATACAATGCAGGAGGGAATGTAAAATGGTACAACCACTTTGGAAAACTGTTTGGCAGTTTCTTATAAAGTTAAACATACACTGACATACCTATAACAAAATTCCACAATTAGGCACTTACGTTAAAAAAAAATCATGACCTATGTCTGCCAAAAAAAAAAAAAACTTGTACAAGACTGATCATTACAGCTTTATTCATAATAGCCAAAAATCTGAAACAATTTAAATGTCTACCAACAGGAAAATGATTAAACAAATTGTGGTATATCTGTACAACAGGGTACTATTCAGCAATTAAAAAAAACTGACATGTAACAATATAGAACAATCTCAAAAACATTATGTTAACAGAAGAAGGCAAACACAATAGAGCACATACTTGTATAATTCCATTCACATGAAATTCAAGAACAGGCAAAACTAAACTATGTTAACACGAATCAGAACAGTGGTTACATATGGGAGGGGTGGGCAGGAATTGATTCAAACCGGAAACTAAAAAACTTTTTCAGGTTCTGACTATGGTCTATAACTTGATGGGTAAGTGTGCTACATGGGTATGTATATTTGCCAAAATTCATTGATGTGTACACTTAAGATCTGTGCATTTCACTGCATGTAAACAATATCCTAAAAAAAAGATCCCCAGGTAATTCTAATTTGTAACAAAGTTGAGAGGCACTGCATTAGAGGGGAAAAAAAATAATCTAACTTTTCTACCCTTCCCTCCTGCATCACAATGATTTCTTGTGCAAGCCAAGATTGTAATTGTTCATATCCAATATTTTCACACAACACCCTACATATATTGCTGCCCAAATCCTGCAGGTACATTAACTGGATACTCATGAACTGATTGTATCCTGGAACTTGTACATCACAGTACACATCTATTTCAGGAGATGCTGAAATATGGGACAGCTAGGAACTATTCTCAGTGCAATTTACCAGCATACCTTCCCCTCAAGTCTGACCAGACAGCCTTCATAAGAGCCTACACTCTGACCCTCATTTCCCATAGCCCCTTAAGACAAACCCAGTTCTCCAGCCTCATTGCACTTATTACCTTCAGGACCCCAAAAGGAGCAAACCATTTCCATGTCCACATGTCTTGGTCCATACTAGTCTTTCTGTCTGGAATGTCAACCCTGCCTTTTTTTGCATACTCCTTCCTGTCATTCAAAACATCATCATCATGTCACTTCCTTCATGAAGATTCCTCTAATCTCTCTCTATGCCACAAATGGACCCTCTTCTGTGTACCTAATGTGTATCTCTAACACATATAGACTATGTGGTAGGCAACCTGCTAGAAAAAATGGCATGCCCATCACATTCTTACAGCCATCTATTTGCATGCTCATATGTTTACTTTTTGATTCAAGTGGGCTCCATAAGGACAGGGGTCCACCTCTTATTTATCATGGTAAGTCCTGGCATACAGTAAGTGTTTGATATACTCCTGCTAATTTTTCAAATAAATTAATACCAATACTCTCCCTCCTTTCCCCTAAAGCAAAGTCAACTATAATAGAGAACAAAACCAGGCCAGAGGATGGGGTGACTATATGTGAGTGTATTCATATGTTTTAAGTCTGCAGTTAGAATTTACTTGGTACTGAGAACTCTCAAACCTAATAAATTCTTCTCTATGAAGGACTGAAGATTAAAAACTTCGGTTCTTATATCTTTAAAAAAATCCTACCTTTGATGACTTTTTTCTAATACCATTTCTATTATATAATGTTATAAAGGTCTACAGCAACTGCTAGACACTTAATCAAAGTAATGATACAAATCAATAATCCAGAACCAATTCCCTCTCTGGACATGGATCCCCAAAAAGTTGTTCCTCTACAACCAATTAAGGGTCCTTTATCTGGTTATTCCACATTTTTCACGCCCATATTCAGCTGACAATCACAATCTAAGTCCTAGACCATAATTTGAAATTTTCTGCAAAAGGGGGGACAATGATCACTAAGAGAGTTTGTGGTTATTAATATTTATCCCTAAGCAGTAACATTCGATCAAATCTTTTTCATTCAGCTCAGCAAAACAAACCAGAAAGTTAACCAATTCTGTAACCTTGAATCCTGATGCTACAGTAATTTTGCTTTCTGTGCCGTTAAAAGTGCAGTGTTTTCATTTCTCTGGAAAAGTGCTGATCCAGAGAGCACAAGACAACAGCAGTACTGTGGATATCATTTGTAGGGAAAAAAGGAAATATGAGAGATTAAAGAGACAACTCCCTAAAAAGTCCAATGATGAAATGTCTCATGGTCTTTTGAACAAGAACTTCTTTGAAATAACAAAAAACAAAATTAAAGACTCACACAGGCCAAGGTCTATAGCAGGTTGCTCTCCTTTCCTCACATAGTTATTAAAAGCTAATGAAATCGTTAAAAAGAATCTAGAAAAGAAAGAGTCAAGAAATCATTTAATCATTTTACAGACAAAGAAACAGAGTTAGAAAGAAAATGTGACTCGCCCCATGGGGATGTGACATACAATATGTTGGTGACAGGGCAAAGGTCACACCCGAGGTAGTCTGACTCTCTCCCAGTTCGGTGATTTTTTTCCCCCCACATTAACACATTTCCTTGGCTTATACTCAGAAATACCATGGAGACCCCCTCCTGCTTGCTAGAATCAACACAATCCACACTGCTTCTGTAGTTTATTCCTGGGTCCCACTCATCTATCACCTTCCACTGTGCTGCAGATGTCTGTCCTCTCTCCAGGTGATTCCCAGACATTCCTGGCTGCTTGGCTTGACTTTCTGTTGCAGCCTGAGGAGGCAGACTAAGACTACTCATCCATTTCACTAAACTACCGTTAGAGTGTAATGAGTTGTTTCTTACATGATGCCAGTGGACTGGGGTGTGAAGCTCAATAGTCCACCCAATGAATCATTTCTAGCACTCTGCCACCAAGTCACTTTCTGACTTCTACTAGTTAAACATAGCAGGCAGAAAAGTTGACCAGTGGTTCTTGCAAGGTCTTAGAAATGCCAGTGGCTATGAGAAAATCAGGAATAAAACAGCTAACAGTCAGAGAATCCATAATACCAGTCCTTAGTCTAAGTGATTTACATGTATTTACTCATTCATTCCTCTGGACCACTCTGTGGGAAGATACAGTATCTTCCTGTAATTATCATCATCTAACAAATGAGAAAACTGGCTAATGGTCATATAGCTAATAATGGTGAAGCTTGAATTGGGACCTAGGCATTCAAACTCCAGTAACTTAATATTAACCATTAAGCTAGTCTGTTCTTTGCTTGAGTTAAACCCTGCAAAATGGATCTATTTCAAAGCAATCCTTATAAAACATACATTTCTTTCCTCCTTCTCAAAAAGAGGAAAGAATTCCAATATGTAAGGTTGCTCAAACTTCCTAAAAAGGTCTCCGAGAATCACATGGCCTATATAACACTCTATATATACACAAGACCACGATTCTGCTACTCCAAATGATCAAGGCTAAAGTGGGAGAGTCCTACACTGGCTGCTGTGAATGATGAAGGCAGTAAGAACGGGGATAAAGTGTCAGACAGTCCTTTGGATCAGGGACTGCTATGACCTGCAGGTTAATATGCAGCTGCACGTACAACATGACTCAATCCTCCCTCTTGCTTCTGAACAGTTCTATGGTAGCGCTCACCAACTGCTGAAATGGGATGTGTTTTGACATGTAGAAAACAAGCAGCAAAAAGCTTTAAAACTGCAGGCCATCTCCTGGAAATGATCATGTTTTCCTCTGGAAATGGGTGTGAGTAGCTCAGATGCTTTGGTGTTACCATATTCCAAGAAAAAAAAAAAAGCAATTCCAGATCTACTTCTATTAAAGCAAAGGACTCCTGATATTACCCAATATTTCAAATGAAAGTATGTTTATAATTTCCCAAGCAGCATACTTTGTTCTGCACATCAACGATGAAAGGATATCAACAAAGTCTATCTCCATGAAAGGACAAATGAAACACAGTTAAATGAAATGCACAAGGCCACATAGCTGCTTAACCTGTAAGGTATGGCCAGGCACAGTGGTGCACACCTGTAATCCCAGCACTTTGCGGGGACAAGGCAGGCGGATCACTCGAGCCCAGGAGTTCAAGACCAGCCTGGGCAACATAGCAAATTTCCAGCTCTTAAAAAACAAAAATAAAAAAATTAGCTGGGTGTGGTAGCGTTTGAGCCCAGAAGGCGGAGGTTGCAGTGAGCTCACATGGCTCCACTACACTCCAGCCTGGGTGACAAAGCGAGACTTGGTCTCAAAAAAAAAAAAAAAATGTAGAATAAGAATACCTCCATTTGCCAAGGCATTTTCCAATTTTTCTATTCTAAGAATGGAAATAGCCTTCTCCTTCCCTTTGTATCCCAATGACACAGCTTAACTACTATTGTGAGAAAAAAAGGAACAGTTCCAAGAACTACTAGTCTTCTAATAGCCACCACCTATACACAATATATTGCTATACATCCATAAACAGAATTGCTTTTTATTTTTTTTTTTTTTGCCCTTCATTGTGAGGATCCCAAACTTTCTCATGCATTTCAAGGCTGGGAAAGTCACATCCTGCTTTGCTCTCTATCCCCTCTATAATCTTCCCTCTTCCAATCCATCCTTAAGCACTCTCTTTTGGATATTGCTACTTCCCTGCTTCCCAAAAGACAAGGTCCAAACGCCTATCAATAACTTTACCAATCAGATCTCAACATATGTTTCACATGTCCTCCCCAACCCTACCTCTCAGGCCCCTTTGTCATGCTTTCCCATGTACCTGTGCTCTAGCAGCCAAATCAAAATCACTCAATGACATCCAAACACAAAACTCATTTCTACATCTCTCCAACTTCACTCACCCTGCTTTGATAGCCTAGAAGATCATTCCTTGTCTCCACCACAGAACAAAACTCCTCTTTATCATTCAAGATCCAGTTCTGTGATGACCATCTCTAGCTTATTTCTCAAAGCTCACAGCACTCTGTGCTCAGGCTGTTATACTTACTATAACTATGTAATACATTGCATAACACAGGACAAGGACTGAGTCCTGTATTCTTCATTCTCAGCTCTTCTCACTGTGATAGGCAAGAGATACCCTAAAAATCCATTCCACAAATTTTTATATAAATTAGGTACTGGGAATACACTGATGGGCAAAAGAAACTGAAGCTGAACTCTCAAAGAACTTACTTCTAGCAGAGAAAATTGGGGAAACATTAAACAACCATGTGTGAGGTGATAATGAGTGCTATGAAGAAAAGCGGAATAAGGGAAGAGTGTCTGCCTCCTTCAGACAGAATGGTCACTAAAGGTCTCTCTGATAAGGGAGCTTCTAGCAGCAACCTGAATCAAGTGAAGGAGGGAGGCTTGAGGGTAAGAGCATTCTAGGCACAGTGAAAAGTAAACGTGACAGCCTTCAGTAGAGAATGCATTGCTGCTGCAGTACTTGAGCAGATCAGGAGGCAAAGATCAGAGAGAGATTGTGGGAGGCAAAACTGCATGGAGCATCATAAGCAACACCCTGCTCAAACCTGGATGAACAAAAACTGACCCTGGTCATTCTTCATCTCCTTCATTAATGTTCCTTGCTGCTGACCAGCATAACAATTGGATGGTGCTCTCTTGCTAACTGAAAACTCTGCCCACTACTCCAGTCTCTTCTTCTTTTTGCTGCTGTGTAAGTCTTTTCTTAGCTTCTCAATCTTCTACCGCTTTCTCAAGATGAACTCCATTCCACCTTCTTTGGCTTTCTTCAGAATAAAACCTAGTAAACGCTGTTGTCCTGTTTCCTCTATCCTCAAAATATTTCGTAGTGATTTCTACTGCAGTTCCCAAGAGATCCTAGTAAATCTCCCTGAAATACGTTGGGCAGCCTTCTCCTTTTCCCGTAATAACAGCAGAAGCTGTCTGACTTCTTAGGCAGAATTTCCTCCCTAAAAAGCAATATACTGACTTATAAAATCTTACCCAATTTTTCCTCTGTTACTCTAAAGCTTAACTGTTATGTGCCCCTACAATTATTTCATTTCAAAGAAAAATACCTTTGGTTTAAACAAATCTAATATGTGGACTTATGAATTTACTTAAAAGATAAATTGGGCATGACTGTGGTTATAAAAGGATTTTTTACATTAGAAAATGATTCATAATAGCATTACTAGAAATGGCAAGCTCTCCTATTTCATCCTAAATTTAGGAGCCAATTCTCACACAAATCTTTGAGAACACATCATTAGGTCAGGTGAAGTACACCTGTACAATGAGATCTTCTTTCCAAGAGCCAGGCTGGGACTCCCATCATAGAATCTTGAGAATATTATATTTAACCACCACCAATTTGAAAGCCTATAACCCTCAAGGGTTGATTTATATTCATTCTATTATGAAAGGCTATAATTCCTAAAATGTAGACCAAAACTCAAAACACCAGAAAGTTTTGTTAACAACTCTACCAAACCAACCAGTCTCCTGTTCTCTGCTGGCTGAGATTCCAGACATAATTGTTCAGGTAGCCAACCCATCAGCTTTCCATTTTCTTACACACATTACCATGCCAAATTACTTACACTCTTCTCTGCCATTTCTTACAAAACTCTTCTTGGACTACTTCTATGCTCACACTGTCTCATCATCAATTTGCATGTCAGTTCCTTTTAATTGGATTCCATCCAACCAGAATTACAGCTGCCTCTCTCTATGAAAGAATAAAGTGATTTTTTTTTCCTTCAACAATGCCAGGGTCCCTACCAGGGAATCAAACTGTCACTCCACTTGCTATTAATTATCCTGTGCTATGCCACTGTTTCCCTTCCTTCATAAAGCCCTGAACCATATTCCTTCCCCCTATGATTAACAGCAGTCATGATGATGCCTTACATCCAATGAACCAACACAAGAGGGAAATTCAGGCATCAGGCATAGATGACAAGCAATGACAAGAATACTTTAAGCAAAACATTTAACTAAAAGCAACGTCTCTTACACAAAATATACGAATTCTGAGCTTGAAGACTTGTCTTACACTAAGGCAAAAGATCCCTCAACTTCCCATAGCAGGCAGTCCATTGCATGATCCACAAGGTTAAGACAGGTTTCCTGACACCAAATCCATAAGGTTAAGACAGGTTTCCTGCTAATTAAATCTCCTTAGCCACAATATGAGCCTGTGATTTCTTGTTTCCATGGTAAATGTAAAGACCTTACCAGCTTTTTCTGTATGACAATTCCCCCCAGCATTTAAAGCCTCCTATTAAATCTTCCTTCAGCCTCCCCTTCTTCATGTTGTATCATACTCAGGAGAAGGAACAGGATGGAGAGAAGTCTCAAGACAGTTTTATGTGAGACCCAGTTGAAGAAATTGAGATTTTTAAGTCTGATACTTGGGGGATATGAGAACTGTCTTTAAAAAAAATCTCAAGGGCTTCAAGTGTGAAAGAAGAAATTAGATTTATTCAATATGACCCCAGAGAGTAAAACAAGAACCAATAGGTTCTACAAACCCACAAAGAGAAATATTTTCCCCTAAATTAAAGCAGGAACTATCTAACAAAAACAGAACTGTTCAAAGAGGTTTATTTGCCAAGGCAGGCCATTTCATGTAAGCAAAGGTGGGACAGCCATTTTGAAGAGATGTAACAATGTGTGTGCAAAACCCCTGCGGGCGGGCTGGCTAAGAGGATCTCTAGCTTCCTTGAACACTGGGATTGTACAAAACTAAGTGGCTGGGGTTTTGTCACAATGAAGAAGAGTGAGGCTTTAAGCAGTGATAAACCACCCACCACTCGCACAAGACACATTCATAGGTAACAATTTATTTTGCAAAGAATTAATAGAGGGCACTATACAATTTCATTTGAGTGGGGAAAGAGCAAAGTTTGGGGAAAGTCCACCCTACTGTAACAGGTAGAAATAATGGCTCCCCAAAGATGTCCATGTCCATTTAATTCCTGGAACCTGTGAATATGTTACTACACATAGCAAAGGGGAATTAAGGTTGGAGATGGAATTAAGGATGCTAACCAGCAGATCTTAAAATAAGGGGATTATCCTGGATTGTCAGGGTGGGCCCAATGTAATCAAGGGTTCTTAAAAGTGGAAGAGGAAGATGTAACTATGGAAAAGAGAAACAAAGAGATGGCATTTTAAGAAGGGCTCAATCTGCTGTTGCTGGCTTTGAAGATGAAGGGAAGAGCCATACACCTAGGAGTTCAGGGAAGCCTCTAGATGCTGGAAAAAGATGAGGTCATAGAATTTGTCCCAGAGCCTCCACGAGGAACACAGCCCCCTGACACCTCGATTTTAGCCCAATGAGATCCATGTTGGACTTCTAGCCTACAAAAATGTAAGATAAAAGTTTGTGTTGTTTTTAAGTCACTATGTTTGTGGTAATTTATTATTGCAGCAAATAGGAAACTAACATATCCACCACAATTTCTGATATGCTCAAACATTCTCTAAGAAAATGTCTAATATTTGCTAAATAGCTTAAAATAATAATCTGTAATATGTTTCATCAATGATAATCTTTGTATTATAGGAAAAGTAAGGATTAGTGGAAGACAGGGTTTCTATCCAAACCAACAACATAAACGGCAATATAATTGTTAAAATTAGCCTTTATATGCCATATGTTATGCCTGGTACATAGTAGACTCCCAATAAATCTTTGGTGGCTTGAATTGAAGAGGTAAAGTTCAGATGAAATCTTTGGCCTCCTTTGCTGGCCGGGACAGTAAGATTCTCATGCTAAGCAATAAATGGTCTTATCTCTTAATAATCCCATCCAATGAGTAAAACGGTGGATGAACTCTAACTGCCCTCTGTATAGCTTCTGTATTTAACAAAAACAAGGACACTGCATATATTGGGGGTGTAGGGATGCATGAGAGAAACAGAGGAAGAGCCTTTCCAATCATTTGTTTTCCCCCTTCAATAAGGAAACACTCCAGAAAATTACACTCCAGAAAATCTACCTCCACCCCCTTCACAAAGCACAAATGTCATTTCTATAGGAATAGTTTCCCAAACAATAGAAACCCTGAAGCAGGATACTTCAAAAAAAATTTTTTTTCCTTTCATTCTGCACCCTTCATTCTGGTCTCCATACTCTACACAGCACACAGTGCTGTTCAACTTTTCTGTCCTCATTTCCCCTAAGAGTTATGGTCAGCTGTGGCTCTGTGCCTGCACAGATTAGAACGGCTGAAATGCTATAAAGTTTCCACACAGGGCCACAAACACAAAGGCCATCAGGCCAACTCTCACACTCTCTAATGCCCACACCCAGAGAGCTAGTGGCAAATGCCACCAGGAATGCTTTGTCAGCCAGAGCCAGCAGCTGCTCCATAACCTCTGATCTCTAATACTTGCTTATTTTAAAAGTGCTTTTACCTGACCCCATATAAATAAATATACACAGCCATGCAGGCGGCTCTTGTTGCCCCATTCCAAATCAAAGGCACATTTAATTCCATTTTGATGTAAGCCTGAATCTGTCCTCCTCAAAGGGGAGAAAAAAACTTTGGAAACAAACGTTTAAAACAAATAAGAGAGGAGGCTAAAAGTTGAATCAGTCACTAATGGCTAAGGATGTAATCGATCCTGCCTATGTAATAAATTTTCCATAAAAACCCAAAAGGACAGGGTTTAAATGAGCTTCGCAAGAGCTAAACACGTGCAGTTTCCAGAAGGGTGACAAGTCCACGGAAGGCATAGAAGTCCACTCACTCCCCTTCTCTCCTATCTTGCCCTACGCATCTCTTCCATTTGGCTGTTCATATCTGTATCCTTTGTAATATTCTTAATAATAAGTGGGCAAACATAAGCAAATTTTTCCCCCCCGGGTTCTCTGAGTCACTCCAGCAAATTAATCAAACCTGAGGAGGGGGTCATGAGAACCCCGATTAATAGCTGGTTGGTCAGAAGTACACATCACCTGGAACTTGCAATTGGTGTCTGAAGTCGGGGGCAGTTGTGTGGGACTGAGCCCTGAGATTGTGAGATCTGATACTATCTCCAGGTAGACAGTATCAGAATGCCTGGTATATAGGGTCAAAATTAAATTGAATAAGTTCAGCTAATTAATTGATGTCTTCTGGAGAACTGCTTGGTGTGTGGGGAAAATCCACCACACATCTAGTGTCAGAAGTAAAATGTGAAGTGACTGAGAATAAGAAAAACACCTTGATTTTTCACTATCTCTCAGAAGTTCAGTCCTTGTCCTGCTTCTTTTCCCTATCGAAAATTTCTCTTAATTTGTCTAATCAGGTCATATAGTTTTAATTAACAGTATCCTAGTCACCTCCCTAATCTAAGCTCTGAGTATTAGTAGGGTGGAATGCGGTGTGAAAAAAAAATGTGATTGTGACAGAGATGGGGCTTTTAAAGGAGCTGAACTTATACACACACACACACACAGACACACACACACAAACACACACACACAGACACACAGAGTATCTGAAAACCTATACATTTCAAAGAGCTTTACATTTAGAACTTCAAAAATGAAAAATGTCAATCTTATCATTTGACAGGAGTTTCCCTTATTTCTAAAACCAAAAAAAACCCTGAAACTCAGGGTCCCCAAGAATTAGAGAAGGATTTGGCGACCATTTCCCCATAGGCTTTCTTAATAGACATGCTCTTTGCCATCAGCCAGACAGTGTAGTGGTTAAGACTCTGTGCTCTATAGCCAGACTGCCTGGGTTCCTCTCCTACCTTCATCACCTATGAGAAAAGATCTCTGGCACCTCTGTGCTTAATTTCTGCTCATTCACAAAATGAAATAATTACGGTACCTATACCTTACAAGGTTGTTGAGAAAATTAAATGAGTTCATATACAAAATCACTTAGAATAGTGTCTGACAGAAATTAACTCCACTAGCTTATGAAAGCAATCATCATCTACATTTGTGCCTCTTGGGAAATTTGAATAATGATCCTGTTGGTCACATTATCATCTCTGAGTTCTATGACCATCCCTTGCTCTCATTACCCAACACCAATCCTTCATCTCTCCATTTTGACTGCCTACGCTGACTCCATGTAACCTGCTGAATGGGAAGTACTATGTCTCTGCAGTTTCTGATGGGAACAGGGCTGGTTTTCAGGAAGAGCTCACTGAGCATATGATCCTCCAAGGAAACCAAGTAACCAAGTCTCCTCAGGCTTCACCTTCCCTGTCTGTGAACCAAGGATCTGGAGGGAATCCTTCCACTGCAGCACTCCAGTGGCCTATGAAATATCTGTTCCCGACCTCAAGTATGTCCTTGATTGCCTTCTGGTTAAGAAAAGCTGATAGTGTTTCAAGAGCCACCAACATGGTCAGTCAGCTCTTTAACCACTCAAAATTCTTCTTTCAACCACAGCTGGATTACAGTTACTCTGAACATGTTTGAAATCACTTTTTCCTTTTTTTTTTTTTTTTTTTACTTATGCCTGAAGAAAATTATACAAGCCAAAGAAGGAGCTGTATCAATTGTTTTAAAGTTATTTATTTCTGTTAAAACTAAGTGAGGGATTTCTCAGGTGGTAAATGACCTCCTCTGGTAGATTTGACTCAAAATGAAACTTGGCTGCAAAGGTGAGTTAAGCAGTGGTGAGCACAACTGAGGATACTGCAGGAACACGACCAAAGATACTAATGGAAAGATGTCATATAAACATGTCTTAAGAACAGCACTAAGGGAGAGTCTCTGTACCTTTTGAATTAAAGTTACATAAAAAGAGTAAACATAATATATATATATATAAAGTATGCTGAATACTGACTACAAGAATACTGCTAAAAAATTTACAGAAAGACCAAAATAAATGGAGAATGACTGTGAATTAGAAGACTCAACACAATAAACAATTCTCCCCAAACTGGTATACAAATTTAATTTAATTTCAATCAGGATCCCAGAAGGACATTTTTGTGGATACAGAAAAGCTGATTCTAAAATTTCTATGGAAAGGTAAAGGAACCAGTAGAAGAGTTAAAAGAAGGATGAAAAACAGCAAAGTTGAAAGTCTCACACTGTTCAATTTTAGGATTTAATATAAAGCTTCAGTAATCAAAACTGTGGGGTATTTGGGAAGGGACAGACACACTGACCAATGGAACAGAATAAGGAATTTTTACATAGATCACACATATATAGACAACTAATTTTTGACAAAGGCAGAAAGGCAATTCAATGGAAAAGGACAGTCTTTTCAACAAATGATGCTGACATAATTAGATACCTATATGGAAAAAAAATTTACACTGGGTGTAGTGGCTCATACCTGTAATCTCAATACTTCGGGAGGCTGAGGCAGGAGGATCGATTGAGCCTAGGAGTTTGAGACCAGCCCAGGCAACATAGGGAGACTTGGTCTCTACACACACACACACACACACACACACACACACACACACACATATACACACACATGCACAATTAGCTGGGTGTGTTGGTGCATGCCTGTAGTCCCAGCTACAGCTTGAGGGGATGATGTGGGAGGATCACTTGAACCCAGGAGGTCAAGGCTGCAGTGAGCTGTGATCATACCACTGCACACTCCAGACTTGGTAACAGAGCAAAACCCCATCTCAAAAAAAAAAAATTCAATCCATATACAAAAATTAATTCAAAATGAATCATAGACCTAAATGTAAAACTTAACATGACAAAACTTCTAGAAGAAACTTTGTAACCCTAAATTGGCAAAGATTTCTTAGTTATGAGACCAAAAGCATACTCCATAAAAGAACAAACTGGTATTGGGACTTCATCAAAATTTAAAACCTCTATTATTCAAAAGACACCGTTAAGTCAATGAAAATACAAACCACAGGCTGGAAGAATATTATCTGCAAATCATACATTTAATAAAACACCTCAATTAAGAACACGTAAAGAACTCTTAAGGCCGGGCACAGTGGTTCACACTTGTAATCCCAGCACTTTCGGAGGGCGAGGCATGTGGATCACCTGAGGTCAGGAGTTCGAGACCAGCTTACACAACGTGATGAAACCCCATCTCTACTAAAAATACAATAATGAGCCAGGCATGGTGGCACATACCTGTAATCCCAGCTAGTCAGGAGGCTGAGACAGGAGGATCTCTTTAACCTGGGAGGCAGAGATTTCAGTGAACTGAGATTGCACCACTGCACTCCAGCCTGGGCAAGAAGAGCGACACTCCCTCTCAAAAAAAAAAAAAAAAACTCTTGAAAGCAGAATAGTAGTTACTGAGGCTGGGAAGGGAAAGCAGGGGAACATAAGAGAGATTGGTCAACAGGTACAAGATTACAGATAGGAGGAATAATTTCTGGTGTTCTCTTGCACTATAGGGTAACTATAGTTAATGATATTGGATTGTATATTTCAAAATTTGATACCAAAGATGGGTTGTATATTGTAGTATTCAAAATCAGAGAATTTTCAATGTTGTCACAAAGAAACGATAAATGTATGAGGTGGTAGATATGCTAAATACCCTGATTTAATTTTTACATAATGTACACATATATTGAAACATCACACTGTCCCCTGTAAATACATATAATCATGTGTCAATAAAAACAAACAAAAGCTCTTGAAACTCAATAAGAAAACAAACAACTAAGGTTTTTTTCATGGGCAAAAGATTTGAACAGATGGTTTTCAAAAGAAGATATATGGACAGCAAAAGCATGAAAAGATGCTCAACATCTAGTCAGTAGGGAAAGGAAAATGTAAACCACAACGAGATTTTACTACATGCCTATTAGAATGGCTAAAATCTTACCAATATCAACTATATCAAGTGTTGGCACAAATGTGAAGGAACTAGAACTGTCATACACTGCTAGTGGGAATGTAAAATGGTACTAACACTTGAGAAAACTGTGGCAGTTTCATGTAAAGTTAAACATACACCTGCCCATTTACCCAGCCATTCCACCCTACATAATCACCCAAGAGAAACAAAAGTAGATACCCATACGAAGACTTGTATTCTAGTATTCATAGCAGCTTTATTTATAACTGCAAAAAGCTGGTATTACTCAAATGCTCAGCAATTTAAAAATAGATAAACAAACTTTGGTGTATCCATACAATGGAATACTACTCAGCAATAAAAAGGAAATTATCAATATACACTACAACATAGATGAATCTTAATTATGCTAAGTGAAAGAAGCCAAGGAAAAGAAAACAGTACATACTATATGAGATTCATTTACACGTAATTGTTGGAAGTGTCAATTAATCTACAATGATAGAAACCAGGTCAATGGTTGTCTCAAGACAAGGAAAGAAGAGAAGTAGAAGTAAGTATTCCAAAGGAGCGTGAAGAAACTTTGGGAAATGTGTTCATGATCCTCACTGTGAGATGGTTTCATGGACAACACTAAGCTAAAACTTAACACATTGTATACTAAATATCCAAGGTTTATTACATGTCAATTTTACTTCAATTTTTAAAAAAAGAATTCAGAGGACAAAGTGAAAAAGGCACCATGTCTGCTCATATCCTAATAGTTTATAGCCAAATGAAGGAATTAGCCAAACAAGCAACACAGCACAGTAAGTGCCATGATGAGGGAAGGATGAAGTGCGATATGGGAGCACAAAGAAGGAGTATTATACTGAATTGATGCCTAAATATGGCTTATGGAGGAAAGGACATCAAAGCTAAATTTGACCTATGAGTAAGGCTGATTAGGAATTCTGCTGTGTTTATTCTTGGTTGTTTATTTTTAAAAGTCAATCTTATCTTATTGTTACAACTCATTTCATATACATTATTTTATGGTAATTATGTTGTATTTTAACTGTAAAATACCACACATAATGCATACCACATATTACACACAAATGTACACTTTGTGGATAGTCATTTCCTCAGAACCAATAATCTTTGTTACAAAGACTGGTTTTATTTTGTTTGGTACCTAGGAAAAATTGAAGAACTCATGTAAGGAATCGAGCTAATAATTTGATTGGTTATTTTCCCTCTATTTTTACGAGGCCAGAAATAAATTATGGAAAATTTGTTAGGAAGGAAGCATAGGAAGTGCTTGTATAAATTGATTTAAAGGAAACAAGCAAATGTCCTCAGACCCACAAGCCTGTGAATTTATTCTATACTAATATATGACACAGTTAACATAGAAATGTCCAGAGAACCACAGTGGTTTTCCCAAGAAAAATGTATCTCTAATAATTCTAATATTTTGCCCAATAAAGAAAATAATGTATATCATTAATCACAACTTTAAAGGGACTCTGGAAAAAAGGAAATTTAAAATAAGACCCAACTTTCTACTATTTCTCAAAACCACATAGTATTTACAAAGCACCTGCTCTTTTCTCTTTTTCTCTGATTTTAACATCCTATGAAGCCCTGTTCCTACCCAGTTCTAAATGTTAATGAGCTCATTCTTAAACTATCATTTTCATGTTAATTGCACGGGGGCACAAACAGGCAAAGCAATGGGATAGAACCACATAAGCCAAGTGCTGTTTTCTTCCCTGTGTACTAAATGAATTTCAAAATAAACACAAAAACCTCAATCATACTTTAAATACTGATTTCTATCTGCCCACTAAGTGACGCATTTGTCCCATGGTCTCAGCCACCATACCGTTCTGGTGTTAAGGCACAAAAAGGAAACATTCCTAAGGGTGAGCAGGAGGAAAGGAAGAATAAAAGACACGACACGCAAAGCACACCACTGAGAACTGTATCTGCCATTGAGACCAGCCCTGACAATGAGATCTTCCTCCACAGGCCAGTTCAGACAAATCTGTCTCTGAGATGGTGGGCACACAGCTTAACAACTCCTAAATGAAATACAGTTCAGAAACAGACATTAACCACATGTACCTGCAACATTTCTCCCACACCTTCTTTTCAACAACCAGACAGAAATTTAAACAGCGCAATGGAGGTGTTAGTTTAACAGATTAAATGTTCACAGTCAGAGTCGAGCCATCTTCTTAAAGATAAGGGAATGCTTCTTTAAAAAGGACTTCTCAGCTAAGAGACTGCAACTTAGAAGTTTAGGTTTTGACTCCTGTATACCAAGTAGGACATAATCGGCATATGTGAGGACACGAGTCACATTCTCTAACTTTAGCTTTCTTGTAAAAACCTGTGGTTGCTCTTACTCATAAAGATAGGTACTCAAGGACTAAGACATGTCCCATCATCCAGGCATCCGCACCAGTCATCCTAACAGATCAAGGTGGAAGCCAGTCTACTGCATCTCAAAGAGCCAAGCCAAAAGCCTCAATCTCAGTTTCCTTAATTGCCAAATATATTTTATAACTAGAACATACAACTAGTAACAGGCTTAATTATAACAGTGGGCATTTTAATTGCTTTTGGAAAACTAGCCAACAACCTGTGGTATACAGCTTCAAAAGGATGCAATCTCATGAGCTAATTAAGATCTAAACCCTGACAAACTATAGCTCTCACAATGATATTCAGTTGCAAGCTGCACACAAGTAAAGTATATACAAGAGATAATTTTAAAATTACTTATGGGAATTAAGGGACTTATTTAATTTGATTTTGCTTTGTTTTTTGACAATAGGGAGCTAGAAAATGATCTTCCTACAATTTAGAGGGCTGGCCATCAAAAAAGAGTCTCCCAAGTAGTAAAGTCAGAATCATTTGTGTTAAGTCACTTCAGAGATCATTTCATACTTGGACTGATTTATTTAAGTGACTTGGTAAGGTTCTGGCATTTTTAAGAAAATTTTTGAAGGGAAGAAACTAAAAAGGGGGGGTGACATGTTTCGTGTGATGCTATTGAGGCAATGCATTAAATCTGTTAAATAAACACTGCTCAGACGGTAGCAAGAGTTATCTGAGAAACAGGGAGGGCATTTTGCCTCATTCCTAACTCCTCCACACTCCTCCCATAATAAAGGTTACAGTTCCGGTTTATTTTATTTAAAGGACAAAATCCTCACAGTGAAAAGACTCAGGAGAAGGAAAATCTCTTATTTTGCCCTTTCCACTTGAGTCAGAGCATAAACAAAAGTACCTGTTTATCTGCACAAGTGTGCACTCAGACGGGTGGTTTCAGAAATGTGCTTATTTCCAAGGAGCTAAAATGTCTCTTTTCATCATCTTTAAGGACAGCACTCTTATGGGTTAAAACGTATCCAAACTATGCGAATGGCCAGGTGTGCCTTTTTCAACACAGGGTGAGAAGTTACAGTAGAAACACTATGAAGTGAAAATTTCCGGCTGTACTGCAGAACTCCATCCTCCTGCTCAGGCTAACTTACTCTGCTGGTATCAACTTTAACTCCACCTAGATAGCAGCACCAGTGGTTTACAATGAACACACAGCACCCACACAAAGTCCCTTTCTGTGATTCACATAGGAAGAAGATCTATGCTACCCCATTCCTGGGAAAGGTGCAAAAGGAGTCTGAGCCTGGTTTCGCAAAGATTAATGCCACCAAAGAGGAAGAAAGGAGTTTTCTAAACCTCTCCTCTGCCCTTAAGCCAATTCTTCCAAGGTAGTCTAAACCTGGCCTCTAGCCAGCCTTGTGCAGTTCCGCTAAGTCTGCTCACTGCAACAATCCCCACAGCAATGGGGCTTTGTGACATATTCCTAGCCCTCAACAAGGAAACAAGTACTTAGTACACAAGCACCCAATCAGGCAGCAAGGGCATCAGCTGAGTCATCAGGGATGTCTGAGCTACTTTTGGCAGAGCTGATAAACAACCATGTAACACCCCTCTCTCAGCTTCAATAAAAATAAATGTTCATGTCTCTACAGCAATAAATGGAAAAAACTCAATGTAGGACTGGTTGTGTATCAGAGATAATCTGATTTTCTCAAGAGGTTCTCAATAAGCAACCAAATTCCAAATCCTTCAAAAAACCTCCACAACATAAAGTGTCCTAAATCAGAAAAGTCACAAAAACATGTCTTTCTTCATTATCTCATAGTATTTACTCCCTCTCTAGAAGCAAGTACAGAAAATAAAGAATACAAACTGGCATCACACGATGGCATACTAACTCTGACCTAATTTATTTCTTCCAATAATAAAGACTACGTGTTATTCCTGGTTTAAATACTCCAGATACTGTGGACATAATATGTAGCACTTGCATGCATGAGAGAGGTGCCTGACATCTCTGTGTCCTTGGAAGAGCCACTGCTCACTTCCCTCGAAGACAGCTCTAGACTCACAGATGACCACTACCTCCAGTCCCCTAAAGGAAATGATGTTTGGTTGCTAATACCCTCCCATGTCTGAACATCATAATCCCACCATCAGAATGCTATCACAATGCTTCTGAAAGTTACCAGTGTCGTCTTCTTTCTATTAGTCATTCACAAAAAAGAAGAGAGAGACTCAAAAAGGTTTTTCTTTCGATCATCCATGAAAAAAGAATTTAGAGGAGGTGAGCAATATGATGCTCTAGAATATTTTTCCTGTGTGTGTTTCTGTAGATATTAACAAACCAGTGATATCACACTGGGCTTGGTAAGCTAAACACCACAGTGTCCTCTCTGAGCCATTCAGATTTTACTTGAACAAACTGAGCTTTCATGAAGAGACTCAAAGGCTCAAACATGTCAGTTGGAGCTCATTCTCTGAGCCCCTTCTGGAACCTCAGAGACAGCCTATAAAGCAACGACCGAGAGGAAGAGGCACGCATCCCAAGACTAAGAGTCACCACAACTCCAGATGCACAGGCTCTAGCCATTTTATTTACAACAGCCAAAACCATAAAATGGATGGCTGTACATGATACACGACTGAACGAACAAGTATGGAGAAGGGCTTTCTCTAAGACCTACTCTGCAAAGCCCAAATGGGGTTAAAATGTCCCTAATAAAGAAAGTTAGTGTTATTAGGCACATATTTCAGTTTAAAGAGTTTTTCATAAATGGTAGGTATCATGTTCTCCCACCAATTGGACTCCATCCAGTTGACAGTCAAAACCAGATTCATATATGTTAATCCCGCAAGGATAGGAATTTATTCTGCTTTGTTCACAAATATATCCCTAGCATCCAGAAAGGCACAAAAGATAGTTCATTCAAATATTTGTTGAATTTCTTTAACCCTCACAACTACCTAGATGATAAATCTAATGATTAAGATATTTCAGTGGCATGCCCAAAGTTACAAAGCTGGGAAGTGGCAGCATGACTTTTTTTTTAAATAAAAATTTTGACACCAATTGAAAGATGAATATTTCTTACACCTGCATACCCTTCAAGCAATCAAGCAATCCTTTATTAGCAGCATACTCTGAGTTCTGTAATAAGCTAGGTACTTGCTATATAACTAGTGTCTACCTCTAGCAATAGTCACAAACTATGAAACTAGCCAAAGAAAACAGACTGGTGACATCACAATTTAACCTATGACTAAAATTAACATTCATAAAAGCTACAATTCTTACCAATGGGGCAAATTTGTATAAAAAGTATGCAGATGAGGTCTGATAATGAAAGCAAAAAAAGAGCTAACCAATGGACCCACTGCTAATCTCTTAGAAGGAAACAGAAAAATCTTGCTTTTACAGTTAAGGTGACCAAAAGAAAATTTTAAAATGTGAAACAGGTCTCAAGTTAAGGAGTAATTCAGGTGTTCTCTATACAGAAAAAGGCAAAGGAAATGAAAAATTCCAAGAAAAGAGAAGCATCAGAGGTTGCAAAGGCTCCAGACCTGACCTCCAAGTACTTTTTACGTTGGTTTCCTGGGAACATACCAGCCTTTGTGTACTGCTTAGAGCAGAAGCTTCAACATTCTTTTACCTTACAATAAGCAAGATATCGTGTAACCAAATGAGGTGAAGTGTAATCTCATCACACAATACAACACAAGCAGCTGTGATTTCCTAGTTAAAGGACAGCGGCTCAGTTCAGCTGCACACCTGCAATTATTTAATGTCTAGTTAAGCTTGTCTCCATTTAATAAATTACCTGATAATTACAAAGAGAAAGGAAAGAAAAGACATAAGCCACAACTGAGAACTGGAGAGAAGTTTGGGAATTAACAAACAAAGGTGGAGAAAAAACTCCTCATAAAAGGTTTGGAGAAGAACAAAATATTTGAGTCAAGTAAATTAAGTAATTCAATTTGACAAACATTTCATAAGCATCTGCTAGATGCCAGGCAAGGTGTTAGCCAAGGCAGAGCGTCCAAAACTCAACTATCCTGGCCTCTACCCTAGGTGTGCTCAGCAAGTCTCTGAGCTACTTCTGGGAGGAAGAGCTGACAGACAAAGATAGAGTCCTTACTTCTCCAGGCCGGCTGCAGGATTATCAATTTCCCCCTCACTTACTAACAGAACAGATATTCCCTGGGCCCTCCAACACACACAGCCAGCTATCGGCTGTCCAGGAAACCAGCACAGAATGTTCCAGGACAATACTAATCTATAGGCAATATCAAAATCTCATTTCCACCAATAGCTTCAGCCACTGCCCATCCCCAACCCCAGCTACACCTCCTGAACTGCACCCAAAATAAATTTCCTTTTCCTCTATCTTTACTTCTCTTCCTGACTGCCCTTGAGTGAAACAAAACTGCCAGAAGAAAGACAACAAGAGGAAAAGGCAGAGGGGATGGGTTGGGTAGAGGTGAATGAGGTATCCTCAAAATTTGTAGGTTGAAGTCCTAACCCCCAGTACCTCAGAATGAAACCGTATTTGGAGAGAAGGTCTTTAAAGAGGTAATTAATTAAAATGAGGTCTTTATGGTGGGCTCTAATCCAGTATGGCGGCTGTCTTTAAAGGAAGAGGAAATCTGAACACGGATATGTGCACCTAGAGGGAAGACCATGTAAGGACACAGCAAGGTAGCCATCTGCAAGACAAAGAGATTGGCCTCAGAAGAAACCAAACCTCTCAACACCTTGATCTCAGCCTTCTAGCCTCCAGAGCTGAGAGAAAATACATTTCTATTGTTTAAGTCACCTGGTCTTTGTTACAGTGGCCCTAGCCAACGAATATAGCCACAAATCAGAAAATAAACTCTTATAAAAATAAGCAATTTCCCACGAATAGGCCCATTCCAAATTCTTCAGATTAATTTCCACTTGGATCCAAATGAGGGCTGACAATTTGTTCCCTGTCAGTCAGGCCGTCCCTAGGTGCTATTTGATATAGCTGAAATAATATGCATTCTTTCCACATAGCAATTCTACAGCCTTGAACTTGGTCAAATCACAAACGGACCCAACCACTGGGACTGACCATCCATCTATCCAGTCATCCTTTCATCCATCCATGCATTCATTCCATAATACTTATAAACCGCCTATTATTTGGAGGAGAAATGAAGAAAAATTAAGATCTGGGATCAGCTCTTAGTACTAGCACTAGGTAGTAGTAGTACTAGTATTTACACTATCAGGCTAAATTGAGATAGGCCCGATGACCTATGCACGCACATTGTTAGGAATACCTAACACCTATACATTTCCAAGTCTGCAAAGAAAAAGGGTAGGAGACAGTCTAGGCATAGAAGACATAAGGAGGCCAGGCACAATGGCTCACGCCTGTAATCCCAACACTGTGGGAGGCCGAGGCAGGCAGAGAGCTTGAGCTGACGAGTTTGAGACTAGCATGGGCAACACGGTGAAACCCCGTCTCTACAAAAAGTACAAAAATTAGCCGGGCATGGTGGTGTGCACCTGTAGTCCCAGCTACTGGGGAGGCTGAGGTGAGAGGATCACTTGAGCCTGGGAGGTTGAGGCTGCAGTGAGTTGTGATTGTGCCACTGCACTCTAGCCTGGGTGACAGAACAAGACCCTGCCTCAAAAAGAAAAAAAGAAAGAAAACATACAAGGAAAGCACAGAGACATGAAAGCAGGAAACTGAGTCAGAATATCAAAATACTGAATATGAATCTCAGCTCTAACACAAGGTACATGACCTTGGGCAAATGACAAAACTCTTTGATCCTGTATTGAATAGTGTAATCAGACAATGCTTGTCGAGGCACCTGAATTGTCCCTACTACTGCAGGGTGGCTACTGGTTATATTTTATTTGTATTGAGAATAGCAGATAGTCCTGTGGCCTGGACCACAAGAAAAAGTAAGCCTGAAAATTAGGCTATAATGGTATTTTAGAGGCCGGGTGCCGTGGCTCATGCCTGTACTTTGGGAGGCCGAGATGGGCAGATCACGAGGTCAGAAGATCAAGACCATCCTGGTTAGCACGATGAAATCCCGTCTCTACTAAAAATACAAAAAAATTAGCCGGGCGTGGTGGCAGGCGCCTGTAATCCCAGCTACTCGGGAGGCTGAGGCAGGAGAATGGTGTGAACTTGGGAGGCGGAGCTTGCAGTGAGCAGAGATCGCACCACCGCACTCCAGCCTGGGCGACAGAGTGAGACTCCGTCTCAAAAAAAAAAAAAATTGTATTTTAGAGCCAGACTGTAGAGAGCCTAATATGGCACACTAAGGAGTTCAGAAAACAGTGTATCCTATGGACAACATGAAGTCTCTGAAGGTTTTTAGAACCCAGTTCAACAGCAGAGTTTGGGATTTCTGAAAGACCACTGTGATAGCACTGTAAACAGCTGGGAGAGAGGAAATGAAGTCAGGGTGACAAGTCAGGGGGCAAATGCAAGTGACAGAGCCAGAGAAAAGGATGACAGAGAGGAGAGGATGGAGTCAAGGTAAAGCTCAGAAGCACAGCAGCCAGGACGTTGTGACCTCCCAAGATGAAACTTGTTTCTAAAAGAAAATTACCAAGGACTTAATTAAATTAACTAGCCAGGTTACTATTTTCACATTCTAGAAACACTGCCCTGCTTAATTAACTTATATTCTAATTCATTTACATACATGCATTTTAAAAAGCTAGCAAAACATGACCAAACAGACTAGCACTCTTGACCAATAAACAATCTCTTTAAAGAGCCAAACAACTGCAGAGAGCTTTTATTTTTAGCATTTAACATCTCTGATATTTACTGAAGTTTATAGTTCCTCTTCCCTGGGAGCTATTTTATTGTTTAAGTGGACTGTATTAATATTCGTACTTCCACCCTGACCAAACCAGCAGATGAGAGCAAACAGCTTCCTCTGACTCTTCAACCTGCTGCTATTTTCATACCTAGCCTACTCTAAAAGTATAATGATCAGCTCTAAATCTAGGCTTGAAGGCAGAGTACTAAAGGCCAGTACAACATTTACATTTCTCTCAGGCTGAGGCATGGAAATTCAGTGACAAATCAATTTTTTTCTTTTACAAAGTGGTGGATATTCAGGCATTTAAGAAGAAGCAGTGCAGGTGTGAGGAGATCCAAAAGGAGATGCTGAGGATATCCTTCCATGAGTCATCTTAATAGCTCTGCCAATTTTTATACTACTTATCAGGCCAATAAAGTAAACCCAGTCAAGGGCTGGGGGAGGTTAAACAAGTTGTAGACAGGCCTCTGGGTTTGCACAGCAGCAAACCACAGATTAAAATTACTCAGGAGTCCTGCACAGAAGTAATGATTCCCCCTACCATGCATGCCACCTGCTCCCGCACACACCTATGAAAACGTCCACCCTCCACTTTCACAGGCATTCTCTGTGCCTCCTGTACTAGCCTTTAACACTGTTTTTATACTGTTGGTACAAAAGTAACCATGGTTTTTGCCACTGAAATTGCCATTGAAAGTAATGGCAAAAACTTCAATTATTTTGCACCAACCTAATAGTTACTTGTAAACAATCCTGTCTCCTCAACTAGAATGCAAGCAGGATCCATGTGAGAGTTGGCTTTGTGCTGTGCCTACATAAGTGAAATTCAATAAATGTTTGGTGAATGGCACATTAATCACATAAGCCGAGAACCCAAAGGAGGATCTTGGAGAGCCTCTGCACTAGAGCAATGCTTCCAAACATTGAACATGCAGACCAATGACTTGGAGATCTTGTTAAAATACACATTCTTGAACTGCACCCACTGGAGATTCTGATTCAGTAAGTCTAGGGTAGGAGTCCCCAAATCTGCATTTCTAACAAGATCCCAGGTGGTGCTGATGTTGCTGATCCACACTAGCTCTACCTAGAATAACCTCCTACCCAAAGTAGAAATCACCCCACAAGTGCAATTCTTAGAAATAGCATGTAGTAACCACTGCCCCCATGATGAAAGCTCACACACACAAGGCAGCCCAGTCCTCTTCCAGTCAGAGAACTACTACGAAGTCCTCCTATATATATACTAAGTATCCTGGATTTCAAATGACTGCCCTACAGACCCTAAGTATGTACCTTTCACAGACTTCTCACTGACCTTTCAAATCAGTCATTCATTTTCCTTCCTTCTCACCCTGCCTCTGCCTTTTCTCCTTATCCTTGCACAACCAGAACCACATCTGAATACTAAACTACAGCCCTTTTATTTGTGTTTCCCAGGAAGATATTGCAGAAAAACTGCCTGCTTCTGAATAAAGGTTTTCCCTCTATGAATCTATGTACCTACTTTCCCCAAAATGAGCTCCTTCCTTACCAGCAACTAATCAATCCCCAGAAGACCACACATGAGCATCCAAGGGGAACTGTCTACCCTCTCCATTGAGCTGCTTCCAGCACCACATTGACCTCTCGAAGTCCCTCACAAGCACATCAATGTTTTCATTAGTCAAATAAAGAGGATGCACTGATCTCATGTTCCTTCTAGCTCTGATGCCCTAGAAGTATGTGATCTGAACCTAGGGACAATTGGCAACTATTCCAGGTTTCTCTTTTGCCGACATACTCTTCTCTTTCTTGCTAGTACGGGTTATTTCACTCAAGAGACCAGAGGGAAGCACGTGGAGATTCAGAGTCAGGAGACCTGGACTCAAACCCCAACTCCACCACCAAGGAGCTGTATGGCATTGGGAGAATCAGATAACCTATTTGACTCCCCATCTCTTCAGTCGTAAACTGGAGATAATAATACCTCAAGCTCTTTTATGAGACTGAGATAAAATAAAATACATAAAATGTTTCCCAAACTGCAAAATGCTACAGAAATGCTAATTAGCATCAATGCTGATAATATCCCTCTTATCCTTATTTCACTTACGAATGGCTCCCAGTTCTAACAGTTCCCCCTTTCACAATGCATGTCCTCGTCACCCCAGTCAAAGGAGAGTGACCTCACATTCTTTTGTATTCTCAAAGTATACTGGGGATGGCAATGACGACAACCAGCCTTGCGTTTATAGGCACTTGTGCTCAGGCTGCAAGGCACGAGGGCTCCTTGCAGCATCTTACACATCATCTTGTTTAGAGTCTGGCACTTGCTGAGCACTCAAATACTGGCTGAATGAATGGCATTTCAGTTAGTAGGTTAAGTGCCTCACAAGGTAAAGAATAGAGGAAGAAGAAAGGTTAATCAACAAAAGTCAAATGCAACATAACCCACTATTTTATTGCATGGCCTCTGAAACCACTGCCCTGTACGACTTTTCGGCCAGTATTTATTGAGCACTTACAATGTTCTAGGCCTGTACCAAGCACTTTACATGTCTCATCACATTTAATCTTCACAACTACTAGATGAGGCAGGTACTGTTCTAATCCCTATTTTATAAACAGGGAGAGAGTGAGGTACAAAGAGGTTAGGTAACTTGTCCGAGGTGATACATCTAGCAGTGGCAAAGCAGGAATCTGAATCCACAAGGTTTTATTCCAGAGCCAGTATTCTTAACTTCCAGGCTATGTGGACCCTTACAGGACACAAAGCTTCAAGGCATGTTTCTATCTGGGAAAGCATTTCTGCCTCCACATTTTAGCTCCTTACTCCAAGAACCAATTAACAGGACAGAATGACAGCCTGAAGCTCCAGAAAAATTATAGCTACTCATCCTCTCAATTAGCATGTGAGGCAGAGAGGACGCAAAACCACCAAATATTTAATGTGCTCGAAACTTGGTCTATGAAAGATTCAGTCACTTGAAAACCACATTTATTATTGGAAGTAAATCTCAAGAAATACAAACTTGAGGCAAGGTTTTCACTTCAATAACCTTTCTAGTTAATAATTGATACTAGTAAAAGAAGAATAATGGAAGATGGGCTCTGAATTATATGCCTCATAATGGAGGCTAGTCAGAAGCTCAGCAGAATTTCCCAAGTCTGTCACTCCATATGGAAAATCCCCAGAGGCAGCCAGGAGTCGTGAATTGGATGTGCATCCTTATTTGGGCTGACAAACCTATGACAAGCCACAGAATTCCAGGAGACCTGTCCTTCCTCAAACCATCTAACCCAATTAACGAGCTAATGAGGGCATAAGAAAAGAAAAAAAAAATCCCCGTAATCTTTGCAACTTTTTGGTAAGTCTATAAGTATTCCAAAATAGCTTATTTTAAAAATTAAAAAAAAATAGCAATAATCAAATAGAAAAAACAGGAAAGAAATATAACCAGACTGTTGATGACACAAAAGGAAATACTATCAGATCTTGGACATAGTAAATAATGCTCAACATTACTCATAATAAGAAATGCAAATTGAAACCACTTTGAGATACCAATTTTCTCCTATCAGATTGGCAAAAATTCAAAAGTTTAACACCACCACCCTGTTGACAAGACTGCGGGGAAATCTCTACTCTTAAACAGATGGGAATATAAATTAGTACGACCTCTACAGAGGGATTTAGCAGTGACTATCAAAATTACAAATGCACATTCACTGTAACAATTTCACTTCTGGGAATTTATCCTACAACTGAACACACACCCAGGATGAAATGCCATATGATCAAGATTATTCACTGTATGCCTGTAATCCCAGCACTTTGGGAGGCCGAGGCGGGCAGATCACTTGAGGTCAGGAGTCTGAGACAAGCCTGGACAACATGGCGAAACCCCGTCTTTACTAAATATACAAAAATTAGCCAGGTGTGGCGGCGGGCACCTGTAATTCCAGCTATTCAGGAGGCTGAGGCAGAAGAATTGCTTGAACCTGAGAGGCAGAGGTTGCAGTGAGCCGAGATTGTGCCACTGCACCCCAGCCTGGGCAAGAGTGAGATTCTGTCTCGGGAAAAAAAAAAAAAAAAAAAAAACATTATCACTGCAGCATCACTTGTAAGAGCAAAAGATTGTAAATAACCAAAGTGTCAGACAGGTTAAGTAAATTATGGTACAGCTATACAATGAAATATTAAGCAGCTATAAAAAGGAATACGGAAGCTCTCTCTGTAGTGAGATGGAATGATCTCCAAGATATATTGGTAACTACAAAACAGCAAGATGCAGAACAGTGCTTATAGTATGCTAAATATGGTATAACAAAGGGCAGAAAAAGCGAGAGCATACACAAATAGGAGAGTACACACACTATTTAAGAAATTACAAAAGATGTAATAGAGACTAATAAAGTAGTTATAAAAGCCTGAAGAATGGGGCACATAGGTCCAGGGATGAGAGTGAGACATTCCTCTATATACTTCTTAATACAATTTTGCTTTTGGGATCATATTAATATATTACCTACTCAGAAATGAACAATAATAAGATACCAGCAAAAATGCCCATCAATCCCATGAATGACAGGATCAATCTTTGCTTTTAACTCTACATAGTTATATTATTCAAGAATTATAAGTGACCAGTCTCCAAATTCTTTTTCTATTGCTTCCTATGACACACCTCGCCATATATATTCCTAGGAGATAAACACCAATTTAATATGAACCAAAAGAGTATAATCATAAACAGGAGAATGTAAACATAGGAAAAAATATATAGTCAAAGTTATATATGACATTGGGAAATCTATCTTACCTCCTATGTTAGATGATCTGTGCTACTGTTTCCTTCCCATACATACCCACCCCTTATCTTTAACCTTCCCCTCCCCAAGTGCAGATAGTCAAGAACTCAGCAGTTTTAGCACTTAAAAGTTCAAAACTTATTTGTGAGTAAATTTGAACCCAAAAGCATGAATAAAAATCTCAAAATACAACCTAGTGTGAAAATTTGACATGTTGGCAGATGCTGACCCAAATTGACTCGGCAACACATTATCTCCAATGGGATCACTCATATGTTTCTTGTGTTAAGTCTAAGGCTGTGTGCACTGTGAGGCCATTAAAGCAGACCACGGGCATGTGTGGTATCTTGCAGGAAAGTAGGCAGAATAAAGAGGCAGCCTATGACATCAGTGATCCTACTAAGAAGGAACCCCCAGGCTCACAGATAATAACATTAAATGGTAGACAGGCTGCCACTCAGCAGGTAAGTACTTTTTAAAAACCCTTTGGTAGACAAGTCATCAAAGCCCAGCTCAACAAAATACTATCTAGGGAAAATTATTTGCTTTTCTACTAGATCAATAAGTAGCAAATAAGGTTAGAGACTAGAAATGAGCAATCAATAAAATAGGGAAAGCACCATAACCTGTCACTGGTTTTGGCCACATCCTTCGTTCCTGTCTACCGGTTTTCACAAAGAGAGGAGAGACAACTACTATGTCACTCAATTTTTCGCATATACACACCTAACATTTTATTGTGCTTAAAATTATGGGACCATTATTAATGGCCAAGACACTCCATATCAGATCACCACTGGAGAAAAACTTGCCCTAGAGAGTTCTATGTATAAATTGAGTTATACATAGATGTATTTTACCCAAAGTCCCTGCTCAAGCTTAGGATAACAGGAGTTTCTAAAAGTAACATCCTGTTCTCCCTTCTCTTTGTCTTCAGGTCTGTCTTAGTGTCTTAATCAGCAGAGCCATAATCTAGAAGGCTCCACTATAAACTGCCGTGTTATCACAAAATGTCTGATCTACTTGAAGAAGTGAAGGAAAAGCGGCATGCTGATCCACTACAGAAAGTTCCCATGGTACCTCATGAATTTTTGAAGCTGTCTCATAAATCAGTTCAGCCAAGATCACTTAACTTGGTCTTGTTACAAATCCTGCTGCCACAGTGGACAGTGTCTGAAATTGTAATTTAAAAATGGAGGAAGGACTCTTCCACAAAAGCTGGGGTGGAGAGCTCACAATGCCAGTTCAGGAGTGTCTGAATACAGAGCTTGGGATGCCCAAAGTCAAGGACGAGAGGAAACTGATCTGAGCACTAACAAAATCCTAAGCTGCAGAAGATTCATTTTCTTTCACTTATTTCTGTAGGTATAAAGCTAAGACAGTCTGAGAAAAAGCTCAGACTGCACCTCATAGCAAATCTAGAAAGCCTACCCCTGACATCACCACAGCACTTCTCATATTGAATCACGATTGGTGGGTTTCTTAATTTAATCCTCTCTCAACTGTGAGTTCCCCAAGGCAGAGATCATTTTATTTATCCCCAGTGCACCTAGCTCAGTGCATGGCACCATGGATACAGTACATAAATATTTGGTGGATGTCTACTTAGAAGAGGCAATGCTTCTTGTAAAAGAAAAGGAAGCCTATACAATTCAGTTCATTTGCCCTTGGCAAAGAGGAACATAAGATCTACATCCTAAAACTGATTCTCAGAGTAAGGTCCTTGGACTAGTAGCATCAGCAATGCCTGGGGCCACATGAGAAATGCAAATTTTAAGGCCCCACCCAGGCATACTGAATCAGAAACTATGGATGAGGTCTAGCAATCTACATTTTAATAAGCCCTCCAGACGATTTTAATGAAAAGTAAAGTTTGAGAATCATTGTCCAACAGTTTCTGTGCATACACATACGTTACAGCTTCCTAACCTATCCCTTAGAAGTGAGACAACTGAATAAGATAACTCTAAACGTTTTTTAGATGTTTGGAAATAAGTTTACACACAACCATGAACCAGCTTTCCTGGTGGTGTTAATTAATTACATATGCAATGCTGGTTCAGTGGTTTTTATTAATCTGTTTCTCTCTGCTCACAGCAAAGACATACATATTTTACCAATGAAAATACAAAAGTCAAACCAACAGCTGAGACACTAGAAAAAAAATCTTTTTACAAATTGACCAGAACACATTAGAAAATTAATGTTACACAAAGTGACAAGAAGGTCAGGTTCTTAGGGCAAAATGGAGGTCATTCTGCATTTATCTCCAACTCAAACAACTAAAAGACATTCAGCAAAGATCTCCTCATTCTCCCCACTCTGTGCATGGCTATGGTGGCCTTCTCCCAGATTATCTGCTGGTATTTCTAAAGAGCAGATCGAGATAAGAGGGTAAGAGTATTCAGAGTGCTCAAAGAGGGAGGAGCAATTTTGTCACATGGAGACTTCAATGACATGTCAACAATGAGCCTAATTACCCTGCTGCTATTCTGAAAATAATTCTATACCCTTCACGTAAAAAAAAAATTCTATACCCCAGTGAGTCTATTTTGGAGGGAAAACAGCCCAGCAAAGACACCCTTGGCCAGCATTAGAGAAGGCTGACGTTACTAAGGAAACTCACTTGGGGAGGAAGTGCTGAGTCTCTTGGCCTTTCCCTGAGGAGGGGTAAGGTAACCAAACCAAAAAGGGAAGAACAGAGGTCCTCTTGAGCCTATGCAGCTGCTAGAGGTGCACCGAGGCTAACCGCAGGCTTCTAGAGGTGTCAAACTGCTCTGCAAAACTAAATTTGTCCTTGTGGCTGGAGAAATCGCAAAAAGAAAAGTGAATTCTCACCCATGATCTGACAGATGCATGTGCTTCACTAGCCACGAATATATTCAGATATTAAAGGGGCAGCAATTTTTAAAACTGATCATAATACGTTTTCATTCAGGGCCCACAAAACAAAAATACCACAAAGGGTGTCTTCCTATTTGTAGATGGAAAAAGAGCATTTCTTGAGTGTCAAGAAGGCCCCTTCTTGTGTTCTCCCGTAATACAGAAGCTACTGACCAAGAAACCGTGCTTAAAAATAAAGATTTTTTTTAATGTCTAGTTTCCATACCCAGTTTCAAGAAATTCAAAATTAGAGTAATTTTGGTCAAAATCTGTTAGATTTATTCCTGCAGTTGTGGGAGGGGGGCATTTTTAAAATGCTTCACTAAAACAGAAAATATACAAAAGCATGCTCTTAAAATATAGCAAAATATTATAAACAACATCAAGCCTATTAATGTCTACTATCAATCTAGTTTTAAGAGGATAGTTTTTTAAAATGGATATGAACATTTGCCCAATTAATTTTGTTTTTAAAGTGAGTATTAAAAAGCACAATATTTAGTCGAATGTGATTCAAATTCATCCAAATCAGGACCTACCCCTAATCAAATATCTGACTACAATTTTTCAAACAGTTAATAATTTTTTTGTTTTATATTTTATTAAGCTGAATAACACAATATAGTATTTCCTCTATATGACCAACCTGAAAATATTATATTCCCTGTTACTTTGTTAATCTATATTTATATTTTTAAAAAAATTTTTTTTCTTTTTTATACAAGAGTCTTGATCTGTTGCTCAGCCTGGAGTGCAGTGGTGCGATCACAGTTCACGGCGGCCTTGATCTCTGGGGCTCGAGCTATCCTCCCACCTTAGCCTCCAAAGTAGCTGGGACCACAGGGGTGTGCCACCACATGTGACTTTTTTTTCTTTTTTCTTTTTTTGTAGAAATGGAGTCTCACTGTGTTTCCCAAGCTGATCTCAAACTCCTGGGCTCAAGCAATCCTCCCACCTCAGCCTGCCAAAGCGCTGGGATTACAGGCATGAGCTACCATGCCTGGCCTGTTAATATATTTTCAGTGATTAAACAAATGATGACAAAACATAGGTTACCACGTTCTCTCCCATGGAATACCCATTTCTGTAAACACCCAAAATGTTCCAGTGGGGTTTTCCTGCTTTATAAAGCAGTACATATTTTAAACCCCTTTTACTCTTAATTTCAAAGACGTTTGGCGTTTTGCAAAGCTAGAAAAAGTAATTTTATCTCTCACTGCCATACCTACAGTCAAACTATAAATAGTAAGGCCACCTTGTAAAATAATGGATTTCAATCTACTTTCAACTTTGAGGGTCCGCATTACAACTATAATTACTTCTTTTAGATAACTCCTGTCCACTAAGCACCCAAATACAGAACAACGAAAGCCAACTTTCCACTTATGAAAACCCACAGAGTTTAATTTGTGATCTATTCTTTGTTCCTGAATAGGAACATGGTTTTGCCATGTTGCCTAGGCTGGTCTCAAACTCGTGAGCCCAAGCCATCTGCCCATCTCAGCCTCCCAAAGTGCTGGGATTACAGGTGTGAGCCACCATGGCTGGCCATAGAGCTTTTCTTATCCCCTGACTTCCTTTCCATGTCATTACGTTTTCTATTTTCACTCAGAACCCAAACTTTTTTCCCCAAACATGGCTGGGCATCAAAATCACCTGCAGATGCTATAACAGGATGTCTTAAAAGAACAGTAAAGAAAATAAAAATTATAATTTTTAAAAAGTAGAAAAAAAATTACCTGCAGGGCTTTCAAAAATTAAACATTCCTAATCCTTACCCCCACTGAGTCAGAATTTCCAGGAGTGAGACACAGAAATCCCTATTTGTTTTTAATGAATACTCAAATTTCAAAACTAGTACTTGGTAGCAGGGAATCAACAAGCAACACCTATTAGTTCCACCTAACTGCCCCAGCAACAATCACACACGAGTCTAAGGAAGCCATCACTGCAAGTAAAAATGTTTTAAGAGGAGACATCTAAATGGCAGAACAATAAGGTAAAATGAAAACCTAGTGTTGCCCATGAAATTCAGCAAATCTACCTGTAGTCTCCCATCTCCCTGCCCAATAGTGTAAAGACCACAGTAGTGGTTCCCAAGTTTTAGCAGGCATTAGAATCACCCTACACAGCGTATTAAAATTTCTGATAAGGGAATGGGGATCTCATGAATTTGCATATCTAACAAATTCCCAAGGGATGCTGCTGGTCCAATAACCATGCTTTGAGAACCACCAGGCTAAAGCAATGTCATGGAAATCAAATCTGGTGCAATTCCAGCTTTATCGCTAACTAGCTACACAACTTTGAGCAAGTCTCAAATTCTCTAAATTTTGTCTTCTCTTCTTCAGTGGGAGAGAGAGAGAGAGACAGACAGAGAGAGAGATATGATATCACAGTATCTCCTCTACCTCCAATACTACCAGTTCTATGAAACACAAATCCCAGCTGAATGAGCACATGAAAATGCAGGAATCTTAAAGGTAAAAGAAAAGGTTCCAGTCCTTGAAACAAGCAGTCAAGTATATTAACAGCCCAAAATAACACACACATCCAGAGGCAACAAATTAGTCTTTTTTGTAGTTTTCTAAAGCCTTTGCTAATCCATATGGCCAAGAGAAAAAATTATCATGTTTCCAGAATCCCATCCTTATACAAAAAAACTTGTCATGGCATGAGTTAAATTTCCTTTTGGCACCAAGTATCTCAACTATTTGCCAAAAAAGTCCTGTGGCTTTACCCCCAGAATGGGGAAATGGGCTGCTAAGATTTACAGAATGTCCAAAATACACCAGGCGCTGACAGATGTTTTCACACTCTGTTGCTCAAGTCTCCACAACAGTATGAAATAAATAGAATCCTCACTGTACAGATGCTGAAACTGAGGCTCAGGGAATGTTAAGTAACTCACTCATGACAGAACAGGTAATTAATGACAGAGTCAAAATTTGTACTAAGGTCTATACAACTCTAAACCTCTCACTCTGTTCAAGGTGCCACAGTTTCCTCATTATTTCCATCTACCATAACACTTGAAAATGCCATGAGAGAGATCTTTTTCTCAAAATTAAGGTGAGGAAAGTTCTAGCGTGTTTATAAATTAATTTTGAGGGAAGTCTCTCGGTCAGTGCATTCCTGACCAGCCTCTTGAAAGCTGGAACCTAGAGGGGTTTCAGAAGCCTGTTACATTTTTCATGTAAACCTGAAAAACAGGCTAAAATTATGTGCTTGAGCACATTCTCAGCTCACTCTAAGCAGCATAAAACCCCCTAAACAAATGGGTTGTTAGAAGACGTGGGCCAAAAGAGAACAAAGAAACCATCCCCCAAGCCCCATCCTAAACACAATCCAGATTGGTATATACCATGACTCTTTAAAATAGTCAAGTTCAAGATCATAAGCTAATCCAAGAAAGTATCTCTCCATTTCCCCTCAGGAAAAGTTGAGCACAAATTTGCATCAACTGAAGAGACAACAGATAAGAACCAAATTGAAAGACATAAGGATACAATAAATAAAAGCTATTTGTTAATGTTTTCAGGCTACTGAACTGTATATTTGATAGTTCATACATGTAAAGACTCTCCAACCTCATATTCATCCATTTCTCCAATAAAATCATCACACACGTAAGTACCAGAGCAACACTGGAAAACATTTCATATGTCTGTATTTCACAGCCCTAGCAGAAGAGTGACCTTAAAAATGGTAGGTCTTTAAAATGATAAGTGTTTCTATAAAAACTCCTCATTTCAAAGGACCACCGAAGTCTTCCAAAGGTGTGGTTATTCTCCTCCAGTCTTCGTTGCCAACCACACAAAAAATTACGTTTGTTCTATTATCTCTACAGACTTGGAATGGCACTTGGAATGCCAGGGGTAGGGAAGATTGCAGAGGTCACAGGTGTTCTCCTTAGTGGGCCAAACGCCCACTGGCAGCACAATTCTCCCACCTCTAAAGCATATACACACAGCCCTTGTAGGCACTGGCCCCGCTGAAGCTCTCAGCTTCAAGCTCTAAGGTGCTCAGCTGGATGGCACAGTTGACAAAAACAGGGAGCTAAGGAGACCAAGACTGAGGCATCTGAAGCTTACACAGGTCAGTCTACTTGGCTCAGATCCATGGGTGGAGGCTTCATGTCTAACTTCTACATGCCTGCCAGATGCTACCTGTAAGAGACAAAAAAAAATCTATCCTCCCTACAGGAAAAAACACTTCCTGCCTTGGGTCCCACTGATGATGGCAGCAGCGGCCCATGCTGCAGCAGGGGAGGCACAGCCAGGAAAAGACAGGAGCCCCACCCCATACCGAGTTAGCAGGGTGGGAGCCCTGCACTCCTGGGCACAGCTGCAGCTGCCCAGCTGTGGCTCTGGACCCAGGCATCCCTGTGTTCTCGGGGGCCCAACTCCCATAGGCTTGGAAGTACATGCTCCCACTCCCTGGCCTCTCCCCACTCCCGGCACCTGCTCTGGTGCAGAGCAAAGTTGTGGCTGAGACTGGGCACTGCCGCGACCCAGTCAGGTGTACAGTAGCTCAGGTGATGTTGACACACCAGCCCTCTGCCACCTCGGCCCCCTCTGGACTTTGGCTGCAAACAGGTGCAGGAGGGAAGTGGAGGATGGGGGTGGGTGCTGAGGGTAGCTTGGCATGGGTCTGCAGACACCCCTCTCTGCACAAACAGCCTAGACACAATGGACAGCTTGTTGACGGTGGGAGGCAGACAGGTTCCTGGGCGGAAAGGGGTAGGTCCCCTGTGAAACCCCAACTTCAAGCCAGGGATGGCCTGAAGCCTAGGGGCCAGGCTGCCAGTTCCAGCTGGAGTCCGTGGCTTGGAATAAGAACTTACGGTGCTTTCTCCAGGCCCACTCATGGCCACCCATGGACCAATCAGCACATACTTCCTCCCTTCCGAGCCCATAAAAACCCTCGGACTCAGGTAGACTCAGGCAGATGTCAGGACTACCAGCTGCAGGAAGGAGATACCCACTTTGGGTCTCCTCAACTTGTCAGGACAACCTGACTATGGAAAGCACTTACCCACTATGGGTCTCCTCTCTGCTGACAGCTGGAAACTCGTCAGGATGACCTGCTGTGGAAGGGAGCTACCCACTTCTGATCTCCTAAGAGCTCTTCTGTCACTTAAATGAAGCCCCTCTCCGCCTTGCTCACCCTCTGGTTGTCCACGTATCTCATTCTTCCTGGATGCAGGACAAAACTCAGCACCCGCTGAATTGCGGGACTGAAAGGGGTGTAACACAACCCCCAATAGCCACATTGCAGGTGACGAGAAAGAGAGAAGAGTTGCAGCCCTTCAGGAAGCCCAAACCTAGTGGCTCTACAAGCCAGGACTGTGACACCCTGTTTGGGGTTCTGTGGTTCCTGGAGTCTCCAAGCTTCCAGGTGCCACCGCATTCCCCAGTGCCCACAGTGGAAGCTGCTTGCAGTACACCTGGTCCAGCCACAGCCTCATATGGAGCTGCCCACCCCACAGCCAGCATGCCTGGCTGTGCCAGTGGCCGGACCCTGCACTTGCTCACACACCCCTTGCCGCTCTGCGCCTGCTCACACTTGGCAGGCATGGGATTCAGGCCGGCAGCAAAACCTGAGCACAGCCTGCCCAGCTGAGTGGGTGGAACAAGCCCAGCAGGCCGGAGCAAAACTTGGGCAAAGGCACCATAGGCCACAGAGGTTTCCAGCTGGAAAAGTGACACCCTAAGGATCCTGTGACAGTGAGAGCAATTCATACATAGAGAATTATGTCTTCTATCCTAGAACACCAACTATATTATATGTAGGATACTCCATGAAAACAGTAACAGCCTCTATTTATTAGTCAACTACTAAGTTATGAAATATTCAAATCATGACTAATATTTACTGAGTACCTACTATGTGCCATGCACATGCTATTCTAGGAGTTATGGATACAGCAGTAACAGACCAAAAAAGTAAAATTTTAAAAATATCTCCCCTTACAAAGCTTACAATCCAGTAGAAACTTAAATAATATTCATTCAGATGGTAAAAAGTTGTTTTAAATAGAAGTAAGGAGTTGGCCGGGCGCAGTGGCTCACGCCTATAATCCCAGCACTTTGGGAGGCCAAGGCAGGCAGATTACCTGAGGTCAGGAGTTCAAGACCAGCCTGGCCGACCGACATGGTGAAACCCCATCTCTACTGAAAAAAAAAAAAAAATACAAAATTAAGCCGGGCATGGTGGCACATGCCTGTAATCCTAGCTACTCGGGAGGCTGAGGCAGGAGAATTACTTGAGCCTGGGAGATAGAGGTTGCAGTGAGTCAAGATCATGCCACTACACTCCAGCCTGGCCGACAGAGAGAGACTCTGTCTCAAATAAATAAATAAATAAATAAATAAATAAATAAATAAATAAATAAATAAATAAAAGGCCGGGTGCGGTGGCTCACGCCTGTAATCCCAGCACTTCAGGAGGCCAAGGCAGGCAGATCACGAGGTCAGGAGTTCAAGACCAGCCTGGCCAATACGGTGAAACCCTGTCTCTACAAAAATTAGCTGGGCATGGTGGCACGCACCTGTAGTCCCAGCTACTCGGAAAGCTGAGGCAGAAGAATCGCTTGAACCCAGGAGGTGGAAGTTGCATTAAGCCAAGATCGCGCCACTGCACTCCAGCCTAGGCGACAGAGAGAGACTCCGTCTCAAAAAAAAAAAAAAAAAAAAAAAAATTAATTAATTAATTAATTAAAAGGTAAGGAGTTAGAGAGTGATCAGGAAGAAAAGAGGAGCTATCATGGAGAAAAGAGGTCAGGGAAAGCCTCTCTGAGGAAGTGATTTTGTGGTCAAGGTAGACACCTGACATTTACTATCAGTAGTCTTTATGAAACCCCCCAGGCAGGGATCCATATTCTACAAATGAGGAAACTAGACCTCAAGGTAGCTGAATGATTTGCCCAGGTTTATGAATGACTATAATCCACAATGCCCTTTTCATTACACAAAGGTTTCAAGACACTCGCCTTAATCTCCAAGGCAAAATCTGCACATCCCAGACAGTGCCAAAGAGGATTCATTCAGGTACAAAAAGAAAATCAAATTATCTATATGTAATTAATTTTTATCTCAATCCTTTAAACTCCTAATTTTGGAATAAAATTTACACATGTAAATATGCATATAATTTTGAAGTGAACAAATATAAAATATGTATTGTTGATATGGACACATCATAAAAATTTCAAGATCATTTCCCTAGATGGATAATGTCAAAGAAATAAACAAGGGGGTGTGGGGAAGATAGGGAGAGCTCTGTTAAAGGATACAAAACTACAGCTAAATAGGAGTAAGTTCTATTATAGTGTTCTATAGCACTGGAAGATGACTATAGTTAACAATAATATATTACGTATTGTCAAATAGCTAGAAGGAAAATACTAAATGCACCCAACAAAAAGAAATGATAAATGTTTGAGATGATGGAATGCTAATTACCCTGATCTGATCACTATACATTGTATGTATTGAACATCACTATGTACCCCATAAATATGTACGATTATATGTCAGTTAAAAAAGAAAAAAAGGAAATAAACAAACATGAACCCTCTTCCCAAGGGCAGAATATATTGTTATGCACAGCCTGTACTCTGTGAACATAATTATAAATTTCCAAGTACAAAATAAACTAGATCATAAATGTGAATCTAAGGTGCAACTTCACTGTAGAGTTGAGACATTTTATTCCAGCACCTCATTCAACCAACACACAGGCCTCCAGGGCTGAGGCCCCACACACTGATAATTATTCAGCATGCTCCCCTGACTGGGAAACCTGTTTACTCCGCACTGAAGGGAATCCACCAATTCATTTCAAATTGGTCACCAGACAACAGCTGTCAACTGGTAATAACTTTTGGTCACTCCCTACCCAGGCTGTTTAATACACATGTAAACATAAGTTTCATAAATTGTTCAAATGCGTATTTACTCAAAACACCATTATGGGTCCATCAGACTGTTACAGGCTATCAGCTAAATAACATGCATTTTTTAAAAGGCTTGGCAGCTTAATACATATTTTTACTGCTCGCATAACTCAGAAACAGCCTCAGAGTAAAACGTTTAATTTGACACATAAATAGTCCATTATATGGCTTAATCCTCTTTTGTGTTTTCAGAGAGGGAAGAAAGTGGCAGGGTATTTCAATTTGATAGGAAAAGCAAAGCAAAGGAGAAGGAAAAAAATTATTCACACATAGCTGTTGATCTTAACTTCAGGGCCAGGTTTAAGAGGGTTGGTAAATAAAAGGGTATTTAAAAAGAAAGAGTATCTGGGTTATCATACGCGTTAGGATGACCATATTTTAAAAAGAAAGAGAGAGAAAGGTCATTATTCAGATAGTCTCCTGGATCTTAATCCTACTCAAAATGTCTAATATCATTTACCTATACATTGATCCATTAGACTAGTGTTTCTTAACGTAAGGCTCTAGAATCACTGGTACCCACAAGAACATTTCCACAGATACTTGTTTTCTTTAATATGAGCTTTAATAAGCTAGTTACCTTAGATAAGAGAGGGGAGTCCTAAAAACCTGTATTAATAAATTAATATCAGCAAGTTAGCAAAGTATATAAAGGACTTGAAACTGGCATATCAAGAATGTCAGCTACTATACAATTATGCAAAGTGCCTACCTTGCACTTACACACACCAACAGTTAGAAAATTCTCACAATTCTCCAGAAGAATGATTTATTATCACTGTAACCTCACTGTGGTCTTAAGTCAATCACAGTTTGCATTGCTGCTATTCCTGCTTTTTAAATATAAATTACTTACTTTAATTTTATCATTAGAAATTTGACTTTTTGAAAATTGTCTGTTTAATCTCATGATGCGCAGTGGTGCATATTTACAGCATTTGTTTCTGTCCTGTAATTTTCCAATAATGAGACTTGTATGTGTTATGGTTAAGAATAATCCAAATCCCCACTGCTAAAGAAGACATAGATAGAATAAGCCCAACTCCAAAAAGAGTACTTGTAAACATTCATCTGTGACTTTATAGTCTCTAAATAACTTACAATCTACTATACCAAGGTAAGTATGACAAAATTACATTTTTAAAGCTTATGGGATACTTTTATAAAACAAAATATGTATATGGTTCATATTAACGTGTGCTTATCTTGATGCTGGATGGTATAGGTGAGATAAGGAGCTTCTGTCCCACCTAAGTGGGTTAAGACCAAAAAAGCTGAAAATCACCACTCATGACCAGTGGTTCTTAATGTTTTCTGGATCAGAGCCACTGCTGAGAATCTGACAAAAGCTATATTCTATAGAAAAAAAGGTAGTCATGCATTAAAATTTGCAACCCGGGCCATGTTTCTTAATTCTTAGAAGCCTTTATACAGCATACCCAAATTACTTATGTCAAGACAATTTTGTAATATTACTTTTCTATAGTATTTTGAAAACAACAGAATTTTAAGTTCCTCAAAAACATTCAACTTTTTGAAACTGCTTATGACTCCTTGGAAATTGCAAATCTCTCGTCATTCTTAAACAATATTCTTGAGGTCCCTAAACCCAGTGTGTTAAGAACCCCCAGTCCCAGATCTCTTTCTTTTTCATCATTTCAATATCAACTCAGAAAACTGTACCTAATATATTTTTTGGTTCATATTAGGATTTATTCCTATTTTTAGACACAAGGAGATGTGTTACTTTCTATTATGAACCCTCCAAAATCCTACAGTAGAAAATGACTTGTTCCTAAAGGTCTGACATTCGAGTATCTGTGGTCCTTTTACTATAAGGCCACGTATATTCACGATTCAAATATCAGCTCCTGTTGTTCATATCCCTTCCTACTTGGGAAACTATCTCCTGGGGAAATTCATTTTATCACAGCACTATGAGAAAATTATTTCTTATATTGGCATAAAATTTATCTTTGGTATAACCTACACCCAGCAATCTTTGTTCTCACTCCATGGTTCCATACATGAAGTCTAATATCCCTCCTTCCTGACAGTAGCCTCCTAAATATTTGAAAACAGAAGGCATGGACTCCCTTGTTCTCTCTTACCCACACGGCCTTCATGTTTTCAGACCTACCTCTGGTCATCTTGGTCATTTCCTCTAAAGATTATTGTTTTATCTGGGTCTGAACTCAACACTCCAAGACAGTCTCTACAACAGAGTAAAAAGGCATGGATTGGCCATGTGTGGTGGCTCATGCCTGTAATTCTAGCACTTTAGGAGGATCACTTGAGCTCAGGAATTCCAGACCAGCCTGAGCAACATAGTGAGACATTGTCTCTATTTAAAAAAAAAAAAAAAAAGGGCATGGATCCTTTCTTTAGATACTCTACTTCTACCATTGCAAACTCAGACTAAAGCAGTACTTTATATGAATGCTGTTGGTAAAACCTTTTGTCTGAAAATCATCTGCTCTCAGAAAATATGGCACTATCCTTGAGGCCTGTTTCCCTACTAACTTCAATTCTAATCTTCAGAAATTTCTGTAGTCCACAACTACTTGTTTACCTGGACAAATAGCTTAGTTTGTCTAAGACTAGATGGTGGCCAAACAGGAAGTGGGGAAAAGTAGGGTTCATTATTAATTGTCTGTGGTAGAGAGGTGGCAAACTGGAAGGAATAGAGAACTGTGACCTACTTTCAATTTTCTCTATATTCCAAAATGAACAGGCTCCTATCCAGTCAGAGTAGTCACAGAAACGTCTAGAACTGAGCCTTGGAGGAAAAGCAGGCTTTAGATAGAGAAAAAGACAAGATCATTTCATGCCCCAAAATGATCTGAGCAGAGGTGCAAAGGTGAGGAAGCCTCCAGCAAGTTACAGGAACAGGGAGTCAACCACTGTGGCTTGAGCAATGTAGCCACATGGAGCTGCCTTAGGGAGAGAGCCTGAAAAGAGGCTGGACTCACAGCACAGAGGCCCTCCCTTAAAAGCCAGGCTACTGAGTATATCTTTCAGCCCAGAAGCGGTGTGGAGTCACTAAAGTTTTTAAGCAGGAGAGTAAAATGATGAAAGCTGAATTTTAGAAACAATATGAGTCCCTGTACACACCAGGCACGTAATCAATGAGGTAGTCTGAACATACAGATTTTAACTGCCAGGAAAGACGCATCTTGTGACCTAAAACTTACAGAAAAACCACTCCCCTAGTAAAATCCATCTCACAACAACTCACTTTATCCTTTTAATTTAATTAAGTGCAAAGAAAGAAAAGGAAACAAGGAATGAGGCTCAGACACACTAACATTGTCTCTAATGTCTCTAAGACTCTCATGTCCTTCCTAAATCAAAATACATATTCCACAGTAAGCTAAAAGATATAAAAGCATTAAATATTTACTCTTCCCATTTGCTATTATTTTTCGCTAGTTACTCAGCTGTAACAGTCATTAACATGCTGAAAAGGAACTTCATGTAAATTCATCACTGGTCTGGGAATACTGGAGCTCTGATGTACTGGCTGCAAGCTACACCCGGCTCAGAGGCGCCATTTCCCTACAGTCAGGGCCAAATGTCTGGTTCACTCACAATTTACAAATGATTATTTTTCTAATTAATCATTCATCAAAAAACATAAACGGCAACAGGGTGTGAAGACAGTGCTAGCAAAAAAACAGAACGGGGCAGAGATCCATCAATCCCTCCCTCATGAACCAGGGCAGCAAGCTCATGAAAGAAGGCTCCTAGGCCTGTGGGAGCTGCTATCTCAGAGAAAACCTTGACCCTGTCCCAAGGTGCAAGTGCCCCTCAGGCACTCAGGAAGGGGCAGTCTACCTCACATGTGGATTATCAAAACAGCCTCCTAGTCTCTCCTTTCTCCAGTTGCTCCTTTAATGCCCACCTAATCACCTCCCCATGACTCTTCCTCCCCAAGACACAAAGCTGTTAAAATACTTCTCCTCAAAGGTCTTCATCATGCCCTAAGAACCTACAGGGCTGTTTCCAATCTCAAGATGGCTGAGTCTTAGAACTTGCAAAGCCCTTAAGCATCCCCTGATCTGGGCCCTTCATTTTATAGCTGGAGAAAATCAGATTTAGGGAGGTTCCATTATGTCCGCCATTATCTCTTGAACATGACTTGAGAACATTTGTTTTGTTTTTTGTTTTTTGACACGGAGTCTCATTAACTCTACTGCCCAGGCTGAAGTGCAGTGGCACAATCTCGGCTCACTGCAACCTCCACCTCCCAGGTTCAAGTGATTCTCCTACCTCAGCCTCCCAAGTGGCTGGGATTATAGGCGTGTACTACCATGCCAGACCAATTTTTGTTTTTTGGTTTTTTTTTTAGTAGAGACAGGGTTTCACTATGTAACAGGCCAGGCTGATCTTGAACTCCTGGCCTCAAGTGATCCACCCGCCTCAGCCTCCCAAAGTGCTGGGATTACAGGTGTGAGCCATTGCGCCCAGTCTCGTTTTTTGGTTTTGGGTTTTTGGGGGTTTTTTAGACACAGGGTCATAGTTTTTGCTCTGTCACACAGGCTGGAGTGCAGTGGCACAATCATGGTATTACAGGAGTTATTAAGAATTATTTTAAGCAGATAGAGAGGGTAAAAGAGTCCTCGGTGAGGCTTTTTCTTTTACTGAAAAAGCAGCCCCCAAAACATTTCTTTTCTAACAGAAAGCAGACTGAAAAACCAGACCTGCAAGCATTGATATGCAAATGCAGGCAACTAAAAGCCAGGTCCACCCAGTATGGCGGTTCCTGCCACTTTTTGTTGCCACGTGTGCAGGACATCATGGCGACCAGCCAGGTAGAGACTATGTGGGCAGGACATCATGGCAACCAGCCAGGTAGCTGCGTTTGCATATTAAAAGACTAGGATAGGAGGGCCAGTTTTTCATGGGCTATGTGAATGACAAGCCTGGTCAAACCAATCCCCTGGGCCCTATACAAATCAGATACCGCCTCATCCAGCCTCCCAATATAACCTACGGCATTCCCCCCAGCAATGGGGGTTTTCCGTTCTGAGCCCTCTTCCCTCTGTACGGTGGAGCTGTTTTCTTCTTTCTTGCCTATTAAACTTTCCGCTCCTTAAACCACTCCATGTGTATCTATGTTGCTGATTTTCTCAGCACGAGACCAGAGACCCTGGGTGTTTCTCCAGACAACGGAGCCATATCAATGGCTCACTACAGCCTCAAACTCTTGGGATCAAGTGATCCTCCCACCTCAGCCTCCCAAAGTGCTGGGACTGCAGGCCACACCAGCTTGGGACTGCAGGCCGAACCACCATGGCTGGCCTTGAGAACTTTTCAAGCAGAGGTTTTGTTTCTGAATAAGTCTTTCGCTCTCTGCCTCTGTATTAAGTAACAGAACTGCCAACAGCTGAGTAACTGCACAACTGCTGCTACCGACCAGAAGGCAGACATATAAAATATCTACTCACCTTTGAAAAGACTGTCTAGGTTTCAAATATGTAAATCAATAAAGAGACAAATATTAAGCCTTAAGAGTATGAGTATTGAAGAGGCTAGTATTAGTACTAAGTCACAGTTCTAAAAAACTATAGACATCCAGTGTTTTCATACCACCAGGATTACACAGCTAGAAAATGATCTTACTCAGGTCACCCTGGAAGGCTGTTTATAAATGGGCAAAGAGGTCAGGAAGAGTTCTTACCAGATTCTAACATTAGAACCCACTCAGGCCCCACAGTCATTAAGTGTAGGACAACATGCCAGGCCAGGAAGTACTAGGCTCTAAACACGACACTGAAGTTTTAATCCCAGCCATATAAAGCATAATCTCTACTGTTCAGTTTTTCTAACTGTGTAATAGGTATATCCTCCCCACCTACAAAGAAACATTACAGGAAATAGTATCTTCAGAAAGTCTAAAGCTACCCAAATGTGGAGTATGACCAAAATGGAAGATGACCTCACTCATTTACCACCATCATAATTAGCATATTATATGATAATTAAGAGTTTAATGAGTGCTTACTATGGGCTAGACACATGCAAAGCACTTTACAGGCATTAACTCACCTAAGTCTCACAAACGTATTATTATTTCCATTTCACAGATGGAGAAACTGTGAAACAACAGTTTGTTACATTCTCCAAGGTCACACATCTAGTAAATGGAGGATTTGAACCCAGGCATTCAGACTCACTGATAGCACTCAATTGCCAAGGTCTCCATCCTCGTCACTTAGTATTTGGGGCAGTTAAAGAGTAAGAAAAGAAAAAGGAGACATTTAACAAAAAAACCGAACTATCTGGTGCAAAAAGAAATCCAGTCTATCAAATAATTACACGAAGCTACACACAGTATATTTTTTAGATGCCTGGATTCTACAACAAACAATAAGATTTTGGAACAAATTAAGAAATAGAGAGAAGCATAACCACCTCATCTACAGATGACAATGGCAGGGAACAGAGTGGAGGTAACTTGCCTAAGATCACTCATAGCAATTGCAGCCTAAGTCTATCAACACCCAGGCCAACATTCTATGCGTAAGTCAGTGCCAACCTATAGGCCCTGGTCCAGCAGTATGACCTTAACAAAAATAATTAGCCAGTCCCGAGGAGTCTGAAGAAGCTTGGAACAGGCCACCCTAATCTTCAAAGCTGCCCTGTTCTGTATGTAGCCACTCTGTCAGTCTGGAAGGGGCTGTTTAAAAGACTGGGGAACATGTGCACTGTTGGTGACACTGCAAAATGGTATGACTCCTATAGAAAGCAGTACAGAGGTTCCTCAAAAATTAAAAATAAAACTGCCATATGATCCAGCAATCCCACACTTCCAGGTACATATGCAGAAGAAGTGATAGCAGGATCTTGAAGAGAAATTTGCACACTCGTGTTCATAGAAGCACTAATTCACAATAGCCAAGAGGTGAAAACAACTCAAATGTCCATCACAGGATAAGGAGATAAACAAATGTGGTATATACATTCAATGGAACAGTATTCAGTCTTAAGAAAGAAAATTCTGTCATATGGTACATGAACTTTGAAGACATTGTGCTAAGTGAAATAAGTCAGTCACAAAAAGACAAATACTATGTAATTCCATTTAGATGAGGTATCTAAAATACTCAAATTCAGCTGGGTGTGGTGGTTCATGCCTGTAATCCCAGCACTTTGGGAGGCTGAGGCTGGCGGATTACTTGAGGTCAGGAGTTCAAGGCCAGCCTGGCCAATATGGTGAAACCCTGTCTCTACTAAAAATACAAAAATTAGCTGGGTATGGTGGCGCGAGCCCGTAATCCCAGCTACTCAGGAGGGTGAGGCAGGAGAATCACTTGAACCTGGGGGATGGATGCTGCAGTGAGCCGAAACCATACCACTGCACTCCAGCCTGAGCAACACAGAGAGCCCGTCTCAAAAAATAAAAAATAAAATAAAATACTCAGATTCATAGAAAGAGAAATGAGAATGGTGCTTACCAGGGGCTGGAGGGAACAAGGGAGGGGAGTTGTTGTTTAAGGGGTATAGAGTTTCATATTCACAAGATGAAAAATTTCTGGAGCTCTGTTTCACAATGAAATGACTATACTTAACACTACTGAAGTATCTACACTTTAAAATGGTTAAGATGGTACACTTTGTAATATTTTTTTAACACAATAAAAAACAACAATGATAATGCGTGTATGCTAGCACACATGCACAATAAGTAGATAAAGACAGGCCTAGGGACAACTCATCTTAAGTAGCTGTTTAAAGTGATTTCATGCAAGTAATTGAATCAGACAGTATATTTGCCACCTGGATTATAACTGCTAAACAAAATGCTCAAAAGCCAATTCTGACAATCCCTACCTATGTAACCATACTTAAGTATTCATAAATGAATCAATGAATGACTTGAATCAATGGATTACTTCTGAAAAACAACTACTATAGGATTTCTATTTAGTATAAGGCAGCATGCCTAAACCCACTTCATGATAAGAATAACATACACGTGCCATTAAATTTTTCCAATGTAACAGGAAAAAAAGTCAATGCTCTTCCAAAACACATCTAACTAAAAAATGTAGTATCTATGTAGAGACAAGTATATAATGTTAAAAGAAAACAACTGTTTAGTCAAGAAATGGTAATTCTTATAAGTTTTTTTAAAGGAAGAAAAGGGGACTGATTTCATTCAAAGGTCCTTGTGTGTCACAAAAGTTAAAAAAAAATTTTCTCAAATGTCTAAATTCAACCAAGTAAGGCAACACTCAACCATTTCATCCAGTTAAAATAAATAAAACTAAAAATCTATTCCATAGATGATGTATGTAACTGACATTTGCTTCTACTCCCCAAAATAAATTATTACTGACATGAAATATACAATCACATATCTTACAAGCCCAAAACATAGAAATGCAAAAGTACACACAGTCTTCTCTTTCCTGATTTCTTCCAAATGTAGATCATTCCCAGAAGTATTTTTTTCATTATTTAAAACTATCAATCTAGAAAGATTTCAATGCAGACAGAGTTATTTTTTTACATTTGAAATGTCTGCCGAACAATCTACCAGGTATCACACATCATCATTTATTTCCATAAAATCAACACAAATTTTAAAATGCAATAGCTAAGTTTACTGAACACTTAGTTATAACTGCCTCAATATTAACTAAACAATTCTCAGAGCTGCCTTATAAGGTAAGACCTGGAATCCCCATTTTATAGGTAAGATAACTGAGGCATGTAGCTAAGGCATTGTTGAGCCTGAATGTAAATCCTGGCAGACTGGTTCCAGAACCCATGCTATTATATTAACCACTACCAATACTATCGCCCATTAATGTACATGAAAGACACTGACACACTGGTCAATTCTTCTGTAACTCCAGGAAATGGTCCTACAGAGAGAACTAAAGAGAAACTACGAATGCCAAACATTCTGGCCTTGGCCAGTCACAATCTCTCTAGCTTTGTTTTTCTTATTGTGAAGTAAGTTTAAAAAATCCAACACCTGATAATATAGTTGGCTGGAAACAAAACCCAGCAAAAATATACACATATACTTCACTATGGCGACAGCATGGCCAATTACTCTCCTGATATCTCCCTTCTTCCACTTCCAATCTAGAGACAGGCCTTCCTTTGCCAAACATACTTTCCCATCCCCACAAAAGTAATTCTACAGCAAAACGTGCAGCATTATCGGCAAAAGCTAAACAGAAGGAGTCAGCATCTCTCTTCTAAGCCATGTCCCTGTCTGAAATATAATACAGTGGGCAAGTTGTTTCTCTGAAATAGATGGATCTATGGTTTGAGGGCAGCACAGAGCGTAAATCTGTCTCCATGAATGGCTCACGCCGTGTCTTTCTCGTTTTGTGTGCTATTGTGTGCTATCTGGCAATATATCTGTCACAGCTCTACTTCCTCCCTTCCACAAGAACAAAAGTTGAGAGAGATTGGAAATACAACCCCAGGCACAGCCTTATAAAGGCCACAATTGAGTTTCTGAAAACTCCAGGCCAACTCTAGGCAAAGCACCAGTTCAGCCTGTCTGTACACGAGGCAATTTGGTTAAGTAATAACACCATTTCGCCATGATTTTTGTTCCGCTCACAACAGAAATCATATCAGAGAAACCACGACTTACCATAAAATTATTTTAAAAAGAGAAACTTGATTCTGATATCCAAATAGAATATAAATTCTGCTTTTACACACGCTGGTCCCATCTGTAACACCCAGAAGTCAATTCAAGAGGCTGTAGACAGTGAAGGGATAACTTCAGATTTCCCTTGAAATGTTTTTGCAGCCTCAGCAGAAATTCAAAATGCCAGTAGTGTTGCTCTCAGTGTCTCTGTTCTGGCCCCCAAGACCCACAGGCCTGGCTTCCTCCAAGAAATGCTTGCATGAGGATCAAGCAGGGGACGAGTTTTTCCTGTGCCTGTCAGAAAGAATACTGGCCTTTCAGATGAGCACTTCCAGATTTCATAGGTCAGCCTGAGAACTTAAAACACTATTACAAAATCATTGTCCTTCAGCCCCAAGCATCTTAAAAGTAATTTATCAGCAGCATCACTGCCAACCTTACCCCAAGAGCTTGCTTTGGCATAACAACTGTTCAGGGTCTCAAAATGGGCTTTTCCAGAGAACTCGTAGAGGTCCCTGTGTTTAAATTACTGATCCCAAAACTCAAAATAGAATCTCAGCCCATTTGAAAACTGCACTTATAAAAACCACCATTTAGGCTCAAAGCTATGTAATTTGCAAATGCTCCTGCTTCTGTCTAAGTTTGCTTTTGGTGCTTAAAATCCAGCCAAAGGATGGAATTTAATACAACTACAAAATTAACAACAGATGGCCTAGTACATTTAACCTAGAGGAGTAAACAATGTGAGCGATGTCTCCAAAAAATAAATCTCCCCAGGAAGGCTATAAGAATATCTGAAAAACACCAAAATAAAAACTGGTGACTTCAAAAACGAAACTCAAACCCAGATTAGATCATCATGTAAGCATTACCATTTCCCTAACAATAAGTGTCAGTTTCTCCTTTCATCCACGTAGACCTTTTGTTAAGGACAAGATACCATCTTTTTTCCTCACTCTTCAACAACTTTCTCATCCTATAGAAGGGAAACGCTGGCAAAGGCTGGGTTAATGCTGGGGTTTCCAGTTAAGCACTATAGTTTTACAACAGTACAAAAATAACCAATTTTCAAACTATCAGAACACAATAAAAGATATTCAGCATGAACTTTAATATAATGTAGCTTTCCTTTGAAGACCCTGGAAAACTTGTACCTTGGATTTGTTGCCAGAAACATCAGTTATCACTATTAGTCAAGGTAGAGTGATGGGCAGCTCAGAGACCAGTAGGGGGCCACTAACTAAATCTTAACATCAAGCACCTCACTTCTCTGGGCTTTTGGCTGTCTTTATTTATAAAGAATGGTACACAGAGACTCTCTAAACTCTATCAGCTCTGACAGCCTATATTTCTTCAGAAACCCTTATACTCAAAAAGCTCCATTTAACAAGACATCCAAATAGATTAGATTTTCTATCTCTCTTCAGAAATTTTCTATCAGCTGATAATTCCCAAGGAATCTCCATAAACAGGCACCAAAATTGTCCACTGTTAAAATGAATGATGAGAAGCTGTGTGTTCTTGAAAAGCATCTACATATGAAACATAATGCACTTCCTTTACCCTTCTGTGAAAAAAATCTACTTCAATATATGAAGCATGGTCAGAAAACAGTTTCAGAATACTTTAAAAAAAAAAAAGAAAAAAGAAAAAAACCAGAGTTTCAGGAATAAATAAGAATTTAGGGCTGGCAGGTAGGGAGCCTATCCACTGAAAAATTAACTAAAAAGAGAAGTAAGATTTCCACAGAATACTGAAAAGTAATCATCGTTTATTTTCAGTTTTTCCTCCCCAAGATGGACATATGGCTATAGAGGCACAAAAATGTCTTACCATTCTAATATTTAAATTGTCAGACTTACTTAAGTCACACTTATTTAAGTCAAGATACCTTGCCATAGTTGACTTAAACCAAATTGTGAAGCATAAGACCTCCATTTCTTTATCTTCCCCCAGACCAAGACCTGAAAAGTTACAAGAGGTGGCTCAGGACTCAGTTTATAGTCATTTCTAGAAACATCTGCATTTTAAAAAGAGCAAACCAGGACATGGCCTTGCCTCAGCAACTCTCTAAATGCATAAAGACTTTAAAGAAAGTGATCTCAATGGAGGGGAGAGAAAAGGTTTGTTCAGAGATGCTAACATCCCAGGATACAGGTTTAGATTGCTACAAAAGCCACCCTAGGTAGTCTCAGGGCCATACCTAAGGGTCTACAACTAGTTCCTTTGAATCCCCAAATGCTTCATCTCCCTTCTAATATTCTGTAAGGTATATTACACACTGATGTGACTACAAATAATTTCTTATTTTTAGAATGTCATGCCATCCTTCTGAATAACTGGAGATATTTCTGAACACCAGAACCTTTGGTTCAGGAATTGCCAACTCAACTCCTTAGGTATGCACAGACTGGGATCCAAGCAGGTTCTACCTTCTCTTTCAGTCTTCCTGTCTACCTGCAGCTTACCAATATAATACCTTCTACAAGCACATGGATGATCTGCCAATATATAATGTAAAAATTATTTTAAAATGTACTCCTCACACTTAGTTTCCCGGTCTGCGAAATGATGTCAGTCCTCAGATGTGAATATATATACATACAAGTACACACATCATGGGACTGTGGGTGCAAAGAGTCAAACCTCAGCCAAGGCCGGACACAGTGGCTCACACCTGTAATCCCAGCACTGTGGGAGGCCAAGACAGGAGGACCACCTGAGGTCAGGAGTTCGAGACCAACCTGGCCAGCATAGAGAAACCCCGTCTCCACTAAAAATACAAAAATTAGCCAGGTGTGGTGGCGCACACCTGTAATCCCAGTTTCTTGGGAGGCTAAGGCAGGTGAATGTCTTGAACCCGGGAGGCAGAGGTTGCAGAGATGAGACCACACCACTGCACTCCAGCCTGGGATACAGAGCAAGACTCCATCTCAAAAAAAAAAAAAAAAAAAAACCCTCAGCCAAAACCACCCTGAGAAATGATCACAGCACAGTACAGTATTCTGCTGGGTGGAGAAGGATCAAGTCCTAGAGAGATTTAGGTGTCTAGATGAATCTGTTAAAAATCTTAAAAAGTTTCACTAGTCCTGGAGACAAAATACGTTAGTATATTATTAGAATAAATTTGTAAAATTATTTTTTAAAAGCAACAATGGAAACAAATAGCAAGATTCAAGTTTCATGTACGTCTAAAAAAGTTCTAATATAAAAGCCAGCTTCTCATCAAGGAAGTAGGCCACATACAGAAAAAAAGGTCAGGATCTCACACTTAGGCTATTTAAAAGAGGTTAGTGCTACCAGAGACTCCTTATTGATTTGGTAAGATTCCCAGAGCAGAGAAGCAGGGACTTTCTCCCTCTGTCTTGTTGCCAAAGTGAAAGCACTATCAAGGGTAAACTGTGGTCAGACCAGTTTCACCTCTTTTAAAGAGCTACACCATTGTCAACTGTCAGTCACAGGGTTAAAGACACCAGACTAACATATTAACAAATGCAACCAACTAAAGAAAATACACAGGAGCCCAAATTATAGGATGCTGTGCACACACTTCGGAATCTGTTCCTGCAGTACGCCTTCTGTCCTGACCCACGTTTCTTGTCCCTCTCACAGCCTCACCACAGAGCATTCAGCTTGACTACTCTTTTCCCTAGCCATCTGACCTGCAATCAAAGCACACAGGCCACACCAGAGGAACTGTGATAAAACAGTTCATCCTCACCACACACTGAATACCTCAATTTCATTATGCCTGCCACGGTTATTTGATTCATTTTTGCCCAATAAATTAAAAATAACTGATTAGATTCTCAGCCCTTATTCCCTACCCACCCACCCATGCCCCTGTGATGAACTCTCAGGCATGACAGCCATAGAATAATAATTTAATAGCTATTATTATTAAAATTACAATAACAACCAACATATATTAAGTGTTTACAATGTCTCAGGCACTGCTCTAAATAATTTAGAAGTGTTGATACATTGACATGGTGGAGACTCCAATCATCTCCATCTCACAGGTAAGGACAGTAAGCACAGAGAAGTTAAGGTCCCACAGCTCAAGAGTCAGACCAGCACCCAGATCCAGGCAGTCTCCAGAGCCCCTGGTCTTAACCACTATGCCACTCCAGTTCTCAAGAGAGGCAGCCAGAATGGAAGACAAACAGCCTCCAGAGAAGGTACCTGAGAAATTTTTGTCCACTTGCCTATTCCAGGAATTGCTCATGAAATTGCTTTTTTGTCTGTTACATAATGAAGTTTCATAAACAACAAGTACAGAATCAGTGAAATGGTCAGGGAGACAAAATGGCACTCTTTTCAGGCTTGTCCCAGACACACTGGGAGGCTTGTCCCAGACACAGTGGGAAACCTCTGTCACTCTCTAAATGTGCCTTTGCAAAACAGGAGCAAGACTTCCTGGTGCTGTTTTACCTGTTAAATGGCAAATACATAAATTAAATATTTGCAATATTTTTAAAAGATTACATATTTAGAAAAATATATAAACTCACTTAGGAAGTTAAAGCATCTATGAAGAAAAGTTTGTGTCTAAACAAAACAATCACTAAACCCTTATTTCAGACTTCTGGGTTTCAATAACAGATTCTCATTTTTGGCTTAATAGTCCACATCAATCTCCTTTTCCCTGGAGCACATGGTGGAATAGAAACTAATGTCAAAAAGTTGATGTGACTTCTGATGTAAGTAACCCACATCAAACCCCAGTACTATTAGTTGGCAAAGTTACCCCATAATTATAAGACCTTTCTACCAATAAGGAATTCAGACTATTGACAGAAACACAAATATAGCCTGATTCTATCCTGATTTTAGGGCCAACTTCTTAATGAGAATCTTCCCTCTTGTTACAAGCAACTTGTGTGAACACAAACTTGCCCATGGACATTGGTGAGGCTGGCTTCTGGATAAGTGAAGGAAGCAATAGGCCTGAACATCCATGATTATTCCTTAACAGGTTTCTATCTCTCCGTTAGGCCCCTAAATATACATGGCAGAAAGCAGAACAAAACTGTCTTTAGCGCCATAGAATAACTGCCACATAGGCAGACCATCTTTCTAGGTTCAGGGAATAAGGTCATATGAGGATCAGGGCTCCCTTTAATACAATCCCCAGCCAGCCTGTCATTCTCTTTCTTTACTTACTAAAAGTACCAGGAACAGGCCTGCCAAATTTCCTTTTTTAGCACCACAATCTCTTGCCTTAACCAGACAGTCTCCTTCTGTGCCCCACTAAAGCACAGAATACAATCCCCATATCTAAAAACACACAGTCCTTTCCAAAAAAAATTTTTTTAAGTATCTAGGGCTAGTAACAACAGGGAAACATAAAAGTAGGAAAAAGGGCATAAGCTAAATTATCTAATGAAAGCATTTACCATGATTTGAATCTAGGAAAAAACTCTAGAAACATGATGGGTCTAAATACAGTCACTCTGAACTATGAATTGAAATAACAGCCACTGAATGGTCACCCAAAAGCTAGTACAAAATGAGTTATTGGCAGTCCACAAATTCCCAGTGGTTCCCAACATAGCCAAGCCCAAAAATCACAACTGGCATTTTGCTGCCCTCTCCAGCAAAGAACTAAATCAATTCATGTGTCTAATCCTTGAACCAGATATGCCAGAACCAAGAAAGAGAAGATGCCAACAGGGAAGACACTGAACTCTCAAGACAGCACTGGCATCTCCATCCCTGGGTCTCTAGGATTCTGGCCAACAAATTGTGCCACAATATCACTGGAAACCTTTCAGGGAGAGATGTCAGCTCCCAGCTGAGATAAAGAGTATTTGTGGTAGACTGCCTGAGGACAGGTAGCTTATCCTCTCCTCGACATGTTCTAAAAATTGTCCTTGGCTCAAGCCAGTCCTTTGAGCTATCTAGGTGAGACACATGATCTTGACCCCTTATAGTTACTCTTTCCTGAAATCATGCTTTGTCTCAGTGTTATTAATTTGCATTGACGGTATAAAAGCAACTGTTCACAAATCACCGTTGTGTGTATTGATAAGTATATCCAAGATAGAGTTCATGGACACATCTTCTCCATTGACAAAGTTTCTCAAGAAAAGTTAGTTCCAGCAGGGCACAGTGGCTCACATCTATAATCCCAACACTTTGGGAGGCTGAGGCGGGTGGATCACCTGAGGTCGGGAGTTCGAGATCGGACTGACCAACATGGAGAAACCCCGTCTCTACTAAAAATACAAAATTAGCCAGGCATGGTGGTGCATGCCTGTGATCTCAGCTACTCAGGAGGCTGAGGCAGGAGAATTGCTTGAACCTGGGAGGCGGAGGTTGCAGTGAGCTGAGATCGTGCCACTGCACTTCAGCCTAAGCAACAAGAATGAAACTCCATTTCCAAAAAAAAAAAAGAAAAAGAAAAGTTACGTTCCCCTCTTTGTTCTACTCTCTGGGAAGCTGAATATGGGACCCCCCCTCAACCTACTGCCTCAGACCCTGCCTTGCATGTTTCTGCCCAGAAGCCTTAACATGGCTTTATTGTATTTTCCCTACCCATTTCCCAGTGCCCCAATTCCTTTTCTACTTATTTTAATTCTGTTGCATTGTACACATTTTTGTAAGCCAGCTCAAAGATTTTTGTGGAATAACAGTGAAAATAAAATAAAATAAAATAAAATAAAATAGGACAAAAATATCTTAAAAACTAGTATCCTCTACACAAACTGCTGCTTCATCCAAATGACCTTAAAGGAGAGAGACAAAACTAATTGTCCTAAAGGACCAATAGCATCTTCAATATTTTATTCAATAGCCATACCAGTCAGTCATCATTACCAAAAAAACCCTGAGATCCATCCCAAACTTTCACACTTAGATACTAGGGCTGCCAAATCTAAGGTGGTAGAGAAACACAGACAAAGGCACAGAGACACAAAACACACACACACAGACACACACACACACACACACACACACACACACACACACCAGCAGCAGCAGCAGCCAAAACATTTTGTGCTGATCCCTGTTCACTTTTTTTATAATACCTAAGTATCACCTTATAGTACATACTTTCATATATGCTTTCTTAATCTTTCCAACAATGTTGTGAAACAGGCTGAGTAAGTGTTTATTACCCCATTCTACAGAAGACGGAACAGATTTCTTGAGAGATTTGCCCAAGGTTATGCAACTAAATGAGTGCTGGAACCAGGACAGTCACTTAAGGTCTAGAAGTTTCTTCTCCATCAGAATCCTTTTACATGTAGGCATTCCAGGGACACATTAAGAAGGTGGTAGAAGCACAAGCAAATCAAGTAAAAAATGGGCAGCCACACTGCTTAGTTATACTCTAGAGTTTAACTCACACACCTGTCCACTAAACATTTCTTTTTATACTTTGCCAGCAAAAGAACTTACAGCCTCCATTCTTCCAGGTGCCAACATTCTACCTAAAAAATTAGTTTTCCTTTACTTTGGCCTGATTGTGAATGATGCCAGATGTTTCTGGGCCAACAGGTTTTTCTATGCCAAAACATTCCTAACTCGAAACTCAAGCCACAGAAATGTCTATTCAAATAGAAACCCTAAAACGATGCTTTTTTTTTGAGACAGGGTCTCGATCAGTCACCCAGGCTGGAGTACAGTGCTAGTACAATCATAGCTCACTGCAGCCTTGAGTTCCCAGGCTCAGGCGATCCTCCCACTTCAGCTTCCCAAGTAGTTGGAAAGCCACACTTGGCTAATTTTTTAATCTTTTTGTAGAGATAGGGTCTGATTATGTTACCCAGATTGGTAACCAACTCCTGGGTTCAAGCCATCCTCCAGCCTCAGCCTCTCAAAGTGCTGGGATTACACAGCACGTGCCACGGTACCCAGCTGCTTTTTTTTTTTTTTTTTTTTTTTTTTTTTTTTTTTTGAGGGATCAAGTAAAAAACAACCATGTTACTAATGGTTTTGTTTACAGAAGATGAACAGACACACTCTCAATCCCCATCTGATTTCCTGGGATGGGTGAATGCACTTTTCTCCTTTCTTTCACTCTTGAGTCTATTTATACTGCAAAGTTCAGCTGGTGTCTCAAAAAGGAGGAATTTAATTTTTCCCCTCTGCTACAAATTTAATGTTTGAGAAAGGATTGGGTATTAGGATCTTCAAAGGCCCAAGTATCAGAAAAATCACAGAATTTTAGGGCTGGAAAGGACCTCAGCAATATCAGAGAGGAGTTAACACACAGCCCATTCTCTGTCATGCTCATGCTGTGCATGAAAAGGTCATTTCCATTTCTGTTCTAGTCAGGTCTTGCTCACCAAGTTCTGAATTCCAAGACTCAACCTTAAAGAAGAACATACAGTCTGGGGGTGGAAGGGCTGGGGAGGGAGGAAAGCAACAGCCTCTCTGGTACATAAGCTCCTAAATCACCTGTCTAATAATAAAAATCACAGCAAAGTAATCTAAGCAAAAACATTTGGATCCATAAACTCAAGAGTCTATGGACAGACAACATCCCAAACCCTGCTATCCATTATGTCGCCAGGCTGTGAAAGCAGAAACCAGGTCTCCATCTCTATATCCTCAGATCTGGAACAAAGCACCTGGCATACAAATGGTGTTCAATAAATGAGTTCAATAAGTGAATAAATAAAATAACTTCACAGAGAACAATCGAGTATGAAGATGTCAGGGCCATATCCTTCTTACAACAAATGACACACACATGCTTCATAAAAGGAAAAAAAAAGTGAAATTGTTTTCAATTTTCTTTGAGGGGAAAAAAATCATCTTTCAAAAAGCATTTGAAGCCAGAGTTATCTTTCCCAACAAAATGTACCTTTTATGAAATATCTACATACTACATAAAGAAGGGTCCCATTTAGCCTATTTAAATTTTAAATACCTACAAGATAAATACATGTTATTTATAACACATAAATATTAGAAACAAGCAAATGTTAGAGAATACAGGATTGGGCAAATAATATGATATAGCCAAACAATGGTACTCTATATGGCTATTAAAATTAACTCTATAGAATCCTGAAACCTCATGTCAAAATATTACAATATAATAAATCAAAAAGTCAGGTTTGTATATACTTATATATATATACACACACATATATATTGTACATACACATACATACATACATGTATGCATTCTTAAAATCTTAACTCATGGGAGTAGATATACATTATTATTTTTATTTGTCCCCAAAACACTGGGAAGATACATGTCCAAAAAAATTGCGATTATTTCTTAGTGTTAGGATTACTGATAACATTTTCTACTTTGTGCTATTTAGGTATTTTTGAAATTCTTCTCCAGTAAAACATACGTATATAGCAAAATATATTACACATACAGCAGAATGTAGAAAACATGTCTGTTTTTCAGAAGAATTATAAAATGAACACCATTGCAACCACAGGTATGGTTAATAAAGAGAACATTACAGTACCTCAAAAGCCCCCTTGTGTGTCTCTCAATGGTCAAATCTCCCTCACCCCAACCACATCACTAACCTGACTTTTATGTTAATTGCTACTACCAACAAATGATTTTTACATATGTGATCAGAAAAAAAAATGACAGGTTCTTGCCATAGGTATGAAGATGCTGTTCTTATGTGAAGGAAAAAAACACAGTAATTCACTTTTAGTAGAACATGATTTTGGTTATCTTTTCCAGGAATGTACTTGTATCCAATCATACCTCCTACCTCATCTGGTCTAAACATATGGCTGACCATAAGTTAAGAAAGATGGGCAGCATAGGGCTAAAGCTGACTTAATTCCAGTACCATTTTTCTAGCCAAGTGACATAACCAGCCACAAAATAATCTTAACAACAGCTTTGAAGGAACTATAAGCAAATTGGTTGCTAGGTTCATGGGAAAGAGAAAAGATATTTACTCTCTTGATTGACAGGATATCCTCACAAAGATCACCACGTGCTAAAATGTATTTGTCTGCATATTTTAAGTACTGTAAAGTAATAGTGGATGGGTAGTTTCCCTCCTTCTTTCAGTAATGTGGGCCTGTTTTGATAGAGGGTGTGGCACACTACATGTGTACTTTCAAAAATAACTTTTATATACACCTGGCATTCTCAGAAAATATTTTTTGGGAATGACCACTGGGAATTACTAACGCTACATTATAATCATAACTTTCTTCATGATATGAAATTTCACATACCAAAATGGAACCCACACTACCTACATGTATCAAAACCAAGTAGCAAAACAGAACCACAAAAACTGAATAAAAGCAAAATAAGTCAAACTATAATCACCAAGAGCAAGCTAGCCCAACAACAGGGAATATCTGGAACAACCCAATCCCTCCACCCACTGTGTGTCAACTATTAGGAGAGTCACCTGGATGGGCACATCTGTTGACCATTTAAACAGTCATTTGTTGCCTGTCATCATCTGTCATGTGACAGTAAGCCTCAAACAAAAGATGTACTAAACAGCAAAAGGATTATTAGACTTGGTGGTATTTTTGGAAGGCTGCTTGTTGCATCAGAAAAACAAGTAAGATAGGTATAGTGATTTAGCTGATGAACAGAAGTATACACATTGTTTTATGGAGAGGTAGAGGTGGAAGTGAGGCTGTAGAGAGATGGTCAGGAAAACTGTGGGCCTCAGAGGTAGGAGGTTTATCCCAATGGTAATTGCCGCTACTGGATTGGGAATGGGCCCCAGGGGAGCAGAGAGCACATTCAGAAAGGTAATAAAATAGAGAAAAGAACTAGAATAAATGAAGTATATTCCAAACTACTATTACAGCCCCACTGTCAAAATCTTGATTTTGGGCTGGGTGCAGTGGCTCACACCTGTAATCCTAGCACTTTGGGAGGCCAAGGCAGGCAGATCACCTGAGATCAGGAGTTTGAGACCAGCCTGGCCAATATGGCGAAACCCCATCTCTACTAAAAATACAAAAATGAGCCAGGTGTGGTGGCGTGCACCTGTAATCCCAACTACGCAGGAGGCTGAGGCAGGAGAATCGTTTGAACCCAGGAGGCATAGGCTGCAATGAGCCAAGACAACATCTCACTGCACTCCAGCCTGGGCGACAGAGCAAGACTCCATCTCAAAAAAAAAAAAAAAAAAAAACACAACAAAACAAAAGCTTGATTTTGGCACTGCTATGGTTTGAATGTTCATCTGCTCCAAAACTCACATTGAAACTTAATCCTCAATGTAGCAACATGGAGAGATACAGTCTTTAAGAGGTGACTGGGTCATGGGGGCTCTGCCCTGGTGGATTAATGGGTTATTGTGGGAGTAGGGATAGCGGCTTTATCAGAAGAGAGATCTGAACTAGATGTTCAGCCCCCTTGCACATGATGCCCTGTGCCACCTCAGGACTTTGTAGAGTCCCCACCAGTGAGAAGGCCATCACCAGATGTGGCCCCTCAACCTTGGATTTCTCAGCCTCCAACAACTGTAAGAAATAAATTCCTTTTCTTTATATATTACCCATTTTCAGTAGAAAATGGACTGAGCTAGGTACTTCTCCTTCTTGCCAGACATGTACTGTATTTTGTTTTGTTTTGTTTTTGGGGATAGAGTCTCACTCTCTCGCCCAGGCTGGAGTGCAGGGGCATGATCATGACTCACTGCAGCCTCAATATGCTGGGCTCAAGCGATCCTCCCACCTCAGCCTCCCGACTAGCTATGACTATAGGTGTACACCACCACACCCAGGTAATTTTTTATTTTTTGTCAAGATGGGAGTCTTGCTATGTTGCCTAGGCTGGTCTGGAACTCCTGAGCTCAAGCAATCCTCCTGCCTTCACCTCTCAAAGTGTTGGGATTACAGGTGTGAGCCACCCATTAGACTTTACAGGACAGGAACCATACGCATGATTCCTCTTATTGTTTCCTTATCATGGGGAACATGGTGCAATGCCAGTGCCTATTTTCCAATACAGACATATCACGGCTTAGAAGTAAGTAGGTTTTCTGTTTGTTTTATTTTAGAAGTCAGTTTTTAACCAAAGAAGAACCTGTTAAAAGTAGATGAAAAATAATACTCACCAAGCAAAAGAGTAATAGTATTTGATCAACAAGTACTTAGGATGGGTACCTAAAATTGTTTACTGAATTACGATTCGAATTTCCAGGGTAAGGCAATAGTTCTCTTACCTAATTACATAGTATTCATTCATTCACTAAACAAACACATGAGAGTTAGAAGAATGTATACATGTTGGTCAGAAGACAGACATTTTTTCCTCGCTCCAAATTCTTAGAGAAGCTTTTTATATGTGTATGACTGTGTGTACGTATATGTGTAAATATATGTACACATATGTATGTCTGTATATATGCATGTGAGTATACACACACATATATGCATATGTATAATGAAACATTAAGATACCAGATTACTTTTAAGGTTTTACAAAAGCCAGATGTATTATTTGACTATAAAATACTGTATTATTAAATTGAGGGCTCTTACTTTCCATTTACCAAGGACATAGCACTCTAACTCCGTGATGGCAGTTCTCTGAAGAGCCTAAATAATATGGTCCAGGTATGCGCATTTCTAATGGCCTAACTTCACACAATAATAGAAATCAAGAGAGCCTGAAGAAATGAACAGATAGCAACATGCCCAATAAAGCATTTATCTCAAAAATCACTTGTGTAAAGCTGATTTCTGGCAAATATGGCAACCTGTACAATCATAAAATTTATTATTATACTCTGATTATTAACTACTTCAAAAATACTGATTATATGAATAATTTATTCAGAATCTGGTGCTTAACAAGTTAAACAGAAAAATTTAGGGAAGAGAATGATTATACAGAAGGGAAGGCTAACACAGAGCACCGTCTGGGAAGAAACAGCTGGACAAAGTAATGAAGAGACCACATCAGGACTGCAGCTGGAAATCTGGATAGATCACAATGCCGTATGATCCTGACTATGTAAGTGCAAGGCCAATATACTTCTGTGGTTCAGTTTTGCATTCCAGACTCCTACAGCTTTAAACCTGTAAGGACAGCTTATATCAAGTGTCATACAACCTAAAAGGTAAGCTCAGTCTAGTGCCTTAAAAAATGCATCACTACCTAGACATTTAGGACAGCCTGAGTTTTATCATCATTTATGCTGAGCAGTATTAATCTTATCTCTTAAAATATCCTTCTATGGGGTTCAAATACCATCATTACCTTGAATTTATACAGCACCATGACCCAAATCCACAGAGCAAAGTGAAAGGCTTAGGGGAGGAGAGAGGAAAGACATCCCCATCTTTTAACAAAGTGAAGTACATTAGGATGGGGGTACATGTGGAAAGTGGGGAGAGGGAGGAGTGACAGAAATGCAAATCTGTGTATTTCAGGAGCCACAGCTATACACAGTGAAATTTTACCAACCCTGTTTTACCATTTGCAAAATGGGATGTGGTTTTACCAAAGTTAGCCTGATGCCAACCTAAAGAACCTCAAGTAAAGGTGATGCGTCATCCAAATCTTCTCTTTCTTCCCTTTGATTCCAGAACTAACATTTGTACCTATATCCTAAATTAAACCCCTAGAATTTAACAACAATCATTTCATAGTCCCTACTGGCCAACCCCTTCTAATCTAAGGATCTCACACGGTACACCAACACTACTATGAAGCCAGGTGGAAGAAAAAGACAATAAATGTATTCTTGCCATGTTATATCGTTAACCTCTTCAACCTGACAATTTATGACAGGTGCCCAGCTCTAACTAGACTGTCTGAACAGGGGGTTTGGGGCGATGCCTACATAAATGCTTGTGTATAGAATTTGCTTCTGATTTGCAGGTTTTCTTAGTAGTGGCATGAGACACAGGGTACTTTCCACCTACCACTTGCCATGCTTTGCTTGAACAAGCAGAGCTCTGAAAACCACAGCAATATTGCCATGGTTAACGTAAAATATTAATGTCTCATTTGTTCAACAGTTTTGTGGAAATTAAAACTTTTAGGTTAATCATATACTGAACAATTTTAATTAAAACAGTTATAAAACAATTAATTCACAAGAGCTAGCTTGGAACTTTGCCAGCCTTATTGGTTTAATGCATGTAGGCAAAACTCATTTTTTTCCCTTTTGACTTAATGAATGCTAATATGTGACACAAAATATGCATACTAAGCTCCTAATACAGTTAGTCCATCTGGTTTTTCTTGCATTCTCTATTTGTCATTTTTCTTTGATAGCAAAATTGAAAATGAGTTCTCTGTGTTAGAAATGATAATGATGCCATGTGCTGTGCTTCATTAAAAAGTGCTCTCTATAAAAATCTTCCAGGGTGAAATAAACACTTTAAGTACCCTCTTTGTGTTGTCACGTGGCTAGGAGTGAAAGGAAAGACAGGCACACAGACTGAGTCCGGAACCACAACTGCAGTGTGAGATTATACTGCCCTTTCACTGACATTTCCAAAGATTCTTTTCTTTCTGAGGGTACTATGAAGACACAGAGGATAAAATATGAGTTTAAATGTCTAAAACAAATCCTCAAGTATTTAAATTTGTTCTGCATTACAATTTGTTTGATTCATTTTGGGATCTATTTGTTTGCCAAAATAAGCACAGATCATGCCCTTGGTTGAATATTTAATACATGCAAAATTACCTTTTTACCACAGGCTAAGACACCTGTTATTTCCAAGAAGGCTTAAGAATAGCATTGTGTCTGATCACTATACCTTCAGATTGGGTTTCCAGGCAAGAGCCCACAGAAAGCATACTAAGCTGTTAGATTCTACTAGAGTATACCTCCCCATCCATCTAAACCTTGCCATGAACCTGAATACTCAAGGCTTTATAGTTTATCAAGCTTCAGAAATACAAAAGGTATACACAACCCAATCCTTCCAGTAAAAGCACAAGTGTTGGGACTTCATCTCAGCTCCCAATTCAAATTTAAGTAACTATACCAAATCCTGTTAGAGTTGAAGAAATGAATTCAATGTAATTCAGCCCTCAAAAGGTGAAAATGATCTCCAGCATAATTATATTAGCTGGTACCTTCACATCTGGGGTGTATCTTATTATTTCTGGTTGGGCACATCACATATGAAGCATATAAACCCATAAAAGGTATTAGATTTCCCTCTTAACTACCTCTCAGGCCAAAAAAAAAAATTCTCTGCTTTCATTTATGTTTAAAGCATAAATAAAGCAGTTGGGATAGAAAGCTTACCAATTTAACACCAATATATCAGCCAAGGCACTCTGGAAAGTCAAAGTTTCCCTCATTAATGTAACAGAGCATAAAGCTATTTGACAATAAGAGTACCAGCTTAGGCATAGGAATATTAATATAAAGACCAACTTTTAAAAGCCTAATTCCAAACAACAGACAGTTGAAGCTTAGGCAGTTAAGTCACCTGAATCTCAATCAGTTAGAAAAGTAAACACTGTAATATAAGTCTGTTCTGATAAATATTCTAAATATGAGCATTTAATAACATCCACTTGTAAAAAGCAACTATTTTCTTCTGGTCTGATCTATTTGTGGAAATCACACGGGATAGAACTAACAGAAGAGGGCTGGCTAAATGATCACAAATACATTTTCAACTCTTATATTGTGTAATTCCATAAGATGTCTGTTATAACTAAAATCATAAAATGTAAGGGTTGGGAGCGACCTCAGAGATTACTATATTTTACTACAATCCTCCTCATTTTGAAAATAAGGGGAAAAATCTACATTTCTAGTGTTAGGAAATTGAAGCCAAGAGCTAATATGATATTTATGAATTACACAGGAATTTCAACAAGCTAAATGTGCCCTCACCACTGATACTTGAGTGGTGCTTTCAATATACCAAAGCATTTAAATGAAGGCTCCAGCCCTATAAGGTTAATGGCTAACCTCTGCTTCCAGGGAATCCATTTTCCTCTTTCTAAGGCAGAAATTCTCAACCAGAGTGATCCTGTCCCTCACTTGGCAACCTATGGAGACATTTTTGGTTGTCACACTTGAGGGGTGCTACTGGTATCTGGTGTGTAGAGTCCAGGGATGCTGCTAAACATCCTACAATACACAAGATACTCCTGCAACATGCAGTAATCCAGCCCCAAATGTCAAGAGTGCTGAGCACCACCAGCAATACTCAAAACACACCTGGAACCAGAAAATAATGCCTCCAAACACTCCTCACCCTTATAATAAGTTGGTCGGCTCTTCCAGGAAGCAATTACTATCAAATGGCCCTGACTTTTCCCATCTCCTACACAGTACTAAAAAGTCAAATCAACTGTTAATTAAAAAAAAAAAAAAAGCTCTGAATACCTATGATTCTTATTAGGAAAGAGTTTCTTTACATGGAGAGTGGGAGAAAGGGAGGGGGAAGGAGAAGGGAATAAGAAGTATACATGGGCGGTGGGAGAGGAGGTAATACTGGCTTTAGAACAAGATAAAAGGAGCAAATAAAGAAGAAAAATTACCCTCTCCTACAAACCTGTGAAAGCATTTCAAATCATTGCAATTACATACGCCCAGGAGAATCCCCCTTCACATTCATGAGGTATTTTCTCCTAACCCTCATGCTATTTCAAGTTAAAATAACACTGTCACAGAGTGGTTGAGCAGCACCATTTCAGGTGATAAATAAATAGCAAAGACAGACACAGCCCAGAAGGTCTTCCACATGGAACACACAAATACACATGCAACACTGCAGCATGGTTTTTATCATTCCCAAGGATACTCTTGTTCATAATTCTGGAACATACAATCCTAACCTGTCTTACACTGTGGAACACTACCTCAGTGAAACCATGAGACCAAAACAACAAAAGTGTCCGTTTTTTTAAAAAGCACTTCTCTTTCCCTTGGTCATGGGCCTCAGACCTTAGAGATCAGAAAAAGAAAAGGATCACACCAATTACTGTCCCAGTTAAGCTTATACACAATGTATTTATAGAGGCAGGTCATACGACATAAGAAACAACCACCAACACCAGATGGTTTCAGTGCTAAATAGTGCCTGCATTTATAGGACCGAGAGAAGGCAATGATCACTGGAAACTACAGTAATTTTGCCCCACCTCCCCCAACCACCTTGGTCTATGAAATGGCAAACACTGTGGACAGGACAAACTTTCTACTTTCAAATTTTACCCTTTAAGATTTTTCCCTTCTAACATTTATTGTCAACTTGATCCAATTAACTTTTCTTTAGAATTTTTACAACATTTTGGTAAAGCAGGTTCATCACCTTCAAGAAAATGTCTTCTCTGAATCTTTGTCCCTCACAAATCAATCTATCCAGGTTCCAGTCTTTACTCCTCTCTAGTCCTCTCAAATTTTTTAGAGATCAGGAAGATTCCCTGAATGTACAGAACTCTCTCCAGATCTAGTAGTGTTACCTCTGAAGAGGGGCAAAAGACTTGCCGCCAATGTCATAATTCCTGAGTTGCTTCTTGTTTAGCTGCTTTGATTGTCAGCGTTCCCACTTCCCAATGACATGGTGAAGCCAACAGTAGCTTTCAACATACCCTGTGCAACTAAGGTTAAAAAGTGAAAACGCACTATTCCTCTGTCGCCCAGGCTGAAGTGCAGTGGCGCGATCTCAGCTCACCGCAAGCTCCGCCTCCCGGGTTCATGCCATTCCCTGCCTAAGCCTCCCAAGTAGCTGGGACTATAGGTGCCCGCCACCACACCCAGCTAACTTCTTTTTGTATTTTTAGTAGAGACGGGTTTTCACTGTGTTAGCCAGGAAGGTCTTGATCTCCTGACCTCGTGATCTGCCCACCTCAGCCTCCCAAAGTGCTGGGATTACAGGCCACCATGCCTGGCCAAAATGCACTATTCCTTCTTTTGTTTTGCTTCATCATTAGTTTTACAACAGCCATGTCCAAATCAGCATCTTTTCCAGATCAACTTCTCACTAACACAGAACCACCTCCACTCAAAATAAGTAAGTTTTAAATTTGCCAACAGTTAGGATCTGCATCCAGAGAAATCAATAGTAACTACCTTCTGCCTCTTCCTAGAATTTCCCTTGTTTTGTTTTTCCTCTCCTGGAGGCTGTCACCATGAAGTCTAAAAAGGTTCAGAAGTGAACATATTAAAAATAAATAAATAAAAGTCTATACTGTCAAACATCAAAAATTGAAAAGAAAAGCGCCTGCAAAACTCAGTAGTATAAATGATGAAAGCTGCTATAAAAAGCCCCAGAAGCACCAACCACATAGGTACAAAAGGAAAACAGCAGGAAGGGAGAAAGCAGGTGGCCCAGGATGGAAAATCAGTATGAAAACACAGGCATCTTTCAATGCTGCCAAGAAGTCTTCCAACAAACCCAAAGAATGTGGAGCCTCTAAGCCTGGAATGCTGTTTCTCAGCTCTTCCTTTTTGATTCCCCTGGAGTGCCAGGGCAGAAGGATGGGGCACATACTACCAACGGCAAACCAAATGTAATTTTTCAGTAGGGTGGAGGTTCTAGTTTTTATCCTCTGAAGTCCCTCTAAAGTCTGTTATTAAGTAGCAAAATCAACTAGATATTGATCAAAAGGGTTAACAACTAAGGGCAGGGAAGCTAAGGGAACATGGGAAGCTAACAAATCAGATGTACAAAATAACAGGTTAGAAAGAGAAAGCAGGTAGCTGAGTCATAAAATGAGGAAGAGATTTATTCACACAAAATGGTGAAGTATGGCTTTAGGCTGGATTTATGCACCAAACGATGAAATCTCTGGGATGCAACCACTGAGGAAGTGGGATAGTAGAAACAACAGAAGGCCCCTGGAGTCAGCTAGATTTGGGTTTGAAACTTGGCTCTGGCTGCTAACTGTAAAACTTCGGGAAAGCCAATTAAACTAAGCCTCAGCCACAGCAAGATGCCATCTCAAAAAAAAAAAAAAAAAAAAACAACTAAGCCTCAGCTTTCCCATCCATAAAATAGGAATATTATCCCTATCATGCAGAGCTGTTGTAAGTATCCATCCCCTGATGGATATCCAATTAGTAGGTATAGCGGCGTTTTGAAAAAAAAAAAAAAAATTGCTTCCCAAAGCCCTGAATGTCATCCCTTTAAATTATTTAATAAGAGAAAAACAGAAAAAAAAATTACACTCTCCTAAAAGATTCCACAGCAAACAATGAATATACGGACAAAATTTAACAAGGGTCTGACCTGAGATTCCTAGGAAAGCTTAGACCCTTGTTTCTCTGCTCTATGCATCTCCTAACCTTCTTTCCTTCTTCACAAATTCCTCTACTCCCTCAAACCCCAGCAGACCAAACAATAGTTCCAGTTAGTCATGTTCTACAAATTACTGATTTCTCACTTTCTTCCTGAATACTCCAATGCCCTCCAACTCCCCTGTTTACATTTGTGGCACTGGTCATTTTAAAGACACTGTCTCAAAACAAAAGCCAGATTTCAAGGTCACCAAACATCTGCCAGTTGCTGGTTTATTTTGTTTTACCTAAGTATCTTAAAAATAAACTTTACCTATATCTCATCTGTCCTCCTTGAAGCATATTCCTTAACAGTCAATGGAAGTGGATATGTGAATAGCAAAAGCATAATAATTTAATTCACTAAACAATTTCATAGTGGTTCTCAAAGGCCACATTGTTTACATTTGGTAATTGCTATCATTCTCTGCAGTATTTACTTTTTAAACCACATATTTATTATTTTTTTAAATGAATTTCCCTGGTAATGAACCAAAGAGCCTACAAAGATACTGATGTCTATAAGAAATAATGCATTATATAGTATCAGACAGTAGTTTGCTCATGAATATCTCCAGATTTGACTTCTCTTTCATCACAAAGAATGGCTTTAGCAAACAAAGAAAGAGATGAAGACATGAAGAGTCATGCCATTTCTTTACTGTGTGTCTTAGTCAGTTTAACCTCTCTGTGCCTCTTGGTGTCTCTGCATCCCATATAGTAGGTTCAGAACCTAGAAAAGTAATAAGGATTAACTCTTTATAAAGTTTCTCAGAAGAGAAATAGTATATAATTGTCTAGCTCTAATAAACGAACCACTACCTCTAAAACTTAAACCTAAGGTTACAAATGAATAACAAGAGAAATAGATTGGTCAGTCATTCATCTAACTTTCACTGAACACTTTTAGGATCAGAATAACTCTATTTGTAAACTCAGATTTATATTTGAAATAATTCAAACAATAAGCATTTACACTATATGCCTGCTATATAATAGGAAAGGGATCAACAAACTACTTCTGTGAAGTGCCAGATAGCAAATATTTTAGGCTATTCAGGCCATATGGTTTCTGCTGCAACTACTCAATTCTGCTGTTGTAGTGCAAAATGATGCCAAAGGCAATAACGTAAATGAATGAGCATGGCTGTATTCCAATAAAACTTTATTTATGAACACTGAAATTCAAATTCCACATAATTTTCACGTGGCATGAAATATATATCCTTTGATTTGTTTTCAATCATTTAAAAAGGCAAAAACTGTTCTTAGCTCATGACCGCATAAAAACAGGTAGTGGCCTGGTTTGGCCTGTGGACCAAACTTTGCCAATCCCTGTACCTGGCCCAGGTGCCAAGCATTTGAGCAACATCAAGAATAATTATACAATTTCCCTGCTTTTTAAGACAAAAGGGAAGGTAAACCAACAATTACAGAACAATGTGATAAATGCTAAGAAGAGAAGTATGCCCACTGTTACAGGAGCCAGAGATGGAGCAATTAAGGAAATTTCTCCTTAATTTCTAATGAGGTCTTGATATAAACAAACTAATGCAATTCTAGTTTGACTTTTCTATAATAAATTGTTAGAAGTTACCTTTATAAACAAAGTTTGACTTTAAAAAAAAAATCCTTCACCACCCACATCTGCTCAGGCTTTATCAGAACGCACCTGGGTGTGTTCTGAAACATCCTTTTTAATTATCATTCCAGGCCAGGACCTCCGGCAAAATCCATTCTCCACTGATCTGCCAGGAAGCAAGCACAACCCAGGTGGTAGCTGACTGCGACTCTTAAGGGCAAGTCCACAGGTCTCACCTGTTTATTTCGCCCTAGTGCTTTAGCTGCCATAGGTAATAATTTTCAAGTACTCTGGGATAGGAAAAAAATCAAACAGGTTTTTTCCCCTAAGTGAAAGGTCAATGGAATATCAGCTTGGCCAGAGTCTCAAATATTTGCCTGCACCTCGCTGGTTCTGCCTAATCAAATCAGGTTTATTAGAGGGTCACCTCTAATCAGCACTAGGTTTTATCTGCATTTGGAGATGCTTAGGCAGATTTATCTTAACTACCTCAGAACAAACTAAGCTTGGGTCTTGAGACTTAATTGTCACAACTGTCTGCCCGGATGTTTTGTTCTGAGGGGAAAGCTGAAGGAGCCGGGAGCCAAGCTGACATCATCAGCTGTGTATTTAATTAAAGCAAGATGAACGGCAGGCAGCCTGGGAAGGACAGTGGGTCAGTCTTCCTGTCCCGATCCAGAAAGGCTGCACGACTCATGGAAATCTAACAGACTTAGATCCTCCCATTCATCTGGCAAAAGGACTATCTTTCCTGAAGTCCAGGAAGGTGAACACCAGTGTGAGCCTTTGACTTCTCCATGAGCCCTGAATGTCACATGAAAGGAGAATCAGCAACTATCACCTCCTAAAAGCCAACAGGACACAGACCCTTTAAAATAAAATAAAATCCAAAATAACTACATATGCCCACAGAAGCCACATGTTGGGCTTGTGATCCAACATCAAATTCACATATTCAAGCAAGTTCTGCCACTTGAAAATACAGAGAGAATAAACTGAACCCAAGATCTGGGTGGTTCTTTTCTTGGTCATTTTCCTCTCCCAGAAGCCAGTCTCTTCAATGTCAGGGAGGAGCAAGGCTACATCTCATTCAGCTTTTTATTCCCATGCTATGTTGGGTGATTAAATCAAAAAACAGGATACATTATCTGGCCAACATGCCCTATGTTCTTTTTTGTAAAATAAAAGGAATGATAGATAAAACCCAATAGTCTGAAAGAGAAAAAAAAAGTAAGCAAATTAAACAATTTTGAAATGTGAGCAAAATTAGCAAATCTTCTATTTGTATCAAGTTTTTCCCCAACAGAGAGACTGTTAACCTAGCACTCCAAGGAGCATCAGGAACCTGAGCCTCTGTGGTAATACCACTCGAGAATTCACTTCACTCTGGTGGCAAGCTTATATTTCCCAAGAGGCCTTTCCAGGAGATCTAGGGGTCAGCTGCGTCAAGATTCCTAATGGCTGTGAAATGAAGCTATGTCACTGTTGTGGTCACCACACACTGGGGAAGGGGCAGAGGGGCCATTTGCCAACAGGCCCCAAGAAAATTATTAAATAATCCCATCTGCCAAGATAGCTGGAGGCAGGGAAATGAGATCCAGAAGAGAAAGGGGACATACAGTGAAAAGAAGAAATTTGTCCTGCCACCACCTCATCACTATCTTAATTTTCAATTCTTGACAACGATGAGCATATGACATCAGCAGCATTGCTAAGGCTTTGCCTGGGATATAAGGTTTCTGTCCCCATGCCTCTTCTCCTCTGCCCCATACAACTTGTGGGCCTAGCAGGGCTGACTGCAATAGTACAACAGCCCAGAGGGTGACTGAAACATTGAAATTGTTCCCGAAAGGCTAGTAACAAGCTACTGCCCAGGACCCTTCTCCTAAACAGGTCCCCAGGAAGGCACGGCCCTCCCCTGAGACACTCCCCCAACTTCCTGACCCAGTAGGGAGCCTTCATATATTCTCAATATCACATCTCAAGCCAACTATCCCACCACTAGACAGAGAAGCTCATCTCTGGGTGGGGCCAAGAGGGGACTCCACTTCCCTTCCCCCAAATTACCCTTCCCACACCCTCAGTGTTTCTCAAACTTTAAAGTCCATCAGAATCACCTGGAGGACTTGTAAAAACAAATTACTGTGCCCCGCACTGCCAGAATTTCTGGTTCAGTAGGTCTGGGGTGGGCCCCACCAATCTGCAATTCTAACCGTTCCCAGATGACGCTGACACTTCTGGACTGGGGACCATAATTTGAGAACCACTGCAGTAAATTAAAAACAACAACAACAACAACAACAAAAAACTAGAAAGTCAGGTAATTGTTTTCAGTTTTTAAAAAATATGACAGGCCCCAAATTAATACAGAGCCTAGAGCTTTTTATATCCACAAAACAGCTGCCAAAATCCTGAAGTGTTTGCTTTGCTGTATAAGCGGCCGGTTGTGATTTTGCACTCAGCCACAATGCAAGATTGTAGATTTTTTTTTCATTAACTGGAGGATTTGCTTCATGTCTGTATTATTGTTTTACAGTTTCTAATTACTAGGCTGTGAAGTGCCAAATGGTCAACAAGCTTCCCTATTGTTATTCAGGTGCATCAACTGATGCTGGTGCTGAAGAGTGCCTTGTTTTATGGGGCTGCTGGGCGACACACTTGCTGCCTGTGGATACTCATGTATTGCTAAGACAGGAGCACAAATTAACCACAGAAACACAACCTCTACCAATTAACTAATCTTTACAAAGCAAGAGCACTTATAGCCTTATTTCCTTGTCAGGAGCCCTATTATTTGACCACACAGTCAAGAGGGACTACAGCTAAAGAAGCCCACCTCTAAACATTTTTCTTTCTGGTTCTTTAAAACACACAGTTGCCATCATCAAAGACCACCCAGAACACCCCACTTAGTTCATTGAAAATATAAAGACAGTAAGTGCTTAGGTTGATGTAAAAGGGTAGATATCTCAAACAGGAAAACCGTCACAAGTCCAGCTATCCTGGCAGTGACCTCGAAAACCTTTCCCTGAGTAGTTGGACAAGAGCCCTGGAACTGGGCTGCCTAGTTTGAATCTTGATTGCATCACTCATTTCAGCTGTGTACATAATGGCATGTTATTGAACCTCCCTGAGCATCAACTTCCTCATCTGCAAATTGAAGACAGACAATGACAGTACATAAACTTTACTGGGCTGGCCTGAATATTTTAAGAGATAATCTGTGTGAAGTGTTTGTCACAGTGCTGGGCACATGTTAAGTACTCAATAAGGTTTAGGCATTATTACTGCTCCCTGTGAAGGTCTGGGGCAGGATATGAAAGGGCCTGTGCTCTCCTTCCCCTTGGAGATGTCAGCAAAGCATGGCGAGGAGAGCAGCTTCTCCTCTGTCCCAAAGGGAAGCAGAAGATTAGGAGCTAGATCAAGCAAGACTGGGGGCTGCAGGTGTAGGAAGTGAATCAAGATGACTTCAAAAGAGAGAATAAAAAGTGGGCTTATGAAGAATTGGTGGACTCTTCCTGGCAAATTGGGCAAGAAAAGCAGAGATGGTGACAGGAAGAAAAAGCAAGCATAGCTGTCCACTGGCTGGTTAAGAGCAGCTCTCAAAGGTCGCCAGACCAACATCCCGTCTTATGATTCCAAAGCATCTGAGAACTATTAGCACAGAATACAGAAGTTTTATAAATTTCCCCTAACTGATCCAATTTTTCCCCTCATTCAAATTCCCTCCCCAACCTCTGCCCATCTGGATCTGCCTCAGCAGAAATGGATACTAAGTAGAGACAGAGAGAAGTAAGGAGGTCTCTTCATAGAGTGGAAACAACAGGCCCAGAAGAACAAAGCTGGGCTGATGCAGAGGAGGTGGCAGGCAGGGTGAGCCTCAGGTCAGAGAGGACATAGAAGTAAAGGACACAAGTACAAAATGAGCACACATTCTTCCAGCAGCTGCTTCCTAACAAAGGTAACCCTGAAAAGTAGGTAATCGTGAATCAATAAAAGCAAAAAACGGGTTATTTCTCCTCAAGGAGCATGAAAAAAAAAAAAAACCAAACCCACCACCATTATGTGGGCACATGCATGCACATACAGAGAATTAAAGTAATTCTTAGTACACTTAGAGAAAATTACATTTCTTGCTTCAGGTGTGTGTACTCTGCTACGCTCTGAAACTCATGAGTGAGAAGTGTTCTCTCAATGACCCTAGCTCTTGAAAATACAAGTGCTATACAGGAAGAGAACACTGTACACTTGATACAGGAGTGCTGGAGAGAGATACTATCTTCATCCAATGGGCTAGTTGCACTTTTCTTCCTAAAAGCAAATCAAAACCATTAATCAATCATAAAACTGTTCTTCAGGCTCCATAATCTGGCCCACACCTGAAATTTCTCTTTAGTCTTTGGGGACAGGACACAGATGCAGAGCTGCCCCATTAGAAAAGTTAAATAAGGAACCTAACTCACTTCTTGGCCTGAGAAGAGTAACAGGCAGAGCCCAGGTGGGACAATAAATGAAGAGCCAGCAAGCCCACATGAAGAAGGAAGTCCCCACTCCACAACAGCACTGGAAGTCCCAAGGTCAGAGTGTCACTTCAGTCCCTTCAATGCAGGAACCTTCTCCCAGCCACAAAACAGCCAGATACACTGCAATATGAGTTAGTTTGTGAACCAAACCAATTAACTCACAGGATCTTAATAGTGGGCACTCAGCCTCCTAGCTAAAGCACTACGAACCTCATTTTTAAAGATACTTGGAAAGAAAATCCCAGTATCTCTGAAGGCCAATCCAGTGTGTAGTAGTCACTTGTGGGTCTTGAAGTTGTTTATATCTAACAAAACTACCTTTGGCAAAGATCTAAAAAAGGAAATTTACTATTACTTTTTTCACAGTTCCTCCAGCCCCCACTATCGATGTAGTAAGCATACTTTCAGACCTACATGGTCTAAATTTCTTACACTTTTCCCCCTTTTTTTCAAAAGACATTACAAAATTTGACATAATTCATGTGTTTGTAAAACTTTGCAGGTCCATAAATTCACAAATTGAGGAAAAGCCTGTGACAACAAGAATATTTTGCTTCAGAAAAATGGTCACTGCACCTGTAGAAACAGGCAAGAGCCAACTAGCACCTATAATAAAACTATAAACACTCAAAAAATGACAGCTAAGAATGCTTCCAGCTCCTAAGTTCCAAAGTGCTTTATTCTCAATATCTAGTAGTGCCTCAGTGTCATAACCATACTACTGTCTCCGTACATTATTATTACACATCTCACCTGACTCTCTTTCCCCAAATCAGGGCAAAGAAAAAAAATCCCTGTCACAGGTACTAACAGCCACCAAGCAAAGGGGAAGCCAGGAGACAGCCTATTTTGCTACATGGAATGGCCTCTCTATCAGGCACAGGTGTCTACTTTCAAGTTATTTAGATTAACTTGCCCCAAACCAATAAAACCAACTTATTCCCGGAAAGTTAAAATGCCTGCTCACCTTAACAAGCAGAGCCCACCATAGAGAGTATAAGAGCAATACTGCTTTATGCAGACCTGAAATCTTCAATAAGATTAACTTACCTAATAGGATTTAAGGACGCTATGAAGGCCATTATGGTGTCTCCTACAAGCTGGAGGCTCCAAAGGCCTTAACCATTCGATTTAATCTAATCTGGCCTAATCTAATCAAGGCTGTCTCCCTGCATTCTGTCAGTGGGGACTTTGAACAATAATCTAAAAACTAAAGAAAAAACTTACACTCAAATCACACCCTGTAGACCAAATATATACTAACCTTTATCCAGAAATTAGTGCAGACCTGGCAACAAATATGTGTGGGGGTCTTTTTCTGCCTTGATTTGCTAATCTTTATGATCTACATAAGCTAAGAAATGATTTTACCATCCATTTGACACTTAAATTCTAATTGAATGACACAAGGAAGATTTCACATGTTGATTAGTGATCTTACTCAAAATCCACAGAATAGAAACCATGGATTCTAGTCCCAATTCAGTCACTATCTGAATCAACCTTGAATATTCTGTGTAACTTCTCTGAACCTCTAGTTGCTAGTCTATCATGAGATGAAGAGGTTTCACCCAAATTCATAACTACCTCTGGTTACCTGAAGGCAGAAACACAGTCAGTCCTTTTAAGTATAGTAGGCGGGTCTATTTCTCACCCCACAGAGCCATAACCTCATTTAACAAGTGCGTCCAGCTTTGGGGAATTCCCCAGAACACGCTAGTTCAAACAATCCAGAAATGACTAGTTCCAAATATTAGCCACGGAGTAAAATGGCCACCTTCCTGGTGCAAGAAACATTTCCTCAGGTTCTGCTAACACATCTGAACCTGTGGCTCAGAAAAATCTGCTGTTCCCAGAAACTCAGAGTTCAATGAGAGATCCAGAAAAAAAAACACTGGTTATCAGAGGGTAGCAGCTATCAAAGGTGTCAACAGCAGAGTATGCACTACTTGCCAGAGATGTCATAAGTTTGTTTCACACCCCGTTCCTCACACTGTCTCAGACCAGTCACGCCCAGGCAGTCCTCACGACACTACTAGGGCAACACAGCCTCCAACTCCTCACTCTGAACCAAATCTGCATTCCCAATGGCCTATAACCTAATTAGGTTTTAAGAAAAGATTCAGGTTAAAAAAGTATCCCTTTCAGCACACTTAACAGAAGACCAAGGCAGAGCCTCAGCTAAGGGCAGGGAATATAAAGATGAGGAAGAGCAGATCCGGGCCCTCAAAGCACACAGCATAGCACGGGCGACTTGCACAGGATTCTAACGCAGTATGTGCAAAAACTGAGGTAAGCCCAGGTGACAGAAAAGAGATGAAACACAGCATGCCACATAGTGAGACCCAAGGGACAAAGGCAAAAAACAGTATCATGCACAGGGAGCAATAAGCAGTTCATTACTGCAGGAGCATTTTAAAAAGGCAAACAGGAATGGTGAACAAGAACATCTTCATGGGCTTGCAACCCGTGCAATCCCAGAGGGACCTACATCCAGAAAGGGCCCCATACTTGGTTTAATGCTCTACCATCACTGTCTCGAAATTCCTAATATTTCTTTTTAAATAAGGGGCCTCACAAATTACATAGCTGGTCCTGGTAGTGAGAGATGGCAGGAAATCAGGCAGGGACCCACGGGGCTAAAATGATGAAAGTTCTCCTCTGAATAACCCACTGGTAATCCACGCCTTCAATAGAGTACTTTACAGTGGCCAGGAATCCTACTGCTAAGATTCTAATTCAGAAGGCCTGGGATAGGAAGGCTACAGAAAGTGCCTTTTTAACAGGCTCCTGGCAATTCTGATGTCAGCAGTTTGAGAAAGTATATCTAAAATGTAACGATGCTTTAACTCTTTATTATTTCTTATTGATAGAAAGAGTACAAAGAAGGCCCTCCCTCAGCAAGCATCTTTCCCAAGCTCTTAACCTACTTAGGACATACTCCAGTCTGTGGGTAGTACCAGGCTTCCAAAATGGCCATCAGAGCACAATTTTAGAAAAACAGCATGGGAATAGCCCAATTTAATAAGTTAATCATCCCAATAAATGATTTTGCCATCTCTTGTCACCTAATTTATATTCAGTTTTTAACTCCTACCCATTCCCATAGCTCTCAATCTCCAACCATCCACAGTGTAACAAAACAACTGGCCCAGTTTGGATGGCTAAAATTGTGCTGCTGCATAAGACTGTGTGGGGAAGGAAAAGGGCAGAGAAAGGAATAGGAAAAAAATGACTTCATGGTATATTTCTTAGAAGGCACTGTTCTCTTTTCTTCCTCCTTCCTTGCTAATTTCTTCCCAGTGATCCTTCCAGATTTTGCTGAGAGTCACTCTTCAGAAGCAATTTGCCAGAATCCGAGACTGGGTTAGATTCGCCTCCTTATATGCTCTGAAAGAGTCTGTGGTTATTCTCTATAACCCTCATCTAATTATAGCTATTTGCTGGATTTAGCTTTTTTTTTTAATGTTTGTATCCTCCACTAGACAGCCCTATGGCATCAAAACATAATTCACATGTATCCACTAGTTAGCAACTAGTGAGTGTTCTGTAGATACATAGGAATGAGGGAGAAAGGTTGTAAGTCTTTGAGTTGGCCACGGAAAGGAGGATGAGGTGACTCTGCTCACAGCGCCAAAGGCCAAAAAAAAAAGCATACAGTGAGACTCTGACAAAGCAGCAAACAAAGGAGGCACAACTGGACCACGGGTTGTTGGCAACTGTTTCGTATGTCCACTCTTTAAGAGTTAAGGAACAGTATCATCCACTGGAACACAAAGCTGTATGTAACAGGCAAAAGGAGGTAGTTTGGAACCCAGCTCATTGGACTACAGAAACACAGTGTACCAAAAGCCAATGCAGTTTGCTGGATGCCTCTTGCTCCCCAAGTACCTAGACTGTAAGACAAACTCCGTTTTTGTTTTGTTTTGGCTGTTGTTAGGGTTTCCAGCTTACTCAGGAAAACCAGAGAGGTCCAAGGTATCTACAGGTCCGAGACAAAGTGTAGTGAAAAACTGGCTGATTTTCTAACAGCACCATGTACACACGTACAAGAAGAGACATTAATCCACAGCTCCGCTCAGCAAATGCCATGGAAAATGACTGGTCTCCAGTCTTGTTCATTTATTCCTCCATGGGTTCCAGCCTAAATGTTGCTCCTACCTACTTACTTAACCATCTTGGAGTGATTAAACCCTCTCCCCAGCCATCCAACTTAAATAGCACTAAGTTCTTAATTAAAACACACTATAAAAAATGATGAACAACCAAATTCAGGTGCTGCATAATTTATTTACATTTATGTAACAGTTTCCCCCAAGGAACTCAAGGCATTTTGCAAACTTAAACCTATCTGGCAGATATTAATCTTCACAAAATCCCACAAGAAAGGCAAGAATGTAAGACGTATAATCAATAACAGGTCCCTTCACACATACACATCCTCCCCCTACATGACTGTGCATCACTCTAAGTCTCTCTGGGTCAGAGATCTAAATTAATTTGGAAAATTATACCAAGTACAGGTGAGATTTCTCAAGAAACCTCACAAAAAGAAGAGGAGCCAAAGACTGTTCTACTACACTATGAAAAAAGTTACTACATCTTTTCTTGCACGTTTTCTATTCGCTAATAGAAAAAAAAAATCCCATCCCACTCCAAAGTAAAATTTTAAAGACCAACTTTAAAATGCACGTGGAGTTTTTTTTTTTTTTAAAGTTACTGAATTCTAATACACATTGTTGCTCCAAACCTCCCTGACCTAACCCCTCAGAGGAGAACCTATGTTTTAAACAAACACCCCAGGCTTTCCAGAGCCTTTAAAGGTACTGGTAATGTTTTACTTCTTAAGCAGGGTGATGAGTACATGAGTTTTGGGTTTATTTTTCTTCTGTATATCACTCATACTTATATACCATTATACATATATGTCTTGTAAGTTTGTTAGTGCTCTTGATGAATTATGTACAGATAGGTCAGGAATCATGCTTTGGGAACCCATGCAGGCTGCATCAGAATCTCCTAGGCACTTTTCAAAGTAGAACTCTGTTATGGGTTTAATTGTGTCCCCTCAGAAATATACGTTAAAGCCCTAACCCTCAGTATGTCACAATGTGACCTTATTTAGAAATAAGGTTCTTTCAGACACCAATGTTAAAACGAGGGCATACTGGATTAGGGTGGATTAGGGCAGATGTCCTTACCAGAAGATGGCCATGTAAAGACACAAGGAGAACACTAAGAGACAACAAAGGCAAATATTGAAATTATGCAGCTGCAAGCCAAAGAATGCCAAAGACTGTCAATAAACTACCAGAAGCTAGGAAGAGGCAAAGAAAGATTCCCCTATAGGCTTAAGAGGAAACATGGTCCTGCCAACACCTTAATTTCACATTTCCTAGCCTCCAAAACTATGAGACTATTTCTGTTGTTTTAAGCCACTCAGTTTGTGATACTTTGTTATGGCAGCCTTGGAAACTAATACAAGCTTCTATTAAGAGTGGCACTGAGGAGACTGGGCGTGGTGGCTCACGCCTGTAATCCCAGCACTTAGGGGAAGCTGAGGCAGGAGGATTGTTTGAGCCCAGGAGTTCAAGACCAGCCTAGGCAATATAGTGAGACCTCATCTCTAGAAAAAAATTTAAAAATCAGCTAGGTGTGCTGGTGCATGCCTGTAGTCCCAGCTACTCAGGAAGGAGGCTGAGATGGGAGGATCACTCAACCCTGGGAAGTTGATGCTACAGTGAGCAATGCTCATGGCACTGCACTCCAGCCTAGGTGACAGAGCAAGACCATTAAAAAAAAAAAAAAAGATAGTGAAAGTGTCTGACCATTTGATCTAATTTTGAGAAGTCTGCCACAGGTTCTAGAATCCTAATAATGTTTGCATAGGAAAAGACCTCTGAATAACCTTCTTGTTTTGGAGATAAGAAAAAAATTGAGTCTGAAATTCCAATCATTAAAACGGTAAACTGTTATCTGGAGAGTCATAATGCTTTAGAAACGCTAACTCAAATACCTGAAAAAAAAATGAGGCACAAGGTCACTATGCTTTGTTTTTGTTTTTTGTTTTGTTTTGTTTGAGACAGAGTCTCGCTCTATCGCCCAGGCTGGAGTGCAGTGGCGCCATCTCGGCTCACTGCAAGCTCCGCCTCCCGGGTTCACGCCATTCTCCTGCCTCAGCTTCCCGAGCAGCTGGGACTACAGGCGCCCGCCACTACGCGCGGCTAATTTTTTGTATTTTTTTAGTAGAGACGGGGTTTCACCGTGTTAGCCAGGATGGTCTCGATCTCCTGATCTCGTGATCCGCCTGCCTCGCCCTCCCAAGATGCTGGGATTACAGGCGTGAGCCACCGCACCCGGTCAAGGTCACTATGTTTTTAAAGCAAACAGGGAAGAGAGTTCAGGGACTAACAGGAAGTATACACAAAGACAGCCTGGCCTCCTGGGTCTACAAAAGGAGAGAGGAGAGGCCTTAGGACCAATATTGCAGTCCAACTAAGTTTTAAGGAAATTGTCTCTAAAATTACCCACATTGGTCTGTTATTAGCCTCTGTTCCTATCTGAAAATTAAAAGGTTTAAGAGAATCCTGACCTGTGCCTGGTTTGGTATAACCATATTTGCAAAGAGCTAATATTTGGAGAAAGTAGTAAGGAAAAGCTATCTGATTCCACTATCCAACCATCCGTCCTTTTAAGTGTCTGACTATAATCCACACAGACATACTTAGCAAACTTTAAAATACAGCCTCTCAACATTGTTACAATTAAGTCACTCTGAAATGTCATGAAAAGCAATCTAGTCCCATTAAAATCTTCACACTCTCATTAAAAAAGCACTTACAGACTTGAAAATGTTCCTAATACATTATTTAAAGACACAAGATGTACAGTGACTAAAATCCTTGTATAAGGAGAAACAGTAGCAGCCTGCTTTTTTAAAAAAATGTGCAAATTTGTGTTATAATTGGGTAATTGGGAAACTGCAGGTAGCAGTCAGGTTGTATTATACTAGTTTAAAAAAGGTTTAGGGGGCCTTTCCCTACCCCCTCCTCCAAAATTTCAGACCACCCAGGGACAACCACAACAACAGTATAAACAACATACCTCTTAGTTCAACTAATGGTCCCTCCTTCTTCCTTCCAGCATTTCTAAGCCCAGGAAGGAGGTAGGGGAAGAAGGAGAAAAAAAAAAAAAAAAAATCCAGACCGTTTCAGCTGACACCCCCAGGCCACCAGTCATCACTGTAGAGTCCTGACCTCTAGTCCATTGGGTCTCCTCCTTTTCAATTAACGCTCGTTGGTATTTATCTGTTGCCATTCAGAGATGTAAATGTGTTTTTTATAGGCCCTAAATCCCCTAAGGTAACACAGCAGGAGCCCCAGACTGGAAGTCTCTTTTTCCGCTCCTCCCCTCCTCCAAACCCTCTCCCCCTGCCCCATAACCCCACAGAAACCACCTTAAACTCAGGAGCTAAGTTTTCAACACTGAGGGGATTGGGCACTGGGACTCCCAAAGCAGATACAGCATCACAAAACAGAGATGCCACATGTCCTGCTAGGTCAGGCTGACCTCCACCAGTTCAATGGATTTTACAGGTCCAAATTTGTTTAATGTTTGTTTTCAACAAAATTACTGAAAACATTGACTTTGTACAAAAGGTAAGATTTATGATTCCTGTTTCCTCTCTCTACCTGACTATACATCATTGCACAATGCCCTCAGCCTCCTAACCTGTAAAATGAAAGGGATGGACTTCCCAAACTCTTTTACAATCCTCCCTTTAAATCACTTCTGAGTCCTCCCCTTACTTACAGATATGCATTTGCTTCTAAGTACAATTAAGCACCAGGTCAAAAAATGACCCACTTTACTTGACAATTTTCATTGCAATTTTAAAAAGGAAATTTTATGTGGCTTTAAAATATTCAAAAGCCCTGTTGAAGAATTCAAGACTCTGCCAGGCACAGTGGCTCATGCCTGTAATCTCAGTATTTTTGGAGGCCAAGGCAGGAGGATCACTTGAGGTCAGAAGTTTGACACCAGCCAGGGCAACACTGCAAGACCTCATCTCTACCAAAAAAAAAAAAAAAATTAACTGGGTGTGGTGGTAGGTGCCAGTAGTCTCCGCTACTCAGGTAGCTGAGGCAGGAGGATCACTTGAGCCCAGGAGTTTGAGGCTGCAGTGAGCTATAATAGCACCACTGCACTCCAGTCTGGGCACAGAGCAAGACCCCGTCTCTTAAGAAAAATAAAACAGAATTCAAGACTTGCTGCCAAGCAGAAGAAAGATGGTGAGATTTTCTTGGTTCCTTTTCCCATTCCAAACCTCTCTTACTCAAGAGATTTTTAATATATACTACATATATACTACACCATTGCTGGCAAAATGAATGAAGCCAAATAAATAAACATAGCACATTAGTCATTCTTATACAGTTAAGTCATATTGTCTTGAGTGCCTATTAAGTGCTAGGAGGTTTACATAACCATTGTATTCTTTTTAGATATATGTTAATATTACAATTAGGGAAATTGCAGAAGTAAAGGAAGTTTACCAAAGTCAGAAATGTAGAAAACTAGGGGAAGGCTACTGAGCCCTCTACATCTTGACTTATTAATGAATGAATGATGAACAAACAAAAACTTTAAAAGTTTTTTTTTTTTTTTAAGACAAGATGCAGGAAGAAGAAATTGAGAATTCACTACATAACTTCCCACCATCAAGGCTTTACAACAGCAACATTTTGTTTTCCTTAAATGTTCCTGTTTGGTAGTCCAATGCTCAAAAACTGAAGACAGTATGTTTTGGATCACTTTTGTCCTGGAAGAAAAAAAAAAAGTCTAGGGGTCCTCTACAAATAGTTATGACCAAAGCTCAGCAAAGAATGGGAATGACTGCAATTAAATGCCACTGGCCCTGGCTCACTAACAGCCAGCCAGTCCCTGCTATCTGGCAACCTTTGTGCTTAGCTTCCTGCCTCTTGCTACACAGAGAACACAGGGCCTGTCTTAGCTCAGGCCACCATAACGAAATACCAAAGACTGGGTGACTTAAACAGGCGAACCTGATTTTCTCACAGTTCTGGAGGCTGGAAATCCAAGATCAGGGTGCCAGCATGATAGGGTTCTGGTGGGGGCTCTCTTCCTGGCTTGTAGATGGTCACTTTCTCTTTTTTAAATTGAATTGTGAACCTTATGTATGTCTGTACACACATATTTATTTACAGACAGGGTCTCACTCTGTTGCCCAGGTTGAGTGCAGTGGCACAATCAAGGCTCACTGCAGCCTCATCTCCAGGGCTTCAAGCAATCTTCTCACCTCAGCCTCTCTGGTAGCTGGGACTACCATCACATTGGAGGTTAGAGCTTCAACATACGAATTTGGGGGGTGGAGAATACAATTCACTCAATATCAGGGAGCTTCTTCAAATTTACTTACTGCTGCAATTGGAACAACAGTTATAATCCTTTGACAAACACTTAATGAGCACCTAACACTGGCAGTTCTGTGCTGGGGGCGGGGTGGGGGGTTGGCGGGCAGAAGAATGAACAGCCCTCAAACTCAAACCCTGCCCTCATCAGTATCTGGGGACTCCATAAAACAAGGGCATGGTACAAATACTCTGTGGAGCTGAGAAGTTTTAAATGAGCACAAAGACTTTCTGTCAATCAGTGTTTATTGAGGCTTTAGTATGAAGTGAGATACTTATTCACAGATCCAAAGGAAGATACAGAAAAAAAAAAAACCTGAAATATGGTGTGGCTGACAGATGCTTCAGACGGCCCCCATGACCCTTGCCTCCTGGTTGTCAATGCCCTTGTGTGATCATCTCACCTTGAGCGTGGGAGGGACCTGTGACTTGCTTTTAACCAGAGTAGAGCAAAGATGATGGACATACATGATTATGTATACATGATTATGTGATTACATTCCAAAAGACTGCAGCACTGCCTTGTTCTCTCCCTTGCTGCTTCTGAGGGGGCCAGCAGCCATGTTAGGGAAGCACACATTACAAGGATATGTGGGTGGCCTCAAGGAGCAAAGGGCAGCCCCTAGCCAGCAAAAACATTAAGTCCCTCTAGTCCTCCAGCTGCAAGGAAATAAGTTCCACCAACAATCACAGTGGGCTCAGTAGCTTATGCTTCCATAGTCAAGCGTGTAAGTGAGACCCCAGCCCAGGACAACATCTTGATTGCAGCCTTGCAAAGGACCCAACTAAGAAGTGCCCAGACTCCTCCTGACTCACAGAAACTGTGGGATAATAAATGTGTATTATTTTAAGGCACTAAGTTTGTGGTAATGTTGTTATATATCAATTGATAACCAATACGAGATAATTTTCTTGAATGTATCATTTAAAGTGTTTTAAAATACCCCTTTTCCCTCACAAATCAATAATTGCCTGAGACTGTGTGAGGGAAGGGGTGGGTATATTTGTTAATCTCTCAAGGAAGAGAACAGGAAGAGGCCTGAAATAAATGCATGGAAATGTCTAATCACAGATCTGTTAGTAATCAGAACAGTATCAAATCTAACAGCTGAGGACACTGACATCTAGAAAGGTTCAGTGACTTATTCAAAGTTACAGAATACACTCGTCACTGAGCTGGGAGCCAGGTTCCTATACACAAGTCCTTGCCAACCAAGACAACTGCTTATATCAATTTTTGCTAAAAATACTCAAAAAGTATATATCAAAGTACAGTTCTTCCCACATTTAGGATGGTAAGTCAAACCAAATATTCCATTTTCGGTTAAGAATCTGCAGTGCTTCATTGAATATGTTTATGTACACTGTGTATGTTAGAAAACTGGGATGGATTTGTCCTGACTCATGGATATAAATTTGTTTGTTGCCATTTTTTTCCCTTCCCTTAAAAATAAAAAAAATAGGATAAGAACTGCAGCCTTTTGAGAGTTCCAGGTAATTTGGTTTTACTCCATGACAGTCTTATTGCTCCAAAATGGGTTAAGGAGAAAAAAACTAAATGAACAAAGCCATTTAACCTAAAAATGTATCCACTTTTAAACCTCTATGGAAGTGAATCCTCCCTAGAGAATCGTGGAATGTCTGCATTAGAAGACTGTGCTAGTTCTGGGCCAACTCCCTCAGTTATTGGAAGGTTAAGTGACTTGCCCAAGGTCACAAAGAAAATTAACTACAAAACTGAGTCAGGCTGACTTCCAGTTTAGTTATTTCCTGCACCATACTGGGAATCACTCTGTCCCCAAATTGCAAATGGATACAAATACTTTAAAGGGAAATGTCATCAATCAATATCCTGACCTTGGGCTTCAAACTCAATCACTAGTGGAGAACAGAATGCCAAACTGAACTTGTGCTTATAGTATTCCAGATGAAATGCAGAATATAAGAAAAGGGTTCTGTAAAAACTAATGACTATGGAACATTTGTGTGAAAGAATACTTCATGATGCAGAATTGTTGAATTCCTTAAAAAATGTAACTGAAATCTTGAAATGTAAATCATATTTAAGCATTGAGAGAAAATGCTAATAATACCACCACCTGTCCAATCTGTCTTCCATAAAACATAATTTTATTTACTGAATTTACTTAAAGTGAGTAGCTTTCACAGTCCAATAACTTGCTCCAAGTCTAAACAAAGCAGCGAATATGCAGTCCATGCTGTAACTGCAGGCCCCAGAGATACAGGGACAAAGACAACTCTATCCTGCCCTCAAGTAATTCACATACAAAGCAGATTATGATAAGGCCTATGACACAGGTGTAAGCAAGGCTCTGCAGGCAATATAGATGATGCAATTAATTCTGGATCAGCGAAAGCATGAAGAGGCCGAGTTGTTTGAATCTTGATGTATGAGTAGAATTTTGTCTGGAGGATCTAGAGGGGTTCCAGTTAATGTGGTTTGGGCTTATTGTATGAACAGCAACCCTGTTCTAAACCAGGGGAAAATACCATTCCTTCCTGTGTCCTATTTCTGTTCATTACACATTTGAGTACTTTATTGCTATAATCTGTTTACATGTCTGTCTCCTCCACTGGACAGCCAGCTCCAGAAGGAGCAGACACAGACTCCCTTTCATCGTTATTCCCCTGCAGTACCTGACAGGGCAGCCCTTGACACAAGTTAAAATGCTACCATTCAACTTCCGTAACTGTAAATTAGCTATTAGGTCACTTGCAACTTCCTTCAATCTCTCTACCACCCAACCTTGTATCTGTAATGAGACATAGATAGTCATTTTTAAAAGAAAAAAAATCTACAAGTCTACCACAGTTTCACACAGAGCTGCTAGGAACAGCACTTAATGTATATGCTCCATTGTGTTCAATTAATTATTCTTAACTAATGTTGCTGCTTCTATTTATTCCATATTATTACTCCCTATATCAACCTTTTTATTTTACAAATCAAAGTTCTGGGGGATATTAACAAGTGTGTCATGGGAGAGTGGAATGAACAATATTCTGAGGTCAAATGAATTTCAAAAATGCTGGGTTAAACCAAAATATTTGAAGGCAGGTAATCTCAGGGCATTCAATATGCTAATATTAAATTGAATTTCAAGAAAGGAGTGGAATATTTATGGTTTTTCCCTATAGCCTCAGAGCATCCTGGCCGCATTTTTCTATGGAAGGTAAGGAATACTTTCTGGGAAATGTATTCAAGTTAGCAGCATTTACGGGTTGAAGAAACCAATAAATCTCAGTGGGATATCTTCAGTAAATATAAGCAAGACTGACAACTGGATTCATTCTTTCATTAATGCAACCAATGTTTACTGAACTGTGCACTACTTAAGAGAGACAAAGCCCCTGCACTCACAGAGCTTAAATCCAGTGGAAGAGAATGCCCTCCATCCCCGGCTGGGGAGATCAAGAAGTCTTTCTGTCTCCCTGAAGCTAGACACTATTTCTTTTATAGCCCTGAACACTTGATGGGTGCTCTGTAAATAATTGCTAGCAGCCTGATCACAGTAAAGTCTGCAGACATTTTCCAAATTCTCATGAAAACCAATCAAAACAGTAATAAAATGGACTGTCAGCAATACATGTTTGGTTACTTGATCATGTGGAAAAACTTTTATAAAAATAATAATTCAAGGCCTGGAAGTTGCCATAGAAATCATCCACTTTAACTCCCCTTGAATTTACTACAAGGTAACTGAGGCCCAAGAGGTGAGGCGTTTGACCAAGATCATACAGTGAATCTAGGTTAAAATTAAGAGCCAAAGACTCCCAGATCTCTAAGACTGTAAGAGATATAGCAAAGACAGCTGCTGCCAAGGGATGTAACCATCCGCCACCTGGGTCTTCTCCAAGTCCAGAGCCAATTGTTTTATGAAGTAACAGTCTCCTTACTGCTTTTTCACTGCTTTCTTAAAAGAGTCCTATCATCAGAGACAATTCTCTAAGCACTGCCACAACACAGCTTTCATTTCAGCCATATCCAAACCCACCCTCAGAGGCACAGAATGACCTGGGCATCCAGGAAAAGGGAGCAAGACGGAAGCCTTTAGGTGCCCTTGGGCACAACAGGTTTCAAGCTAACAAACATCAAATGGTATGCTCTTTTAAAGACAGGGTAGACCACATGCTTCAATTGTGATCAGAAAATGAAAAGACACAGCAGAGCAGGCGTTAAGTTCTAGGTTCTGCCCACAGGTCTTTCTTTAACCTGCTGAGTGACACTGAACCAGTGGCTAATTCTTTCCCCATCTGCAAAATAAAAGATTGGAGTAGATGTTACAAAGGTCCCTTAGAGCCTCAAATTCTATGGTTTTGCTGAACTTATGCCACCAACAGGGAACTTTCCATCAAGATGAGCCTATCCCCTTTCTCTTGAGTTATAACCAGTTTTGCTCCTGTTTGAATCGAGATCTGCTACATTTGCATCAAGTACTGAATGTTACAGGACATAAAATAGATAAGTACTCTCTAGGTGCATTTTATTATACTTCGCTATCATTTAACATACAATAAAGAGATGTACTATGAAATATTATGGAACCTAAGAGTACAGTATCCCATGCTGGTCTAAATACCATGGTGTCTAATTTCCAGAACTTACATTTTAATAAAACTCTATAATAATTCACTAAGAAGGGGGAAAGGCTAAAGTCACAGAAGAAAAACAATAGAAATGTTAAAACTTCTCTTTAATTCCTTTCTCCGGGTTTACCCTAAACCAACTTTTACTGCAGACATTATTCAGCACTAGCAAATTGAAAAGTTCCAAACAAACACTGTATGCAAAAGCTACTTCCTAGAGAAACACAAGGCACCTCTGTGCCCCACTGTCAATCAAAGAACAAGTGGGCAGATAGGTAGCACCTGGGCCTCTGGTGAAGCCTTTGCTTTGCTCCTCCTCAATTCCTGACTAAATCTTTTGTTTCTAGGCAGGTGAGACCTTTATTGGGATCTACAGATAAGAAGTCAATTCAATGTCTTTTGACATCCAGATGGCAATACTGCTTGAAGTAAATTAAAACCTCCACTGTGAATGAAATAGGATAGGTGAAAATATTATAGAAAGAAAGAAAGTAAGGAAAAAAGAAATGCAAGTTTAAGACTGTGTTGAATTTTAACAAAAACTGAGGCTATTTCCAAACAGAGGAAAAAAAGAGGAGTTAGGGAAATTGTGCTTATACTGCATTTGAAATTAAAATTTTACTATTGATTTTGAAATTTAATCATACAAAGTACCATATCAAGGGAAAAACATACAATTCTAGTACTATGAGAATCTCAGAAATACATTGATACAGAGAACTACAACTTCTGCTGTGATCATTAACTTAGTCTTGAGAAAGATGTCACTTCATCTTTCTGAACTTCTATGTCTTTAATTAGAAAACTGGATGGGCTAAGCACAGTGGCTCACGCCTGTAGTCCCAGCACTTGGGAGGCTGAGGCAGGAGGACTGATTGAGGCCAGGAGTTTGAGACCAGCCTGGGCAGCAAAGCAAGACCTTGTCTCTACAAAAAAATAAAATTAGCCAGGCACGGTGGCATGCACCTGTAGTCCCAGCTACTTGGGAGGCTGAAGCAGGAGGATCATTTCAGCCTAAGAGTTCGAAGCTGCAGTGAGTTGTGAATGCACCACTGGATTCCAGTCTGGGTGACAGAGCAAGAACCTGTCTCAAAAAATAAAGTAAAATAAAATTAGGGGGAGGGTCTTAGATGACCTGAAAGGTCTTTTTCTGAAATCTCACTCTCCTGTGTATCTATTCTATTCATTTATTCATTCAGTCAACAATGAGCATCTATTTGTCCAACTGCACTTTCAGGTGCTGCAAATACAATCATGAGCAGCATAACAAATGTTCAGTCAATGATAGACCACATACACGAGGTATAACAGCCTCTCCAAGGCCACCCCTGATACAAGATGCCACAGTTCATCTTGCTCCTCCAGTCTTGGGTTTCACTGCCTCAAGAAGATCCAAATATTTTTTTCATATACTTAGCAAAACCATCTACTATCGCTTTGATTTTCATCTATTTATTTAGGTTGGTCCTTATTCATAGTGAAAACACTGTTTCAGAATCCTGCCTTACGAAAAACAAAGGCACTTTTGTCTTACAGCAGCAGCTACCTGCTTTTATTCTACAATTTTTCAAAACTAAATAACACATATTAGTCAAGATAAGTAAACCTATATTGTACTATATGATATAAACTGGCCTCTTTCACCTGATACTGGGAACAGAAGATTATAAGGCTGACGTAAATTTCAGGGGCAATAGCAAAATCACTGATCAGGATTTAATCCACTTCTGAGTCAATACTCTCTATACTGTACTCCTGAATATCAAGAATAAACATAAAGCTGTCATTACTGAAAGTGGAAATTGTTGCAATTTGGCAGTATGCATAAAAAATGTTAAAACATGCATGCCCCTGTCCAAGTAATTCAATATCTAGAAATTTATTGGTTGCAAATAATTAAGACTTCACAAAGATTTAGTAGCATGAATATATATCACAAGGCTAGTTATAACATCGAAAACCTGGAAAGGGCTCAAGTGTCCAATAATAACAGATTGGTTAAATATGTTTTGGTACATCCACACAATTGACTATTATGCAGACATTTAAAATGTTATAGGACAGGCCGGGCGCGGTGGCTCACACCTGTAATCCCAGCACTTTGGGAGGCCGAGGCAGGTGGATCACGAGGTCAGGAGATCGAGACCATCCTGGCTAACACGGTGAAACCCCGTCTCTACTAAAAATACAAAAAATTAGCCGGACGTGGTGGCAGGCGCCTGTAGTCCCAGCTACTCAGGAGGCTGAGGCAGGAGAATGGCGTGAACCTGGGAGGCGGAACTTGGAGTGAGCCGAGATCGCGCCACTGTACTCCAGCCTGGGCGACAGAACGAGACTCCGTCTCAAAAAAAAATGTTGTAGGACAACATTTTATAAAATGACAAGGCACTTCCATCTTATTAAGTAGGAAAAAAAAGCATACTACAAAACAGTTTGTATGCTGTGTTCCCATTTTGTAAAAACAACACATGAAAACAGTTACATACACAGGTGCATGCATTCCCTCATATACAGAAAAGGTATAGAAAGAAAAATACTAGGTTGTAAATGGTTTTCTCTTGGTATTAAGCTAATGTGTGCTCCAGGCCAGGTGTGGGGACTCACACCTGTAATCCTAGCACTTTGGGAGGCCAAGGGGGGGGGGGGGCGCGGATCACTTGAGGTCAGGAGTTCGAGACCAGCCTGGCCAACATGTTGAAACCCCATCTCTACAAAAAATACAAAAATTAGCCACGTGTGGTGGCACACACCTGTAATCCTAGCTACGTACTCAGGAGGCTGCAGCAGGAGAATCGCTTGAATCCAGGAGGTGGAGGCGGCAGTAAGCCGAGATTGCTCTACTGCACTCCAGCCTGGGCGACAGATTGAGACTCCGTCTTAAGAAGAAAAGATAATGTATGATCTTTATTTTCTTCCTTGCTTATCTATGTCTTCCAATTTTTCTACAATAAACCTATGTGGCTTTTGTCCTCTTCAAAGTTTTTTTAAATTAGAAAAATAAAATAAGCACACATCACTTTAGTGCCAGACTTGGTAGAAGGAATAAAAAATGGGGCTGTCCATACCAAGGGAGAGCCCTTGTGTTCTGCCAAAGATGAATGCAAATTGTTTGGCTGTCTCTGCTACAACCAGTTCAATTAGCGTCAAAACAAAGGCTCTTTAAAAGGCCATGTACACACTGTATGGGCTGGACTCTAATTGAGCTAGTTGTAAATTAATTACCTAATGTCAAAATGGGCACACACAAAAAAGGATTCATTCCATTCATAGTGCTACCTAAAGCTGATCCTCAAGGTAAGCAATAGAGAAATGTCAGTAGCGACAAGTGTTTAGCTTTGTAAAATACAGCGAAAGAGGCTTTCCAAGGCATTGCTGATTCATGACAGATTTCCTTGCCAAGGCTTGATTTGTTAAGGTCTCCTCCTCCTTTCCCAGTTTAAGTACCTCCTCTGGCAGAGAAAATGATGTGTTCCTCTCTCCTCTTAGTCCTTAAGACTTCAGCTCTGAGATGAGCAAATCAGTGCCAAGTGTCTGAGAGACAGGACGCTGAATTAGGGCCCAGAACATTAATCCAGGTGCCCTCTGGTACTGCAGGGCTAGAGCATTCATGTCAGCTTTCCTTGTTAAGACTGACCCCACATACAGACTTCCACCCTCTACTTTTCCCCGCAGATACTGTAATGATGTATCACCAGTCTAGGTATAACTATATTATTATTCTCAGATGTATTTTCAGCCATCATAAAACACCTTTTCAGTCCCTTAAAACTGGCAGGTGCTTTTTGTTTTGTATTTAAGAAAAGAGGTGAGTGAGCCCTATGGTAGGTAAAGCATGAACATCTTTCCTTATGGATTTCACTTAAGTGACTTGAGATGAAAACCTGTATAGCCCAAATGACTGAATCAATTCCCATTTTGATTTGCAAACACACAGCAAACTCCAATAAGGAAAATGCCAAGGTGCTTCTTTTAACTGACCTTAATTTTAAGAACTCAGACTATGAGAAGAGACCTAGAGGAGCAGACAAGTTTAGTTTGTGCCAGTTCAATACACATGGGGACCATGGGCTTAAATATGAAGTAAACAGCACCCAAGACTGAGTTCTTTAAAAAGAAAAAAAAAAAATTACAAGGAGCGGATCTAGACTTTGAACCATGACTTGATTTACTTAGAACATTTTGCCCTGAAAAATCACACACTCATAGTCTCTTTGGGAGGGAGAGCCCTCAAAGGTCACCAATACCCAGTTTGAATTCCCATTAGAATAATCCAGGTGAGTGTTAAGTGAGCCTGTTTGAATGGCAGCAGCTGGAATTCAGGACCCTAACACAGCACTATTAGAAAAACTCTTCTTTTATACACAATGCCAAATTGCGTCTCCAATGGGAGTAGGAGTGACCACTTGGATCTAAATCCCTCTTCCCGAAATACTTAAAGATGCCAGCACATATTACCCTAAGCCACCTCCTGTAACCACTCCCAGGTTTACATCCAATATAGCATGGTTAGTGACAAATCTCTTCACAGTTCGGGTCCCTCTCCTTCAAGGCTACAAGTCTAGATTTTCAAGATAACTGTTGACAGCCACTGTTCATTAGCCTACAATATTTCCTCTACCCAAATATAACTAACAAGATTTTACTTGATTAGGACAGATTAAGGGTGGCATCTATTTGAGTAGCAGATGTCTTTTAATAATCAAGTCTGGGCCGGGCGCGGTGGCTCACGCTTGTAATCCCAGCACTTTGGGAGGCCGAGGCGGGCGGATCACGAGGTCAGGAGATCGAGACCATCCTGGCTAACACGGTGAAACCCTGTCTCTACTAAAAATACAAAAAAATTAGCCGGGCGTGATGGCGGGCGCCTGTAGTCCCAGCTACTCGGGAGGCTGAGGCAGGAGAATGGCGTGAACCCGGGAGGCGGAGCTTGCAGTGAGCCGAGATTGCGCCACTGCACTCCCACCTGGGCCACAGAGCGAGACTCCGTCTCAAAAAAAAAAAATAATAATCAAGTCTGGTGAGGCCTCCTTCCTTCTTAAAAGCACTAACTAACGAGAAACAATAAAACTCCTAGAAGAGAATACAGGGGAAAAACTCCTGGACTTTGTCTTGGCAATGATTTTTTTGGATAACATAACAAAAGCTCAGACCACAAAAGCAAAACTAAACATATGGGGCTGCAGCAAACTAAAAGGCTTCTGCACAGCAAAAGAAATAACCAATGAAATGGCAGCCTACAAATTGGAAGACAATATTTGCAAACTAGATCTGATAAGGAGTTAATATGCAAAGTGTATAAAGAACTCACAAAACTCAATAGTAGAAAAACAAATAATCTGATTTTGAAATGGGTAAAAGACCTGAATAGACATTTTTCCAAAGAAAACATAAAACTGCCAATAGACATATGAAAAGGTGCTCAACATCATTACTCATCAGGGAAATGCAAATCAATGCCATTTCATGAGATACCACTACACACCCATTAGGACAGCTCTTACATCAAAAAGTAAAAAGATAACAAATGTTGGAAAGAGTGGAGAAAAGGAACTCTTGTATACGGTTGGTGGGAATGTAGTTTGATACAGCCATTGTGAAAAATAGTATGGAGGTTTCTAAAGAAATTAAAAATAGAACTTCCATATGACCCAGCAATCTCTCTTCTGGGCATTTACCCAAAAGAAATGAAATCTCCCCCTTATAAAGATATCTGCACTCCCATGTTCACTGAAGGATTATTCATAAGATATGGAGACAACCTAAGCATCTGTCGACAGGCAAATGGATAAACTGTGGGGGGTGTGTGTGTGTGGGTGGGTGTGTGTGTGTATGAATATTATTGAGCCCTTAAAAAAACTCAATCTTACCATTTGCCACAAATGTGGATGAGCCTGAAGGACACTGTACTAAGTGAAATAAACCAGACACAGAAAAAAAAATATTGCATGATCTCACTTATATATGGAATCTTAAAAATTTTTTTCAAATATTCAGAGACAGAGAACAAAACAGTGGTTACTAGGGGTAGGAAGGAAATGGAGGAGATGTAGGATGAACAGGTCTAGAGATTTAATGTACAACATGAGGACTAAAGGTAATAAAATTGTACTGTATTTGGGATTAATGCTAAATGAGTAGATTTTAGCTGCTCTTGCCTATGTAAGGTGATGAATATGTTAATTTGCTTCACTATATATAGTAACCTTTTTACTATCTCTATGCATCCTATAATCTTATATATCTTACAAATACACAATGAAACTTATTTTAAAAATAAATAAAAGCAATAACTAATAAAAACCTCTCTCAAGGTTCACTACATTTAACATTTTCCAAATGAAAACTTAGTGTTGTGGCTCTACCATAAAATTCTTGTAACTGTGGAATTCTAAATACTTAAGATTTTTAAAGAACTAGCAAACGTGAGCTGGCTCTACTACCTATATATGAACAGAAAGAAAAGAAAATTAAGGAAAGAGAAAGGGAAAGGAAAGAGAAAGAAAACAGAGAGGGAAGAGGGGAGAGGGGAGAAGGCAGAGGGGAGAGGGGAGAGGGGAGAGGGGGAGGGAGAGGAGAGGCAGGATGGAAGAGAGAAGGGAGGAGAGGGGGTGGAGAGGGATGGGGAAGGAGAAAGGAGAGCACGTCAGCCTAAGAGATAGACCTCATAATCCACTTTTACGTTCCTACCTTTCTAAGCATGTATCAAGTTCTAACTCCAGACTTATTTCATCTTCTGGTTTCTTGGGTACCCAATCAACATATCCAATTAATCAAATATTTATTGAGTGTCTGTTATGTGCTCAGTATGCCGGGTAATGGCAAAGCTATAAAGACCTAGAACACATAATCACTGTCCAGCAAGGCAAAACCTTATAAAGATAAAATGTCCACTTTATAAAAATAAGTAATGTAAGGTGGTATATGCAAAAGTTCAAAATAGGTGATCCAGACATTTGAACAGCCTAAAAATACATTTACAAGATTTCACTGACAACAAAGACCTCTAACATCCTCCTGAGCTCCAGAGGAACTATACCAAAGTAAATGGCCAAATAATTTAACCTATTTGATAACATTTAATCCCACTGACTGCCCTCTCCAGATCCTAAAATGCAGCATTACCAGAACAACAATATTTGAAAAATTTTTGTTCCCCATTGAAACATGAATTCAATGAGTACAACTTAGAGAGAAGAGGAGGAGGAAAAGGAAGAGAACATCCTTAATTGAAATTCAATTATAAAGTTATCCTTAGGGATAAGAACATTATACATACAAGGTTCTAGTGTTTTACAAAGTAAACACTTTCCACAGCAGTTAAAGATGTTCTTTCTTAATATCCAACTCTGTTTTGCTATGAACAGTGTTATTTGGGGATTTTAGAAGATAAAGAAGAATGTATCAGCTGTACGGCTGGCAAAGTTATTTTGGAATTAAGCAATTCAATGGACATGCTGGGGCTAAAATGGAACAAAAATAAGACAATTAGTCTTTATGTATATCCATGGGGTGAAAATTGTTATCCATAATTTGGCTAATTATATACTGTAAGAAAACTGGAATGAACCTTGCCTATGCTATCCAGCTTAAGAAGTTCCTCCATCACGCTAACCACCAGGCTGTTTGGCTGTCAGCAGCTCTTTAACATTAAATGTGATGCAGTTCACGAAATAACTATTTTCCATATCCCTTGGTCTTGTTCTGACCCTGACCCAGATGTTAAACTATTTTTTCTTCTTTTTAAATATTTTAAGTAGGACAGAAAACAGGTACAGTCCTCAAACCGCTGTTGCCTCTCAAAAGGTCAAAAACATCTTAAGTGGCAACAGAAACACTGCCCTCTTCTACTTTTTCCAGAACAGCTGTGCAAGCACAAGACCTTGGTTCTTAACCTTTTATGGGTCACTGACCCCTTGGAGAATCTGATGAAAGCTTAAAACAAAAAAAAAAAAGTGTGTACACAAAATCTTCTGCTCCTGGCTTTTGGGAAGTATGTGAATCCTTTAACACTCAACCCAAAGTTAAAAACTTCTGAGACCACCTGTGAACCCCATGGGGCAGGCATTGTGTTCTACCTCTTGTTTCTACGCCTAGTTCTTAAAATGACCAATGCCCTATAGGTAATCAATTCTAATCTACTCAAGACGTGGATAAATGAGTAAGAACAAATGGATATTCGGACCACAGAGAAGGAAAAAAAAAAGAATAAATGGGTGGATAGAAAATACAATATTATCATTCTGTATCTCAGTGGCTTCCAAATCTGATTAACCATAGAATCACTTAGGGTGCTCTTCAGAATAGATTTCTGGGTCCCACTCCAAGAGACTGATTCAGTAGGTCTTGAGTGGTAACCAGGAATCTTTAATTGTTTAAAGTCCATGACAGTTAGGAAAACTAATATAGTTTAACTCAGTGGAAGAAAACTTTAAAGTTTTTATCCTAATATGTTGCTAAAGAAGGATATACACTTCCACATCTTGAACAAACAAAAACAGAGAAAGGAAGTTGTCTCAACTGCTCCAAGTGGGCCTGACAAACTGTTAAATACCAGACTTTACAATCCTGATACTAAAGAAAATCTGATTCATGTGTTTGGTGGTTTGCTTGTTTTGTTTTCCCTGAAAGGTCACGCTGTGATTCACAACCAGACGTTTACTCGTGGCTAGTTTACAGCAAGATGGTTAGCACGGCTGCCTGTGAGAATAGCACATCCTTAGAAGCACAGCTACACTAAGTCTTCCTGACAAGTTCCGACTCCCACAGACTCAAATCACAAAAGAGGAATGAACATACTCTAGTTCAGAGGAAATTCCTGACATGGATAAAATTTTGTTTCACAATAGAAATATGTTTTTTGGTTTTTGTTTTGAGACAGAGTCTTGCTCTGTCACCTAGGCTGGAGTGAAGTGGCACGATCTCGGCTCACTGCAACCTCCGCCTCCAGAGTTCAAGCCATTCTCCTGTCTCAGCCTCCAGAGTAGATGGGATTATAGGTGTGCACCACTACGCCTGGCTAATTTTTGTATTTTAGTAGAGACAGGGTTTCCCCTCCATGTTGGCCAGGCTGGTCTCGAACTCCTGACCTCAGGTGATCCACCCACCAGAAGGTATTGCCATGCAACATCTTCAAGGGTATAAATTATGCCCAATTTTAAGGCCTGGTGACCACAGAGACTGGGCATAACCTGCCTGATTCAGTGCCTCAATTTCCTCTGTCCCACAAAACTGAAATTTTAAAAATCCTGTTCCCTTTCTCATACCATTTTCTACAGCTCACTGAGGTTGTTCATTCCTTCCTTCCTTCACAAAATAAATACTGCCAGACTCCGAACTATGTGCCAGCTGTCCCATCACCTTGCATTATACAAGGTGAACACCACAGAGAGCAAGTCCCCTGCCCTCATGTGGCTCACAGGCTACTGACTGCGGTGATTTTAGGAAATTACTCCATGAAAACCCCAAACTCTTTACTGGATCCATTACATTTACTACATTACTTACTGGATCAACTGGCAACCTGATAGGATCTAGAGAAAGAATCAGGACTGCAGCTTCTAATGAGAAGTTGGGGCTCATCTCATTAAAATGTCTTCCTTATCCCCAGCAATATGGCTTGGGTGCTGAAGAGAACCAGCCCCAGAGGAGTTAAGAAGCTGGACTTCTCACCCAGGCTCAGCTACCTGTATGACCCCTAGTTTGAAACAATTAACAAGAATCCCACCTCCGTTGGCTGAGAGCTAGCAAGGTCTGTCAGGTATTTTATAAGCATTATGTTCAAAACAGCCCTGAAGAAAGGGAGTACCACAGCTCCATATTACCAATAATAAAACATGCTCAGAAAAGTTAAGGTGGTAAACGGTGGCTGCCAAAGATTCCCACATGGGTCTCACTCCAAGCTACACAAGAATTTCATAGTTTACAGACTCAATGTTTCCTCCAAACTCTGTTATTTTATAGATCTTGAGGCCCAAAAGTGTCTTGCTTGAAGTAGCAAAAGGGTATACAACAGCCACCCCAAAATTTTCAGTCCATGCTAAGCTCACTGTGATGCCCCACCAACTTCTCATAAACGATACTTCCCAAAATGCACGTAGCAGCTGACTGACCTTTCTCAAAGGGTTATTGTAAAACACACAAATCAAATGAAATGGTTTACGCAAATGCAATAAAGACCTTAGATCCTGGGTCAACACTTCTTTTTGATTTCAGCAACACTCCTGAACATCTCAGTGCCTCGGTTTCCTCACTGTAAAATGAGGATAATAAGATATAGTTTGGGTCTGTATCCCTCCCAAATCTCATGTTGAATTGTAACCCCTAATGTTGGAAGTGGGGCCTGGTAGGAGGTGACTGGATCCTGGGGGACAGATTTCTCCATTTGCTGCTGTTCTCGTGAAAGAGTTCTCATGAGATCTGCTTGTTTAAAAGTGTGGCATCTCCCCCTCTCCCTTTCTCCTGCTCTAGCCATATGAAGACACGCCTGCTTCCCCTTCAACTTTCACCATGTAAGTTTCCTGAGGCCTCCCCAGCCATGCTTCCTGTACAGCCTGTGGAATGATGAGCCAATTAAACCTCTTTTCTTTATAAAATTACCCAGTTTCAGGAATTTCTTTTTAGCAGTGTGAAAACTAATACAGAGTGGCAACCTCACAGTTACGACAAATGTTCATTATTATAAACTTCCTCTAAATTCAACTGCCTATGATCTGGTACCTCAGGAATAAACAAGTTCCACTATTGCTAGAAGCTACAGAAAACATTTTTAAAATCTATTTACCACATTTGTTTGCAAATATAACTTAAGAATTTAAGATATAATTTAAAAGATTTAAAAGTTTCCTCTCTCTGTGAGTCTAAATTACCCACAACAAACACAGGCTCCAAGCACACCTCAATGGAAGAACAGGATGGGCTTGCTCTGCACCCTCTCACACTTCAGAAGAATATGCATAAACCATCTCGTTTCAGGGGACTGTTCTTAGAATAAACGTCTGTAAATGCCCTTTGTAATCTTTTGACAATGGCACTACATAAGCACACATTACCGACACATTACTGCAGGCATTATAAATTAGGTATGTGGCTACATGGGACAATACAAGAAATGCCTGAAACATCTTTCCGCTCCTCATCATTCAATCAAATGCAATCTCCCCTAAGAAGTTCTATCACATTATCCCACAAAAATGACATAACCACAACCTAAGATTATAATGTTCATTATGTGCTGTAAACTGTTATATGCACTTCACATATAATAACTCATTTAATCCTCAAACCTGTGAGGGTTGCATTACTATTATTCCATTTTATACACAAGGAAACTGAGATAAATGGTCACACAGCTAGGTAGTGGCAAAGCTGGGCTGTGAACCCAAGTAATGGGGCTTCTACTCAATCCACAGGACACCGTGACCTCAAAAAGCAAGATTCATCTTCATAACCATGCTCTCCCCTACTCTTAATCCACAGGATGCCTCAGCCTCCAGAAGTAACCTGTCTTCATAACCACTCCTCCCCAAAGAAATGCCCCTGTACCTATTATCCTACCACTTTCTACATTGCAACAGTAGCTACTAAAGTGTCTGAGTTTTTTTATTGTTTTTTTTTGTTTGTTTTTTTGGGGTTTTTTTGAGACGGCGTTTCACTCTTGTTGTCCAGGTTGGAGTGCAATGGCGTGATCTCAGTTCACCGCAACCTCCGCCTCCTGGGTTCAAGTGTTTCTCCTGCCTCGGCCTCCCAAGTAGCTGGGATTACAAGCATGTGCCACCACGCCTGGCTAATTTTGTATTTTTAATAGAGACAGGGTTTCTCCATGTTGGCCAGGCTGGTTTTCAACTCCCAACCTCAGGGATCCGCCCACCTTAGCCTCCCAAAGTGCTGGGATTACAGGTGTGAGCCACTGTGCCTGGCCGCCTAAAGTGTCTGGTTTAACTGCTCTGCTAACCCATGTGTCTTTGGGGACAGGGCACCTTGCCTCCTCTGTATTTACATAAACCCATTCCTTCTAAACATAATGTTGGTGCTCAAGAAAGTGACGAATGAATGAATGAAACAAATGTTACCATTAGGCATCTTATCATTCAAGAAGACTGTTTTATTTCTATTTCTTATACTGCACTTTAATATTAACCTGCATTTGGGGGTTAATGTTTTGCTTTTGTTTTCTTCCTAAACAAAACTAATCTTATTTTCTCTGCTCAGGCAATACATTTCATTAATTACTAATTCAACAGACCAAAGAAAAACAGGCTATTTAGCTGTCAGATCACACAAGACCTTTTTAATACTTCAGTCTCGTGGAAATTTTTTAAGCAGAATTTTTTTAAGATCCCATTTCTGTTTTAATGACTTAAAAAAGAAACTGCCCTTATGGGGGAAAGGAGCATATAAAAGGTAATAAACATTTAATGATCCAATAATTGGTTATATCAGAACAATCACTGTTCAGTAATTAACTTCTCTTTCAGCTTGTTCACTTGATACTTTGAGCACCTCTGATAGGCCTAGAATTATGCATATGATTTATATAATAAACTAAAACCTTGTGGAAGAGCCCAAAACACAAGGTTTCCAATCACCCATGCTTCTCAGTGACCTTCCAATGTGGCCCTTTATAAATCCAAGTCATTAGCAAAATCAAGAGCATCCCAAGCCCTCAGCACACAGTGGGCATGAAAGCAACAAAAATGACATTACTGCTAAACTGTGGGGACTGTGGACACGGCAACCAGGCGGGGTTTAAGTAAAACATAACAGAAAATTGGAGCTTAAAAGATAGCAAAAAAAAATAATAATAATTAAATCGCACCTCCAGGAAAGAATACAGTGAACAGCTGGTATGTTGTTACTATGCAAAATTACAATTAAGCTCAGGTTAATGTCATTTCCAACTAATTACCCACAGTCAGTTGGAAGACACACACACTAAGAGATTTCACTTTACCTATTCCAACATTTTTCCCTACTTATGTGTCTCTGCCATCCATGCAGCTACAAGGTTCCCTGCAATTTTTTTTAATGTCACAACTACTCAGGAACACCCTCTCGTTTCTGTCAAAGGGGTGCCCCCTCCTTGGTGGTAGATGTTAGGAGCTGTAAACATTTCAACACCTCCCTTCCATCACACTTATCTCTGCATGCCATTCCTTCACACCACAATAATGTTCATAGAGTCTTCTCTACAACCCTAATTTCCTATGTTCCATTGTCATTCTTTCTTCTCCTTCCCTTTCCCTTCCCTGTCTTTTTCTTTTCTTTTCTTCTTTGAGACAGAGCCCCACTCTGGCACCCGGGTTGGAGTACAGTGGGCAATCCCAGCTTACTGCAGCTTCAATCTCCTGGGCTCAGGTGATCCTACTGCCTCAGCCTCCCGAGTAGACAGGACTACCATTGTAAGCCACCACATCCAGCTAATTTTTAAATTTTTTATAGAACAGGGTCTCACTGTTTTTCCCAGGCTGGTCTCAAACCCCTGGACTCAAGGGATCCTCCAGCCTCAGCCTCCCAAAGTATTGGGATTACAGGTATGAGCCACCGTGCGCAGCCCAAATAACACTTTCGAAATCCGTCATGTTTTTTATCTAGGTGTTCTTTTAACCAACACTCCACCCCAGCCCCTGCCCCGCCAAAAAAGAAAGGAAACCAGTCAGCACCACCATGGCTAGAATTCCTACCATTCCACACTTGGATCTTTCACAAAGCCTGCCCTTCCACCAAGCCCTCCCATCAACCACTAGGGCTATCTGCCCAAATGGTAAAGATCCTTCCTGCCACTGCCATTTGAAAGAAACTTGTAAATAAACGCAAGGGACCAAGTTTCACAGGCACTTTGTGGCTTCCACATCTGACAGTAGACACACAGAACTACTTCAGGGCCAGAAGCACCCTTTTCCTATAAAAGAGAGGCAAGCTAATTTGAAAGACCTTTCTGAGTCCGCTTCTGCTAAGAATTGAAGGGGAGAGACAAAGGTCCCACAACCCCAAAGCAAGAAAGCATCTTCTAATCTAAATCATTCGGGCTCTCCTATTATCCATACACTTGGGCACTGCCCCAACGGCATGCCTCACCAAAGAGCATGACACCACTCCTCCCGCTTCACACAAGCCTGAAAGCAGAGGTCAGATAATTTATCTGTTACTGGCACCTTTGAGAATCTGCGTGGTAGTGACAAGAAAGGGGGTGGGGGGCGGGGGCACCGAGGGGAGAAAACTGGCAGTAGTTTCTCCACTATTAATGGACAGATAACTGCAGAGTGCCATAACAGATTTCAGTTCCTTTGTGCACACAGGAATATTTATTTAATCAATGTACTGAAACAAAACAGGCCTCTGGTATACTTTTGGGAAGATGGAGAGCCATTCAGAGCAGGGTGATTGGAGTCTTGTCACCTGTTTAGTTGATAGTGGCGATCACTAAGATGGGGGAGCATGAGGCAGAGAGGGGAAAGGGAGCAGCTCTCACATCCACAGAGCCCACATGCTTGCTAGCAGAGCACAGATGTGTAGCTGCTGGCAGGTGGCTGCAGACAGCTCTCTCCCTCCACTTGCACACAGCTTAAGTGCAGGGTTTGCTTGAGGTCCTTTTACCATGAGCATCCCTTTCCAAAGAAAATGGGCAAGCTTGCTATTTAATACAGCTAGACCTTCTCTCACTAAGAATTGAATGATTCTTCAGTGGAAAAAAGAAAAACCATCAGGGCTTTAAATGTTCTGATTGGGTTGGAATGGAGGAGAGATTATTCTGGGTGGATAGAGAGGAGGAAGGAACTTTTTTTAAAAAAAACTAAGAAACCACATTTTATCATGTACCAGATAAAGATACCTGGCTACTGAGACAGGTTTCCTAAGTTACCTGGACAGTAATGACAAGACTCACTTGTTTATTAGAGTCAGAAGATAATCTGTCCTTACGCATTTTCAAAACTATCATGAGAATATTTTCAGTGAAACAGATTGCAGAAAAGATAGATCTTAGAACGTAATCTTAATATCAGCTGTGAGCATTAATAGACAGTCACTGTCAAGAACTGGCTTAAGGCTGAATCAAAACATAGATAAACAACACAAACTTAACATCACCAAAAACTTACTGAAAAGAGTAATTAAGAAACACCACCTACCAAAAGACAATGCTTTTTTCACTTACACCTTATTATATTGTTTCATCAACCTTTACTTATATCTCTAATTTCTTGGGATTTGAGGAGGAATAGAAAAGAAAATTTGAGGAATCTAATAAAAATCATTTTTTGTGGGGAGGGGGCAATGTTCTATTTCTTTACCTGAGTACTGGTTACCTGGGTATTCACTTTGTGATCATTCATTGGATCATTCATTGAGCTGTACACTACACTTTTTCCAGGATGTGTTCTATTTTACAGTAAATAAGGTTTTAAAACCAAATACACAGGAATGTTTTCTTTTCAGAAAAGTTACATAGCATAGAAATAAATTATTGTAAACCATCACCATTACCACTGCCCCAGGAAAACACTCAAAAATATTTTAAGAAATAGTGTTTCTGAAACTTCTATACTGGAACTTGATGTTAAAAACAAACAAACAAACAAACAAAAAACCCTAATGTTCCAGGCCAGGCACAGTGTCTCACACCCATAATCCCAGCACTGTGAGAGGCCCAGGCAGCTAGATTCCTTGAGCCCAGGAGTTCAAGACCAGCCTGGGCAACATGGTGAAACCCTGTCTCTACCCCTGCAAAAAAAAAAAAAAAAAAAAAAAAATTGCTGGGCGTGGTGGTGGTAGTCCCAGCTTTTTGGGAGGCTAAGGCAGGAGAACTGCTTGAGCCCAGGAGTTTGAGACTGCAGTGAGTCATGACTGTCCCACTACATTCCAGCCTGGGTGACAGAACGAGACCTTGTCCCCCTGTCACAAACCCCAAAAAGAAAACAAAACACTAATGTTCCAGAGCCACAGAGCAGGGATTAATGTTTAGTAGATCAGACACAGGGTCCAGGAATCAGTATGTTTACCAAGTTACCATGGAGTATAGATATGCAACTCGGTTTAGAAACCACTGCACAAGGCAAGAACTTGTGATGTGCAAATCTGAAACTACCTACTCCAAATTCTCCATACCCAACATGTGTGACAAAAAATGTAACACAGCCTAGGCAACATAAGGAGACTCCGTCTCTACAAATATATATATATCTCCATCCATCCACCCATCCAGGTGTGGTAATGAGCACCTGTGGTCCCAACTACTTAGGAGGCTGAGGTGGGAGGATTCCTTTAGGGAAAAAGTGTAATTATTTGGAAAAGGTTCGCAGAAGCTTTAATAACTGAGTATTCTCTTACCAACTACAAACAATATTTGGCCAAGGCTTTTCTGAATATTTTTCTCACAATTACAATATCTTCCCTAAAAAGGAAGCTGATATGTTATTATCACTATGTAACTTCTGCTGGCAACCCCATCCTGTATATCTAGAAATAGAAACTGTGAAATCAAATTATCTGTGGCCACATGGGATTCTGGGTCTTCAGTAAAATCTGAACATGTGTTTTTCCACAGCACAGTCTAGGAGCCTTTCCCTATTTTCATTATCATTATTACATTGTTGAAAGTTTAAATTTCCAGAGGTTTAATGACAGGACTAAAGTCATTCATTCAGCTAAAAACTCAAAAACAAACTGGAGCCCACAGTATCTAACCCCAGACAAAACTCTACTCATTACATTCACATTAGGGCTCTTTGAAAGGGTAAATCCAATCCACATTTCCTGTTTCAAATGTATATTCCCTCGTTTTAGATATAACCATATTAATCTGGGTTGGAAGCCACCTAGTAAACTGAATTTTGCTCTCAGGCATGCATAGGCAACCAAAATTCAAGTTAAAGCACTACCCTGGGGTCTTTTATCTGAGAACACAATCGGGAAGCCTGCTGGAAATTTGTTTTGGAATACCAGAGCACTTGTTTTTAAACAAAGCATTAGCCAAGGAAACAGGTAACAACAAAAGGAATCACAGGACCAAAAGAAAAAACAAACAAAAACAAAAAACTAGACTATAGGAAAGTCTAAAACACCAAGAATCAAGGCAGTTCTTTCTACCCTCTTGTGAAATCTTATTTGCCAAACAATAGCGAAAGAAGGCTTGTATTTAGGGTTTTTGTTTGTTTATTTGTTTTTAAGATTTAAGTTAGTTGTGTCCCCACTGGAGGTTAAAGTAAAAAAGGCCTAAATGAAGAAAGAAAGAAAAAAAAAAGCCCTTCCATAAACCCACAGATCATACTAAAGTCTGCGAATGGCTCTTGTATTTCCTCAAATACTTTCTCCTCACTTTTAAGTACGCCTACCAAAGATTAGAAAGACATCCTCAGGAGGAGGTCAAATAACCCCAGAGGCAAATGTTAGCTCCTAAAATGTCTACCACCCTCCTCCCTAGAGCAAAATCTCACAGCACCTAGTTATTTTAATGTAGTTCATCCACAGAAGTATGAGTGACACAAATTAAGTTTATAAATTTTTAGTTCAGTTAGTTTAAAATATTTTTAATGGAAGCCATACAGTGCAGTGAGAAAAAGCAGTGACCTAAATATTAGAAAACCTGGGTTCCACATCCCTGTTCTACCAAAGATTCACTAGGTCATACAGAACAATTATATAACATAATTTTATAGCTCTCTATTTTCTCATCTGTAATAAGGTGCAAGCTTAAGATATATTATAGATTCTGAAGACATCCAAAGATAAAGTGGAGGCGAGTGGGGTAGGGGTGGGGTGGGTTGGGTAGAAAAAAGAGTGAAAGTCCCAGTAAAAGCAACATCAGAATAAAACTCTTAAGAAGCATTTATTTAGTTCCCTTATGTAGTGGTTCAAGTCGGGTTCTGGAGCCAGAATGTATAGGCTCCACCACTGACACACTCGTCCTTGGGTGTAAACTCTATGTGCCTGTTTCCTCTCCTTTAAAACAGGAATCAAAACGGCACCAACCTCATAGAACCACTCTGTGAGAATTACATGAGTTGATTTAAGCAATTAGAATACCCAATACTCAATAAATGCTTGTTCTCATTATTATTATCATTTTTGCATCAATACTGGGCTTATGGTGAAGACGAAGTTGACAATTAAGTACTTTCATGTCCTATTCTTTCTAATCAAAGGGGGAACAAAAAGATCTTGTATCTCTCTGCATGAGTTCTGTGTACAACCTTCACATCTGTGAACCCTCAAGTCCCTGCCCTTATTCCCAAACCTGTGGATTCAGGCAGATTCACAAGTACTGGATTCTCTATTTGCCTGCATACACCATCCCCAAGGATCCACAGATTTCTAAATGCACCAGGAAAACATAAACTGGTAAAAATGTTTTCATGCCTTTGAATATTAACAAAAACTCATTTTCCACCCACCTTCCCACACCCGGAAGTCAAAATCTACTTTAGGAATCAAAAGCTAGTGAAACAACATATTCTTGCTTTTTTAGTATTTTAGATGATTCTTTTTAAGAGCTCACAGGTATAAAGAGTCCTTACGTGCTGGGAATATTTTTTCTGTAGTCGACAACAATATCTGATGAAGATGGTAATCCAGAAAGGAAATCATATCACCCACTGTTTTCGTCATCCATCTAACATCTAACCCAAAAGCTTTAAGATTTCTTTTCCAGTAATTTTTTTCCCTCAAACTTTCTATTTTCTTCTCGAGATCCATTTTATTGACTAACTCCAAACATGACCTCTAAGGCATTCCCTCTATTCAGGGGTCCATCTGACGGTATTCATCAGTGCCCAATTCCCTGGACAGCTGTGGAAGACTGTAACAGATTTAAGTTTCACTTCTGATTAAGTCTTTTCAATGAAGGTAACCTGATAGCCTTGCCCAGTAGAGAGCCCTAGAAATAAACTTTCGTTTTCCGCCCTCCTTCTCTCAAATTTATGAGCACAGATGGATTAGTGGATTCCACTTCAAGTGGAAAGAAAATCAAGTATCCTTATTTCTTCAGCATCTCCCCTAAGCTTGAACCTTACTGTATGTCATGCTCATTTTAAGCTGCTAATAAAATCCAACCAATTCAAAAGGTCCCTGGAAGCTTTAATGTCTCAGCACTTAATTTCTCTTGAAGAAGTAGATTCATGAAGGCATTTGTAATCAAAATCCTCAGAATCAAAAAATCATAATTTAAGCCAAATTAGGCAAAACACTTCCCTACCTGCCAAATGGCTCCCCTAGAGCTTTCTAAAGGAGGATTACAGTTACACATCTTTTTCTGTGTTAGACACATCAAAAAACAATGCGACACCAGAATGTAACACCACCCACTCACCCACCTCTCCCCCACATCCCCAGAATGTCATTCCTTGAGGGCAGAAGCTTTGTTTAGTTCACTGTTTTTATCCCAAGTGCCTAGAACAGAACCTGGCATAGAGAAGAGAAACTCAGCAACTATTTGTTGAATGAATGAGTGGGCAGACGGGGATGGAGGTGCTGCATGGAGCCAAGGCCCACAGAGGATAATCAGGCCACACATAACACATAATTGATAGCACTTCTGAAAGAGGGTACAGTCACGGACGTGTCCACACAGAACTGATCATTCTGGTGGTGGGGCACATCTTATTTGTACATCTTACCACATATTTCACTGATAAACCTGTGATGTAGACCAAAAAGGCCCTCAACTACCATCCCACAGCTCAGAGCCTTCCTGTGAAGGTATGTGTGACTCCAGGTTTTCTAAATGTAACCCTGCATCCCCCTGACTTCCAAGGTAATGCTATAACTTTCACTCATCTCAAACACTTTCAACAGACAGTAGCTCCCAATACTTCTGAATTTCTTAGTCCCCTCTCTAATGCCTCACTCCTACTCTCTAAGTTCCTGATGCTTATGCTTTGTAATGAATATGTAAATATATCCGCAGCTTGCCTCATAAGGTGCTGAAGAGGGAAGAGTCTAAGGAGAGGAACTCCCCAGGACATTACCCTCCAGAATCTTGAAAGTAGAACCACATTAAAAAATGCTTTAAGAAAATGAAATATAAAGTCCAGGAGTACCACACATGGCTTGGTACCAGGCATCTGAGAACCCAGTGAAGAAAAACCAAACACAACCCTCCAAACAGCAGGTCTCTTACCCTGACTGCATGATAGAATCCTCGCCTTGGGGAGCTTTTTAAAATTCTGATGATAGAGGTGGGGGCTTCCTGCACCCTCCCAGAGGTACAAGGACTTTTTTAAAGCTCCCCAGGGTATCCCCAGGGTATTCTAATGTGTGGCCAGGTTTGAGCCTCCTGGACTCTAAAACTTACGGTTGACTGTGGTTCCTGCTCACTAAAAATAACCTACAATTTTAAGAAAATTACAGTAAAGTCATAAGGTTTTTTAAAGTTGGTGGTGGGTACATGGGTGTTGGCTATGTTATGCTTTATACTTTTCCATACCTAGAAAATATTTCATAGTCATATATACACATATCTACATATGCATACATTTTTAGACAAATTTAAAGCAAGCACATAGTGTACTGGTCCTCAAAAGCACCAGTACTAAAAAGATGATTTTACATTCCTATGGATTATGGGCACTGGTGGTGTCTGGGGCTTTTACTTCACTGGGGCTAAAAAAGACAGACCAGCTAAAACTGGGTCCGCTGACTTGAAAACACTGGCCTGTATTCCGTAACACACTCTCATGCAGGTCTTGAAAAACGCTCCAGTCAAACTCAGCTCAGAAAGACCAAAGGTACCTGCTGAATCAGGAATCCACCTAAAATCAGCAAAGTTGCCAGTACTGAGCCAGACTGGCTGTGAAATCCTCTACACAAACTAACACCTGGAGTCACAGAAGTGGGTTGTGACAAGTTGGTATTACTCCCAAGGCTAGGCCCTACCTAGAACCATCTTAAAATGGAGGCGAGGGGAGCATATTCCAATTAGTTTATCTAGAGACAAGCTCATCCCCCTCCTCTTTGTCAGAGGCTCAGTGCAGGCCCTGAAGCAAATAGTCTAAATTCAAATCCCAACTCTACAACTCTATCTGCATGACCATACAGAAATTACTTAACTTCTCTGCACCTCAATTTCCTCATCTCTAAAATAATGATAATGTGACCTATTATACAGAGTTGTTGTGAGGGTTAGATGTGTTAATGCATGTAAAGCTCTGGGTACAACAAACATCACAAGCAGTAAGCCTGTGATAAACATGAGCCATTGTGGTTAAAATAATTCCCCAAATGGTGGTGATTCTGGCACTGGCAAAGCCGTTTCCCACTTTGTGATGACTGGGCACTGGAATTCTGTAGAGTCTTGAAGCACATCTCTTGGAGGAGCCATACCCACTAACAGGAAAGGAGACACAAATCTTGTCTCCAAAAAGATGCCCCATGTCTCCTAAGACCTGGAGTGGTGGCACAAGGTACAATGAGAAGCTACTTTAAAAGAATATAACGTGAGCTCCAGATGTGCTCTTGTTTATACATCAGCTGGGTGACCTTGGGGAAATTCAAAAACACTTTCAGTTGGGAAATGAGGGCTTTGGACAGTTGCTTTCTGCTGTTTCTAAGCTTCTGGCGTCACTCAGTTAAAGTGACTGCAGGCCCCTCCCCACTCTCTGTCCCCTCCTCAATGGCTTTGTTCCAGCCGCCAACATCTCCTGTGTTGCTCACATACCATGCCACTCCTTCTTCCTCAAAGCCTTTACACTTGTTCTCCCCTTTCCTTGAAAGCTCTCCTCCGGGTTATCTGTATTTCTTGCTCCCTCGCTTCCTTCAAGTTTCTGCTCAAATATCACCTCCTCAGAGGAGCCTTATCTAACCCACCCTGGATAAAGCATCACGTAAGCATACACATACAAGTGAGTCCTCAGTTAAATACGTGACACGATGCATAATGAAAGCAATTTTACCATACATGAGGAGATGGTGCAAACTCCACACAGTTGCCCTGGCCAGGAATCAATTTTTTTTCTCATCAACATTATAATGAAAAGAATCAATGTTATTTGAGGACCTGCTGTGCTAAGTTCTCACTCTTGCTTTACCCTGCTTTATAAAATCCCCTGTCACCTCCCAACATATTATATATTTGTTTATTTACAGTATGTCCCCCCATCCTTTGTTAGAATATAAACTCCATTAAAATAGATATCTATTTTTTCTAATTTACTATGGTACTTCCTGTGCCTGGAGTACTGCCTGCCTAGCACACAGAAGCTGTCAATAAATTTTTTTTGAATGAAAGAATAAACAAATCCAGACACTTTTTTCTTCTCAAAGAGAATGTAATCCTAATACATAAGTATAAATATAGAAGACAGGTAAAGGTGGAGTTCTGATTTAATAAAGTCAGGATCTCCCCTCAAATGACTCAGCGTACCCTGAGGTACCCAAAACCACTGCCCATGAGGATCTCCAAAGTCCCTTATCACTCTGAAAGTCCCCAAATCCACATTATTTCTGTTAAACTCCAAAGAAGAAATATTAAATTTGATGAATGATGTTCCATTCTGCGATTTCACTTACTATTCACTGGCAACTACAAAAAGGACCCTGAAAATTCAAATCATACCATGTCCCACAACTGTTGCATCCCTAGAATATTTACAGCCAGATAGTAAACCTATCTAGTTGTGGGGGGAAAAAACATCCAACTACAAAGGGCAGGATTCAGGGGGTGGTCTCTTTCCAGGCTCTATCACATGGTCCCTCGGCCTCTAGGACCTACCACTGAGCCTCTAGGCTGCAATAATCCCATTGCTTCTAAGAGGGGAAAGGAAGAAGGGAGGTGGACTTGAGACCCATGTGGAGATAGATGCTGTACAAGGGAGGAAATATTTGGGCAACATGGCAGCCACCTGGTACTTTCTTGACTCCACCACTTAGTCTCTTTTTATATCTAAATGACCCCCAAATAAAATAATTCCTGGCTTAGCCTGCTTTGGGCTCACATTCAGAAAAACAGAGGTTGAGGGAGCATCCTAGAAAAGAATTCTGCACAGGACATGAATAGTTGAAAAAAACACTCCTGAGAAGCCAACTGGCTGCAATACTGTGATAGAGGCTTATACACAGCTAAAGGACCTTCTCACAATTGCAGGGAAGATATGAAATACACTCAGCAGACAAGTAAATAGGACTTTTGCAAATCTCTATCATCCAGTCTAGCAGTGCTGAACTAAGCAAGAGTCATCGATTGCAAGCCTGGTGACCTATCCTCTAACACTGTAATCTAATCCTTAAACTAAAGACGATTTAATGCCTTTGCATGTCCATATGTTTTCTAATGATGCTATTGCTGTCAGCATGCTACAGGAGTGCTTCTTGGAAGATGGAAGTAATGACAAAGCACATCATTGGAAAGGCAATTATATGCAGCACTAACCATTTTACAATGGCCATATGGGCTGTATTTCAACAATGTAATTTCCAAATCAGGCTGAGCATACATATTTGTCTGTCCCTAATCCCAGGTACACCATACTAAACAAAATAAGAGTACAGCTGAAATATGGGCAGCAGATGTAGAAATCTACAACAAGAATGCTAAAATAGGCCGGATGCAGTGGCTCACACCTATAATCCCAGCACTTTGGGAGGCTGAGGCAGGCAGATCACCTGAGGTCAGGAGTTCGAGACCAACCTGGCCAACATGGAGAAATCCTGTCTCTACTAAAAATACAAAAATTAGCCAGGTGTGGTGGTGGGCACCTGTAATCCCAGCTACTCGGGAGGCTGAGGCAGGAGAATCGCTTAAACCCAGAAGGCAGAGGTTGCAGTAGGCCAAGATCATGCCACTGCACTCCAGCCTGGGCGATAGAGCAAGACTCTGTCTCAAAAAAAAATAATGCTAAAGTAATGTTCACCTGTAATCAGAAAATAGATGGCACCCACTACCCTGAAGTGAAACTGACACCCATCCCTGACAGCCCATCTTCACACTATGTTTCTTTAATCAAAATCATCACAACAGGGGTATTATAGACCACCAGAGGGGCAAGGAAGGATACAAGGAACAGTTAAAAAGACACAGTTACTATCTAAGGGTTTACAATCTGAGACAGGCCCTAGAGTCAATATAGAACTTGTATTTTACAAATACATAAAATCAAAGCATAAAAGATCACCTTTAAAGCCCTAGACTTTGTGGTTCCTTTTACAGTTATATTTAAATTTCAAAGAACATGTTTTGACTTGGGTCTCCCCAACAATTACAATCTGTAAAATAGAATTCTAGTATGGTATTTCCATTCGGGACATACAAAGGGGCAATTGTGTTTATTGAGACAGTTGGAGAGAGAAAGGCAAGACTGTGTGTCTCAGAGCATGGTGATTCCAAGAAGAAACTGCCACCTCTCTTCATACGGACACTCAGATGGGCGCAGTGGCTCACACCTGTAATCCCAGCATTCTGGGAGGTGAAGGCAGGAGAAGCACTTGAGACCAGGAGTTCTAGATCAGCCTGGGTAACATTGCAAGACCCCATTTCTACCCCTCCAAAAAAAATTAGCAGGGGTAGTGGTTCACACCTGCAGTCCCAGCTACCTGGGAGGCTGAGGCAGGAGGATCACTTGAGCCCAGGAGTTTGAGAATGCCTGGGCAACACAGCAAGACCCTGTCTCTACAAAAAAAAATTAAAAAATTAGCCAGGCATGGTGACACACACCAACAGGTCCTCAGGAGGCTGCAGCAGGAGGATCGCTTGAGGCCAGGAGTTTCAGGATGCAGTGAGCTATGATTACTGCTGCACTCCAGCCTGGGAAACAGAGTGAGATCCCATCTCTTAAAAAAAGAAAGAAAGAAAGAAAGAAAGAAAGAAAGAAAGAAAGAAAGAAAGAAAGAGACGGAGAGTGACTCTTGAGAGAAGTGTGTAACTTGACTGATCTTCATATTCATCTAGAAATCTTTAGAAAATTCAGGCCCAGTGAGGGTATTCTGTGTGTGTATCTTTATACTAACCCCCATTCCTTGTAAATGAATGGTAATGGACCAGTTCTGAATCGTGAAGTCCCAGAGAATGACCTGTGAGGAGGCCCATCTTAGCCGAGGGGAAATGAGGAGGAGCCTTCTCAAAAATGTACAGTACTCTAAATGCAGTTGGGATTTCCTTAAGAAGTAAATCTAACAGTTATATTCATTAGCATACTCTTTGTAGCATAAACAAACCTTAACAGGGTGGAATGGGAAATGGGAGAGAACAATTTGCAAATCTGCTTAGAATAATGAAAGGAAACAATGACAGAGGAAATCAATGGACTATTTGTCACCTGGTATCTTCAAGATACAGATATCAAGAAAAGCAAAAAGAGCTATTTAGTGTGGTCTTTTACCAGAAAGAATAGAGTTCCTAATAGATTTTAAAAAAATACACCTAGCCCTCAAAACAAGGTCTCTTTTATTGTGAAATAGATTCTCAAGACAAGTGCTGCTTCCTAGAACAGTTTAAAAGCAGACAAGACAAAATACTTCAGAATCTATAGCAGAATATAAGCTTATATGCACAGTAATCTGTGAGGGCATGCTAGTCCTCATTCCAATTTTACATTTGTGTTCCAGAGAGCTACTTTTAGAATTCAGTGAGATAAATGAGTGCAAGGGTTTAGAACAGACACTGACATACAATAACCCTCTATATCATCAGCCTGAATCCTTGCCTTTGACAATGGTTTAAAATCTACCTGAGTAGTATAACCCGGGAAAAGGTCAGATTTTATAACAGGGAGAAACAGTGAAACAGAGAAAAAACAACAACGAATATGTTACAGATATATTGTATGAGTGGCAGCAACCTAACTGTAAGCTCCAACTTTTCAAAGGAAATAAAGACCTGGACAATAAGTACTCTCCCCTCCCTAAATCCTATTATTATACCTAGAAAATCCTTTGTAACAATTTTCAGCACAACAATGAACAAATGTGGTCTACTAGAGACCATGTGGCCATCTTTCACAAAATGCATCTGTATGAAAATGAGTAAAGGGATAAGGAGCCCAAGCTTTCAAGTCAGGCAAAAACTGCTACATTTCTTGCCTCTCTTATACTGATCCTGGCCAAGTTGATTTAACGGCTCTGTGCTTCAGTTTCTTCAACTATCAAACAGAGATTATTATTCTTTTTTTCATGGGGTGCGTCAATGGGATAACGAATGCAAAATTGCTAGCACAATGCCTGGCACAAGGCGAATAGTAAATAGCAGCTCCCTCTTCAAAAATTTCTTTTCATGGAATTGTTGTCAACTGTAAATAAGCAATGACTGAGTACCTACTATGCATAGATTACTGAGTGAAGAAAGAAACAGTTCTGAAAGCCTCAAATATCCCCAGAAGGATATATACAGAAAGAGTGCAGGGGTTACATTTAGGCAGAGAATACAGAGAGAATAACAATACATAAGAAATAAAATGCTGCGCAGTGGCTCATGCCTATAATCCCAGCACTTTTGAGAGGCCAAGATGGGAGGATCGCTTAAGCCCAGGAGGTCAAGACCAGCCTAAGCAACATAGGAAGACTCCGTCTCTACAAATAATAAATTAGCCAGGCGTGGTGAGACGCGCCTGTGGTCCCAGCTACTCAGGAGGCTGAGGTGAGAAGATCACTTCAGCCCAGGAGGTCGAGGCTGCAGTGAGCCATGACTGCGCCACTGTACTCCAGCCTGGGCAACAGAGCGAGAACATGTCTAAAAAAAAAAAAGTTTTAAAATAGAAATATAGGGAGAAAACTCTGGCTCTCTCTTTTCCAAGGTTCTAGTCTTAACTCCCAAAAAACACACAGAAAGCCATTACAAAGCATAAAACAGACCAAGGAAAAATTAATAGCACTTGAACTTCCCACCAGATCCCAAAGTAAACATGAAGCCCATAGTGTCACAGTCAACACTTCAAAAAACTCCTTCAGGTGGGCCCCAAGATCTCCATACATGGGAAAACCATGTCAGAAAGATGAAATACCCCCAAAACTAAGAAATAAAGCATTTCTCAGACCTAATCATTTCTCAGAAATAATCCATATCCCAGCATTAAGACTATCAATAATGTACTATCATTAATATTATAATCATCGTCAGTGATTCTGGAAACAACTAACAGCTATAGTTAAAATTAATTCTAGTTTTGAAATATAGATAAAAGGATAGTTTTACTGGACAGTTTGAAGCTTGAATGATTCAAAGTGGAAAGCCACATTGCCAAAATAATTTACAATTTTTTTTTTTTTTTTTTTTTGAGACGGAGTCTCGCTCTGTCGCCCAGGCCGGACTGCGGACTGCAGTGGCGCAATCTCGGCTCACTGCAAGCTCCGCTTCCCGGGTTCACGCCATTCTCCTGCCTCAGCCTCCCGAGTAGCTGGGACTACAGGCGCCTGCCACCGCGCCCGGCTAATTTTTTGTATTTTTAGTAGAGACGGGGTTTCACCTTGTTAGCCAGGATGGTCTCGATCTCCTGACCTCGTGATCCACCCGCCTCGGCCTCCCAAAGTGCTGGGATTACAGGCGTGAGCCACCGCGCCCGGCCTACAATTTTTAAAAAATGATCAACAGAGGTAGAGGCAGTATAGACATGCTGAGTTAAACAGATTTTAATGCTTTCAGATATATGTAAAACTACTTTTAAACACAGGAACCATTTCTGGAATCACATTATACTTCAATATTTAAAAACATTTATATTCTTTCAACTGAAGGTGACCTGGAACAATCTGGTCCATTTCTATATTAGAGTAATAAAACATTTTAAAACAACACAAGTGTCTAACACAGCAGGTCTCAACATTCAGGTGTGAAATCGCACCTCCCAGCACACAGGCTGAATTATCCCCCTGCATCTCACCTGCAATTATCATTTGCTCCCTCCCCAGGTGGCTCTAAGACACCACATATCCTCCTAGGCTCACATCTGGAAATACAAACTCCCTCTGGGGGCCTCATATGCTAAGGGAGTCAGAGAGCACAAAAACAAAAACGTGATGCTGGCTTGAACAACTTCTGAAAAATAACTATTTTCAACAGACATATAAAAGTAATCTGATACAATTAAAATACCCTTATGTCACTATGGTTAGGAATAAATATTTTTCCAAATAAAAAGGGTAAATTTACTTCACAGTTCTGATAGAGGCCAGCTTCTTCCATTAAGGCCAATTCCAAAAATTTAGCAAAGGATATTTCATCAGTTCATAGGGTATAATTAGATGTTTTGATTAAAGCATTTTCCTCCCCTGGTTAACAAGATATAACAGATGTCACTGACTTCCCTAATAACAATGCAGCCCTGCTTTTGGCATCTTTACAATTTTAAAACTGAACTGTCATATAGAAAAATTACAGCTAGGGTGTCTCGATACAATCATGACTCTGAAGTGGTTATGACACGCCTGGACTCCCCAATGGAACAGATATGGAAATCATATTCCATATTCATAGCTGGGAGCCCTCCTTAGCAAGCACTTGAAAACCAAGCTCTGAAATCTGAATGATGCGGGCTTATTCAAATCACCACCAATTATTCCTGGAAGCACCGACCAAGTGAGGTATAAAACCTGAAGAAAAAATGCAAATCTCACAGTCACTGTCTTCCAGGAGCACGGGGAACAGAGCACCGGGAACACGTGCAGGAAACTGTCTCAGAGGAAGCAATGCCCATCTGAAGAGACTCACTCCACCAAAATCCCAGCCTCCCTGCAGAGAGGAGGAGTACTATAGTTGATAAAAAGGACTCATATTTTTCACAGCAAGATTCCCCTAGTGCATTTGATCCAATTTACAAAAATTCGATTTACACCAATTTTGTCAACATATCAGTCCAGAGAGTGAGTAGAGGTAGGCCTGCATTTTAAATGGGAGGCAGAGCCTCTCTGATTGAAGTTCAACTCAAACATCCTGGTTTAACAACTCCATTAATGAAATGAAGCACAGATCTAAAGATTACTCAGCCCCTTTGTCAGTCGCATGTGTTATTTATAGGACAGCGTATCAATCATGTCTTCCCTTTATTATTTCCTACTTTCTGGTCCTAAGCTATTTGGTCTGCCAAATTAATACATTCCATGGCTGCTGCAAATCTAAACAATGCTTGATAAAAGATTAATAAAATAGTTGGGTTCTCTGCAACCACATACACACCCAGGAAGATTCATCAATGTCTTTTTATTTGCATATTTGGCTGACTGCCCCCTACAGCAAATATGTAAGGCACAATGCTCAGGTATCCTGGTTTATGGTTTACATTTAATTCAGGGTGTCAATCTGCTTCTGTTTTAATTACATCCATCTTGATATGTTATTACAATCCCATGAAAACTTCTTTTCATTATATGAATGGCTATGAATACATACACATGAGAAACAGTTGTTATAAATGTTCTGGTTCAGCAATGAACAGACAAGATGCCTTAGTCAACACGTCATGTGGATTTAATATTTTAAGTATTTCCTCGAAGAAAATTTTCGTTGAGCCTTCAACTCCACTATACTCCAAAGTTCACTCACTCCATACATCCTGCTACCAATGTTATGAAGTTGCTCTGAGTTTCCACAGATTGCTAGGCTAAAGAAAATATTTTACACAAAGAAATTATGTTAAAAATTTTACATGGGCCACATTAAGGTCATCTTACTTCCAAATAATTATTTTATCTTTCCACTAGACATTCAATGATGAGAAACCACCCTAATATTTATTTTTTTATTTTACATCCTTATAAAAGGGAGGTGGGAGGCAGTGTTTAAAAACGATGAATGTACCTACAGAGAAAGGCCAACTAATTTCAGGGTGATACACTGGGAGAGAGCGCAGGGAGAGAACAACGCTTTTTAAAGGTTCTTGATATTGTGTAAATCAGAACATTTCTTAGCTGAAATGGGAAGCTTTACAATCATGGGTGCTCATCCACATTTGTAGTAAGACTTTTTGTTTTTAAAAAATCTCCTTCCAAGGTTCCCAATCCTTGGGACTCCCCAGTACTAACTTACAAGAAGCAGACTCCTAGATTCATAGGGTAACAGTGAGAGCCTCTAACTCCCAGTGTGATCTTGAACAGGTCAATTAACCCCTGTGGGCTGTTGTTTTCATTTGCAAAATGAGAGGTAGAACTACATCACTAAAGACAACATCTGTGCCTCTGATGCCACACGGCTTAGAAAGCACATCAACTAGCAATGGCTGGAATAAAATGGATCAAAAGGCTGCTATGAAAAAGTTTAGGTCCTAACTTTAGGATACCTCCTAAAGATTTAGCTCTGCATATTAATCTCAAAACTGTAATTGTCAAGCAATCATAGTGACCACCGTAACAAATGAGGGAGCAGACCACAATATGCAGTAAGACACACTAATCAAATGCTTGTTTCCCTTTTTGCTCCAGTGAAAGTATAATGTCAACTATATAAAATCATTTCTTAGAAAAGCACGGTCCAGGACCTTCATTCTCTTTGCCAACTGAACATGTACAGACAGAATGGGTGGAAGTCACTGCAATTTCTATCATGTGGCTAGAAAACAAGTAATAATCTAATGTTCAATTATTGTGCTATCCACATCTTCATTCTTACTTTTTTCTTTGTAAAGATTTTAACTATAGAATATTTCGCTAAACAACATTTAACCAGCAACCTTTAGCCAACGAGTATAACTGAACAAAGAGATCTAGAAGAAAACAAGAAAAAAGAAGTCTACTTCAACATAACAACTAAGAAATACTTATAATATGGGACTGTAATCTCTTAATTCCTCCTTTTAAGTTCTAAAATATTACTGCCATCAGAAACTTTACAAAAACTTAAAATGAGATTTTGTGCTGCAGACGAGGGTAGGTGTGGGGACAACAAGGAAAATGAGATCCCTCAGGCGTCATCACAACTTGTCCCTGGCAATGACTAAAACTCAGTCTCAGGTTTAGAACTTAGCCACAGTTTGAAAATATCAGATTTCTTGCCGGGTGCAGTGCCTCACGTCTGTAATCCCAGCATTGTGGGAGGCTGAGGAGGGTGGATTGCTTGAGCCCAGGAGTTTGAAACCAGCCTGGGCAACATGGCAAAACTCTATCTCTACAAAAAATACATAATTAGCTGGGCATGCTGGCATGCACCTGTAGTCCCAGCACTTGGGAGGGTGAGGTGGGAAGATCACCTGAGCCCAGGAAGGTTGGGGCTGCAGTGAGCCATGAGCATACCACTGCACTCCAGCCTGGGCAACCAAAGAAAGACACTGTCTCAAAAAAACAAAATAAAAGAAAGAAAATATCAGATTTCACCCATGTAACCAAGAGTCACAATCTATATTTGCAGGCTGTGCTTCAGTTAATAGCAGCCACACAATACTTGCAATTTAAAGACTTTTTGCCAAAAATGAATCCCAACTTGCATTAGCAATTTTCCATTACTTACAAACTGTGGGCTTTTCTCTTGTGACTCCATTTTACTGCACATGGGTTTTCCAGGGCTCCAGAGGTAACAAGGGGGTATGGCACCGTGAGGTATAGTGCAAGCTAAAATGACAGTTAAGTCATTTTAAAAATATTTGTATGTAGTTGATCATTTATAAGGTTTGCTCTGGCAAACAAACTAACTAGAATTCAGACATAAGCTGAGAAATTAGAAAAGTGAGCTGTAATGGCCAAGAAAACTGTGGCAAGCAATTCACCTTTAGAGAGCTAAATTAGAGTTCCTCAAGCAGATTGTCACAGTTCAAATAATGAAATTTAAAAATTTTTGAATTTCTGCGTTTCATACACAATGTCCTAAATGCATTACCTTTTATTAACAGCATTCATAATTTTGATAGCTCTACCTCAGTAAAGGAAGAGAGAGAAAGAAGAAGGATATGAAGGAGAGAGAAAGGGAGGAAAGGAGGGAGGTGGGCAGCAGGTGAGCGGGGAATCTAACTGGACCCTAAGAGAGCCACATACACTAATATATGAAATAAACACCTTCAAAGAAGGCACCAATTCATATGATTTCAGGGTCCAGAGCCCCTTGCAATGGATGGAATCAGAGACCTGAACAGGACTAAGACACAGAAGCCTGTACTTGTCTAGTTTCTTCCTAAACAAGCAGGGGCAGTCAAATTCTAGAAAACTCACTCCTCCCCTCCTCATACTAATAGCATAAAAAGGGCCTATTCTTTGTGACCTCACAGTATGTATTAATTGCATACCAACAGATGCAAAGCTATAATAGAAACTATCATTACTCTGCTATTGTGTTAGAAGAAACGAAGGAGAACACAGCTCAGATTTGGAAGAAAGAAGACACACTTAGGGTCTCACCAGTCTTAAATTCTATGTCCTCTTCACCTCCCAGAGGGGAAAAAAGTCTACATTCATGGAACAGGTTCTGATTATATAAGAGAAAACAGTTCTGCCCCAGCTCACTAATTATTTTTGATCTTCTCCTGTCTCAAGTTTTACCAAATTCATTATCATATTGCTCTTCTAAACTTCAATGATCTAAGTTTTCAAATCTACCTGAATCTTTTCAGAACTTTCTAAAATTAACAGTTGCTCTCCCATTACTAGGTTCTTTATCCTACATCTGCAGCATATTGGGTTTAATCCTAATTCTGAAAGAAAAAAAAAAGTTGCTTCTTGAGGAGGAAAAAAACAGCATGAAACACTTTTACAAAGTTAGGCTGCATTTAGTATATTATGACTACTATACAGGATAGGGGTAAAATAAAATAAAATGTAAAGCCACTAACCCACCATCCTTCACCCTTTGCGTGCACACAGGTGCGTGCACACATACACAAACACCCGAAATGCCACAGACCTTCTCGTCCAAAGGCTTCCAAATCTCGTAGCTCTTAGACCTAAATTATTCCTAATAGCTAGCCTCAACTATTGTTGTGTCCATCTGGGGACCTCATTTCTAATCCTAACATTCTTTAAAACTAAATAATCACCATTTATCTTTGATAATACATAAAACTGTGGTGTAGAAGAGTCTCAGAATCTATCACCCTCAACACTCCTTGAATCATGTTTACTGTTCTGTTTTCTTAACCCTTTTTCAACAGTGAGAACTACAGAACACTACTCTCAGGATCAAAGGCTCAATTCCTAACCTCATAATTCATTTTTTAAATTCACGGATTCATTTACATTCTAATTCCAAAAAAAAGGTGCAAGTAGTTAATCTCCACAATTAACAAAAGCTGCATGGAATCATCATATCACAACGTTCAACCACATCTCACATAAATACTCCTCAAGTGATGCTCTGCCTTATAAAGTAAAATAATGAAACTCAGTAAGTACAGTAAAATACTTGAATTCATAACCACACACACTATTCACACCCTTCCTTTCCTCCAAATTCTCTCATCCCTTCTCAGATCCTAAAGCTATGCATACTTTCAGAAGTCAAATGCTGGAACTGACCCATTTATTTTACAGTCCCATGGCCAAATTTTCCAAAAAAGAAAGTGAAAAATGCAACAGAAACACAGTTCCACAGCTTTTCCTGGCTATGTAACAGCAAAAGAGCGGTTCTGACCCTTTTTTGAACTACCACTTCATATACAGCAAGCCAAAGGCAGATAATTTGAAATCGTTGTTTTAACATCAATGTCAACCTCCTTTCCCAACCAACCTTTTTTTACAGGTTGCCAAAGAGCAGCAATATATGAAACCAGAAGGGACAAAGAGGATAAAACATTGGCTGAAGGGCAGCTTGGTGGCATCAGAATTGGGCTAGTATCATCACACTGAAAGAGCTATTAATGAGAACCACTCACCAATATTCACCTCCTGGTGGGGTTGGTAACAATCAGTAAAAAGGCAGATGTCAGGCAGGAAAGGGGAGCAGGAAAAGACATGGACTAGTCTCCCTCACTGTTTACATCTTCCTCACTTTCACTCCCCTTGCCACTCCTGCTTAAGAAGCAGCTCCCACGCACCGACTACAAGCTTCTGTGCCTGGTTTTCCAAGTCGTCTACCATCAGCCCACTCACCCCAGACTCAGAGATCACCAGATTCCAAGATCTGGAGGGACTTTTTTGGATCCTTTCTAGTATTTCCCATACTGGATTATAGATTACAATGCAGAGAATAAAAGTGCTCTGTGGTCAAAATAGATTTAGGAAATTAGGCACAACACATTGCCTTCTCTGATATTCAAAATTCACATTCACACAATAGACTTTTAATTCTGACAGAACATGGCATCCATTTAATTTTGTCTAGCCCATCAAGTTTCAGAAACTATTTGGCGGTAGATCACTCTGTTTCAGACTAAAAAACAATTTATGAACATCCTGTAAAGCTATGTTCCCTTCCAGCTTGAGAAGCTTTACTCTAAACTAGTTTAAACCTCTCCACTAATGGATAAAGGAAATGATGCTTTTAGAAAGTTAACTTTCAAAGGCCACACTAGTTAGGCAGGCCAAGCCTGGCATGTGGGTCTCCACAGGTCTCCTGCCCCACTAACAAGCACTCTTTACTTACCACCTTTGTACTCATTTCCACCAGCCTTTCCTTGCCCCCAAGTCCTAACCATGTAGCATCTTGTTCCTGTGCCTTCATTATTCCTTTAGAATGCTCTCCCTAGCTCCAACTCCTTCCCCATATATCCAAATCACTTCACCCTTCTAGGTCCCATTCCCCACCCATGAAGCCTTCTGGAACACTTCAGCCTATCTCACTAGCCTGTCTCTAAAAGCCTATGGCGCTTAGTTGATATCAGGCATTCAAGTACCTGTTTCAAAATTATTTCATAGGTGCTGGCTTTATCAACTAAACTACATACTTTCTCAAAACGCTAGATTTATGTTTGGTTTCTCTATATTCTTAGTGCCTTGTACATATTAAGCACTCCATAAATATCTGCAGACTGACAGAAGGCATGTGACTCATGTTGTTTTTTAAACAACTAAAGTGATTTGACCATAATAAATTGTGAGAGCCTATTAACATGGCATGTTATAAGTACACCAAATTCTGTATAGCCCACTTATGCTACTGATGTGTGGGGGAAGCCCTGAAAACAGAGCCAGGAAGTGAAGACCGCATCAAAGTCTTGGTTTGATGCTCTAACCACTAGAAATGAGTCTTCCTTTACTTTCATAAGCCTATAAAGCTCCAATTGGCCTCTTTTCTGCTAATTCCACAAATTTCATCTTAGCTTCCCTTGGTCAGCTGTACAAAAGGAGGCTGCCCTAAGAACCCAGTGCACAAAAGAGGAATGAGGGGAAAAATAATGGATTTGCAAAGTCAAGTTTTCAGCCATGGTACTCACGTGGCTTCCTAATAGACACAACACAGAAAAAAAACCCAAATAGCAGAAAGCCAACACTATCTAACACATCAGGACACACTGATGGTAGTAGGACCCCAACATTCCCATTTATACTTTGCTAAAAGCCACTTTTTAAGAAAACTAGACATCTTATCTGGGGATTTTTGCTCTCATCCTGTCACTCGAAGAATATCCAAACAAACAATATACTATATACCAACGTTAATTCTGCTTCTCAACTGCATAATGAAAAGAACACCATGTTCAACTTTAGCCTCCTCGCCTACCCTCTTATCTTCTATCATGAGGCTCTTCATAATCATACACTTGAACTTCAGGGCACAATTACTCAAGAGAAGTGTCCCTGTGAATATGAAACTGTTTCAGCCAGTTTCACTGCCTATAAAATGTGAGACTTGTCAAACTACCCCTAAAGCTTTCATCATCTCAAAAAAGAATCCAACAACAGCAAAAAATAATCAAGATAAAAATGCAGGTTCTCATTAGGCAAGTTATCACTTTTACTCCAGTATCAGTAAAATCAGTTGAACTGGAACTATTTATATTAGCACATTTCATAATGAGTTAGGAGCCTCTTTTTTAAAAGAGAAGTCCAAAACCAGCTACTCAGAACAAAATCATGGAGTCAAATAATGTGTCCATTAACACACAAAGTATGCTACTCCACTGTTTGCCAGCTATTGCTCTGAACTGGCACAAGCTATAAACCTAGCTGTGCAAGCCAATATTTCTGGTTTCTTTTCACAATATCATACCAGCAGCAGCCTTAATGACATGTGGTGACAACTGATTTCATTTCTAAACACAAGGCCCGAAAACATACTACGTATTTAGGATAACTCTTAGCATCTATAATAATTCTTAACTTTTACAAACACTCCCCCAACACACATTTTTGTCCAAGCTCATAGTTTAGTTGCCTGTTCCCAATAAGCCCTCACATTTCTTGGTGATAGTTCAATAAATCTTCCAGACTGAATAGAGTGGACCACCAGAGGTTTTAATTTAACAATCACTAACACATATGTTCTGACCATCCAGCATGGACACAATGTGATAGCACACAGCCAACAAAACTACCTTTTGCCAAAGAACCAGACATATATGATGATTTCTATTTCCCATTGTGTGTTTTTAATCTGACAAATGTATTTACGGCTTCCCTACAAAAGTTGGGCCTCTTAAAATGTAAACACTGACAGGATATTTGATATTAGTGAACTGTTATACATTCATTTAAGTGTGATAATACTGCTGTGCGGGTTTTGGTGGGGTCTGAGGATTTTTGGAGTCATTATGGTTTAGGGATTCATACAGAAGTATTTCTGTGTGAGAAATATGGATGAGATCATATGTGGGAGAGGAAATAGATGAAATATAGAAAATACAAGATGAGATATGAGTTGGTAGTTCTCAAACCTGGATGTTGGGTGTTCTGTCTACTTCTGTATGTTTAATTTTTTCTACAGAATTTTAAGTAAACTTTTTTAAAAGTTAGACCTTTTCTACCTACACATAGATAGACATATGATATTTAGATATGAAGGTGACATAGTATTCAGCTAACCAAAATATCCTGGATTTTAATCTAGAAAAGTAGCAGAAAAAAATAATCAGAGCAAAGAAAGAAATGGTATTAACTGTACATTTTGAACTTGGTCTGCTTTTAAAATTACAAGTTTTTTAGGCACAAAATAAATTAAAATGAGCACATTTTCTCGCAAAAGCCAAATAAATAGATATATATCACAAGCCCAGTCAAATACCTATTTGTTAAAAATAAAACCATCAAAAAGAACTGCATAAGTGAGATATACACACACACACACACACACACACACACACACACACACACACACACACACACATATATATATATATATATATACACACACACATATATCCCTACTTGTCCTCCAAAAATGTTCGTGGGAATCCAGTGGCCCCTCTTGATTGCTGAGCTCAGGATAACCATGCAGAAAGCAGAACCACTTGTAACCAGCTCTTACAAGTACTTTCCAAAACAACCACAGACAGCAATGATGAACCAAATTCCAAGCAGCATGTTCTAATAGGAACATGCTGCCATTTCAACTCCTATTTTAAAACAAGAGAGAGAGACAGAAAGAGGTCACACTGTATGGTAACCACCACCCACCTTGGCAAACTTAAAGCCACAGTTGGAATTATTCTAATAAGTGGTGAACCTCAACACTCAAAATTTTGGCCAATAAAGCACCAATTCTAGAACCAGAGAGTAACTGATTCAATCACTAACATCAAAATCTACGACCACCACCAATACCACCAACATCACCATCACCACCACCTGCACCACCACCACCACCACCAATACCTCCCTTACTCCCAACCACTGGCCACCATCCACCACCATCACCACCAGCAGCCCAAACCAAAAGCAGTTCACACAGAAAAGGACAACACTGATAGGAAGCCTTCCTTTGAAAAAAATATTTAAAGCTGACACCCAAACACATAAACAGAACCAGCAATCTAAACCTGTACAGTTACCGTATGTGAGATTTAAGCTGTCATTAACAAAGCTTGCATCTGAGCATGTGAAACAATACCATAATAACGCAAAAAAAAAAATGGAAAGGGAAAAGTTTCCTTCAGGAACCTCAAACCATCACATCAGGTGCATGAAACACTATAAGCCAACTATAAACCGTATCTTGGTTTTGTGCTTAAGAAAGGTGGACCAACTCTGCAGAATCTCAAAGCCTTCTGTGTGTGTGTGCATGGTGTGTGGGGGGTGGGGACAGGGAGGTGGGGGAGGAAATTAGGCGGTTAAATTTATAGAGGCCAATGACCAATACCACACCAAAGGAGACAGGTCCAGGCAAAGACAGTTTCCCCCCAACCCTGGACAGTCTCCCCCTCCCTCCCTTTTCCCTTTCCCCCTACCCTAGGAGCCAGTTGGCTGGAAGGAAAATGTGCATTTGAAAATCAACGCTGCAGGTGCCCAAGGAATAAAGAAAGACACACACATAGACACACACAAAGCCAATCACTTAGAAAGAAAAAAAAGAAAACACAAAAAAGGAAAGGGAGAGGGACAATTGGTGACAAGCCCTTCAGATAGCAGCTAGGATTTTATTCTTCCCTCCCACCAGTCTTCCCTGGTGTACCTTTTTCTGTCCTTTAACTAAATTGCTCATGTACACACACACATGTGCCTATGTATGTGTATAGATAATATTATAATTAACCCTTTCTGTAACAGAACCCCATACAGAATACAGAGAGCTATTCCACCCTTCCCTCTTCTCTCCCCTCCTCCCTCCTTTCTCCCAACCAGGAGAAAACGCCCCCTTCCCCAGCTTCACCAAAAAAAAAAAAAAAAAAAGAATATGGGGGGGTAATGGGGGGAGGCGCAAAGAAATCACAAAACCCCATCAGTCTCCAGTCCCGAGGACACCCGGGAAAGGTATATACTACACAGACACACACACACACACACACACACACACACACACGAACATATGACTCTGTAGAAAGCACACAGAACCGTCCACAGGCGCCCCAAACCCAGCAAAGAGACTTCCACCAGCCAAGAAGCCATGATTGGGGAGGGAGAGGAGGAAGGAGTGGGGGCAGAGCTCTCTGTGGAGAGGGGGCGCATTGTTGTGATGCCCGAACCCCTTTCTTTCTGCCCATCTGCTGTGGAGGGGGTGCAGGGAGGGGGCGCAGGGGAAAGGCGAGCGAGGAAACGAGACCAGGCACGGCTTTGCGACTCCCTCCTGCTGCCTGTCTGCCCGCGCCCCCAGCTCCCCCCACCAACAATAAGACCTCAGCCTAGACAGACAGACAGACAGACAGACAGACAGACAGCCCGGAGCGCGGCGAGGGAGGCAGGAGAGCCGGGCGCAGCCGAGTGGGGTCGTGCATAAAGGGAACCCGGGGGAAGGGGGGTCCCCCTTACCTCCAGCGCTTCAAAAGTGACAAAGCTGGTCATGGCAAATCCATCAATGATGTCCTCTTCTGCCGAGGTGGACTCTCTCCGCTTCCTCCGCGGGGGTCTGGGCCGGGACGGGGCGGAGGACGGGGGCTTCCCATTGTCTTCCTTGTCGGAGCCCGACGACGAGGCGAGTGAGAGCGCCCGGGTCCGGCCAGCCCCGCCGCCGCCGGCCGCGCCGGCCCCCAGCCCGCCCCGGGAGCGCCTCTCCCGGTCTCGCTGCGACCGCGACCGCCGCTTTTTGCGGAGTCCATGGCCCCGCGTCGGGCCATCCATGGTTCTGCTGCGCCGGGGTCTCCCCGCTTGCCCGCCACAGGCTACGGCCGCAGCCACACAAAAAAAAATTGACACCGAGCCCTCCCTCCCCCTTCACGGCTTCCCTCCGCCCCGAGGAGGGCGCGGGGGAGACGGCGGCCGAAAGAAGGGAGAGAGGGGAAGAAAGAGAGGAGAAAGAAAAGGGGGAAGGGGCGGAGAGAGGGGAGGAGGGACGGGGAGCGAGGGCGAGAGGCGAGGAGCCCAAGTGTGGGGCTCCCCACAGCACCGAGGGTCGGAGATGCCTGGGAGCAGCGCCGAGCAAAGTAATGGCTGAACACACAGGTCTCCTTTAGAGGAAAAAAAAATAACTCACCAAGCAAGCAATAAATCAGAATAGCGGAATGCTTTGATCAAGAGACTGGGAGGCTCCGGGGAGCCCTCCCCGCGGCCATTCTCCGCCGCGCCCCCCGCCCCCCGAAAACGCCCGCGCCCCCCTCAACTCGATCCAAAATCGGGTCCGAAAAAGGTCGCGGGAAAAGTGGGGGCAATGAACTTCACCCGCCCCTCGCGCAGGAAAACACCCCCGCCGCCTCTCACACACGCCTCGGAGAAAACTCACTCCCAGGCTCCCAAATTTTTAAGAAATGCAGCCAGGGGAGGCCGGGGCTCCGGAGCGACCCAAGAGGGGCGAGACCCCCCAGAGAGGGGAGCATAATAATGCAATCATTAGCGGAAGAGAGGGCGAAACTGCGAGCGGCGGAGGAGAAGGGAGGCGGAGGAAGGGAAGGAGGATGCTGCTGGAGCAGTTGTGGGGTTTGCTTTTCGGTCTTCGAGGGGGGAGGAGAGGGAGATGAAAGAAGAGAAGAAGCAAACCCTGTCGCTGCCACCCGCCCCCCTCCTCACAAAAATATTTTTTCCAGTCCCAGAGAAGAGGTCACCCTTCCTCAAAAAAGGGAGGGGGTGAGTCAGTCAGTCGATGAGGAAAGCAGAAAGAAATCTCCAGCGGGAGAGACACCGGTGTGCCGCCGCCGCCGCCGCCGCTTCTCTCGCCGCCCCGCCTGAGGGAGAAGCGCAGCCGGGAACGCTGCTCTCGCCGCCGCCGCTAACGCTGCTGCTGCTGCCGCCGCCGCCGCCGAGAAAGCCCCGAGCCGGAGGGTGCACGGCGTGTCCCCGGGCGGCTGCAGCGGGAGCCCGGGCACTGCCCCATCCTCCGCCCGCCCGCCTGCCTCGCGCAGCTCCCGCTCCTCCCCCTCCGCGGCCAGCCCACCGCCGCCGCCGCCGCCGCCGCCCGCCTCAGCCCAACCCCGCGCCCGCCCGCTCGCTCGCTCGCTCGCTCGCTCGTTCGTGCTTTCGCTCGCTCGCTCGAGTGCGCGCGCTCCCGCGCACCCGCCCTCCCCGCGCCTCTCTCGGCGCGCGCTCCCGCCCCCGCGGCCCCGGCCGGCGGGATCACGTGGACGGCTGGGCTCCCTCCTCCCCCGCCCCCTCCCCAGTTGTAGAGTGTGTAGAAAGCAAAAGGCTGGGGGCTGGCCGCGCTCGCGAGCCCAGGGCATGCGCGCTGGGGCGGCCGGGCCTGCGCACTGGGGGCGGTGGGGAGCTGTGAGGGGGGCGGGGGCGGGGGCGTGGAGGGGGCGCCCGCGTGGGGTCGGCCGCGGCCGGGCAGAGTTGGCGCGCCAGGGCGTGGAAGCCGCCGGAGGATCCCGCCTGTCGCAGCGGGGACGCGTGTGGGCCCCTGCTCCCAGGCCACTTCGCGCGCGCGCCCCCCACATCCTCCTCGGGACACTTGTCCCTGGATCCTCTACCCCTGGCCGGCCCGAGGCCGCCTTCTCGGGAAGCCCCACCAGCCCCCAAGGGTGTTTTCCCTTGGCTACCTGCGCTGCGAGGAGAGAAGGGAATTCAGAGAAGGGGTACAAGGGGGGCGTCCCTGGGAGGGGGCGCGACTGGAGGAGACAGAACGGGGAGCGGGTGCCAAAGCGCGGGCCTTTGCTCCGCCTGGGCGCAGTGGGAGCACCAACTGGCAGAGTTGGAAACTTTTCCTCCACGTGGCACCACAGTGCGTGGACGAGCGACCCCGCGCCCGGATGACCCCTGGGATTCCCGCCTCGTCTTCCAGCGGGGGACCTAGGGACGCACGGGCGGCTTCAGATCCGGGAGCGCGAGGCCTAACAGCCGGGGGCCGAACTTGAACCTCGGAGGCGGCCGCGGGCGAGGGGCGGGGCCGAAGGGGCCGGGACCGCCGCCCCAGCTCGAGGACCCGTTAGACCGGCAAACCGCAGTCCCTGCCCCGCGGGCTTCCTTTACTTTTTGGGAGTGGGGGGCGGTTTCCCTGCTTTTTCCACCACAGCCCCTCCTCCCGCCGCAATGTGGCTGATGCTCATAAAAAGTTGTATTAAAGAGCTGACTGCAGCCGAGAATCGATCAACAAAAGCGACCAGCCTCTCTGGGTAAAATAGCTGTGCGTTTTTCAGGGCACTGGAATTGATCTATACGGATCAGAAAGACCGACAGCCCGCTCTCAGCAGCCTCTTGGATACGCTTCACTTTCTGTCCAGGCACATAAACACCACGGCACCAACCCTTCGTCCTCCCTAGTAGCCCATACTTGTGGAGGAAGAAAAGGAAAATAAACTGGCATGTATTAATTACAATGGGCCAGGCACCGTGCTAGAGCGCTGTGTATATGATTTCACCTCTTTAGAATACAAATGTGCACATTTTATTAGTATTACTGGAAGGAGGGTGGTAGAGAAAACAGTAAGGACGTGTTTTCTCTCACAATCTGACACATCTATGATTGAGTGATTGATTGTTTTTCATTTAACAATTATTAGGCCTTACCAGGCTTAGCAGGCACAGTTGTAGGTGCTGGGAATACAGCGTTGTACAAAACAGAAAAGATACTGCTTCTTGACGTTCTAGCAGGCAAGCCTCTCTCGTCTTATAATTCCTAATAACAATTTAATAGCTTGTCTTTCTCTTGTTTTAGGTCACACTCCTTCAGCTTCCCCGTTTCTGAATCCCAGGTCTGGATCTTTATGAAATCAGATGGAGAGATGGGGTTGGGGGGACGGGGGGGTCAAGTTGCCAGGAACAGAAAGGAACATCCACCCGACTGTGACAGATGAGCTTTATGCCAGTCCAGGAAACAAAACATTTGACCTTAGGCAAGACTTTTTTAAATGACTAGTTTTTTCATCTGTAAATCAAAGAGGTTCAATTAAATGTTCAAAATGTTCCTTTTCAGGTCTATCCACGGCCTTCTCAACAGATGACTTCAAGTTGATTTCGTGCTTTATTTCTTAAGAATAGTGACTAACCTAAGGGATCTGATTCAATTTATTAGGAACACAGTGCCACCTTCCAAAATTACTTACCTAAGAGGACTGAGCCTGCTGTCCCTGGAGCAGTTAGCTAAAACAGTGCCTCAGTACGGAGCGTACCTGTGTTAACTTCTAGAGTGCTGTTTCCGGCAGCTGCTGAAATCCACGCTGAGGTTATCAAGCTCATCCTACAAAATAAAGCAAGTTCTTCGCAATTTAAAGCAAAAATCTGGGCTTATTTTTAGGGTTTTGGGGGATGTGAAAGTTGTCTTAGATAAGATTCCAGGAAAGCTAAGAACTAACGATGCAATTACAGTCACCTTTCAACAACTTTGGGGATTGGGTTGAGGAAGGTGTGAAATTGGGAAATATAATAAAAGGTATTATATTAGTGACTTTCTAGAGTAGCCCTTGGCAGTCCTGTCTTTAAAGAGTAATAACTGGAAAAAAAAATGAATGATAATACACTGCATCCAAGAACCTTGCCTCTGGTGAGGGTAATTTGCAAACGCATTTTGGGATAATGTTCAGCATTCAATATAATCTTCCCTGGAATTAGCAATGCCTTTTGGGTCAGAGTTTCTTAGGTTTCTTCAGTCATACAATTAAAATTGTTTCTGGATTATATTGCCCATATTTGTTTCTAATTCTCCATTTTGCCTGTGTTTTAACTGCTAGCGATTAATAACTGCCATATAATAAGCTAAGCATTTATTATGTTTCAGGCACTGTTCTAACTGCATTAAAATAATATCTCATTTAATTCTCATAAATTTTGAGAAAAGTTTTATTATTCCTATTTTACAGTTGAGTAAACTGAGGCTTAAAGTTAAGCATATTGTCCAAGGTGCCTCCACTCCTTAGTCATAAGCTAAATTTGATCTGAGTGACTCCAAAACCTGTTCTCTTAATGGTTATGCTGAAATGCCCTTCTTAGAATGATTCCTCAGGAAGTCAAATGCTAGGTATATAGTACAACCACTTTGGAAAACTGGCAATATCTGTTAAAGTTAAACATATGAAAACCCTATGGCCCAGCAGTTCCACGCTTAGGAATATACCAATGTCCCATGTGTGCCAAAAGACTATTAAATCACTCAGAGCAACCCTATTCATAAATAACCCCCAACCAGGAAACAACCCAAATGGTCATAAACAGTAAAATAGATAAATAATTGGTGGTATATTCATACAACAGAGTACATTCTACCACACTAAGAATGAACAATCTGCTTCCAAATGCAGTAAAATATATGAACCTTACAAATGTGCTAAGTGAAAAAAGGGAGATGTACAATTGCGGGACTCCATTTATGTGAAGTACAGAAACAGACAAAAGTCATTGATGCTATTCAAAGTCAGGATAGTGGTTACCCTTGAGAGAGAGCTGATGACTAGGAGAGAACACCAATCGGCTTCTGGGGAGCTGGTAGTGTTGTTTCTTGAGCTGGGTACTGGTGTGTTCAGTTTGTGAAAATTCATTGAGCTGTACTATTGATATATGCATCTCTGTGTATGTAAATTATGCTTCAATAAAAAGCTTTAAAATGCTGTGTATATATAAATGCATATGAGTATTGCTTGTGTACATATGAGTACCTATATAATACTTCGTTTTTTTTTATTATTAATGACACTACCCAATGCTTATGAATAGTAAAATAGATAAATAAGATGTGGTTTATTTGGGACATAAATGAAGCTGGAAGCCATCATTCTCAGCAAACTAACACAGGAACAGAAAATCAAACACCGCATGTTCTCACTCATAAGTGGGAGTTGAACAATGAGAACACATGGACACAGGGAGGGGAACATCACACACTGGGGCCTGTTGAGGGGTGGGGGGCAAGGGGAGGGAGAGCATTAGGACAAATACCTAATGCTTGCGCAGCTTAAAACCTAGATGATGGGTTGACAGGTGCAGCAAACCATCATGGCACATGTATACCTATGTAACAAACCTGCACGTTCTGGACATGCATCCCAGAACTTAAAATAAAAAAAAAAAAAAAAGATGTGGTTTATTCATACAATACTATTTGCCAAATTTGTGCCCACTCTTAGTCATCACCTCCCTATCAAGGGTAACCACTATCCTGACTTTTAATAGCATAAATGATTTTTGTCTGTTTTTGTACTTCATATAAATGGAATCCTACAATACATTTGCTGTACAATGGAATACCATATAGTAAACCAAGATGAATTATATAGCATATTATCAGATTTCTTACTGGGTAGCATGAAAGTTAAAGCTTAAACTTGAAATGGCCAGTATGAATGAACTCATAATTCATACCAGCAAAAGCTTAGGTGAATTCTTTGCCCAAAAGATTATAGTTGATAAAGAGTAAAGCTAAAGAAATAATTCCAAAATAGGTTGCTTGTATAGTAGGGAAAACAGTCAAGTGGTTCTGGAAAATACAAAGGGAAAAAGTTACATCTGTGTTCAGGAATAAACTACTTAACTCAGGAGAGCCTCTTCAGTTGTGCTTTTATTTGAATCAATGATTAATACTCAAACTACATCTTGAACATTCAACCTTGACTAGTCAGAGAATATACTATTATAGCTCAGTGATTGAACTGAACTCTGAGCCTCACACTAGTAAAAGCTATTTTTGTATCAGACTTTCTGAATTGCTAAATTTTTATATCCCTCTGTCTTGCACTTTGCACTCTGCCAACATGGTAATTATTAGTACCTCATTCTTGATATTACATACTGGTTTGTAATATTTGAATTTATTAGGAAAATTGATTTTAACTCAAGGCATCTAAGGTTTATGTTTTGGTCGTTTATAACTTTCAGTTATTTTGTGTGCATTCCTTGCCGAGACCAGGATAGAACTGAGGTGGTTAATGGAGCTATCTCTAAGCCATTTCCAAGTGAGCAAATAAGGAGACTAACACATTTAACATCCTTTCTTTAACCCCCATAAGTTGTTTTTAATAATAACTATTCCTGGGTTGAAGTGATAACTTGCATTAACTGACAGGTAGCCCATCAGCAATAACATTGTTGTAACTTTGCCCTAATTATCACCTGCTGTTTTAATTTTTTTTCACATTGGAAGTTGTTTTTCAAACTGCAGTTTTAATGTTTAAAAAAGGGGGGAGGAGGAGATGAGTGGTTCAATTTGCTAAATGTTGTGTTTCCTTCCATAATATTGTACGATAAACTTTCATCATCTCTGCAGGTGTCTCTGATGAATGACACATTGATCAACCCATATTCTTCAGACTCTACCATGTGAAGCCAATGAAAGATGCCTGCTGGTGACCAAATGATGTTCATGTAAAATGGCCATTCTGGCAAATTTAATAAGCTTTAGATTTATTTTAAAAACCAACCAGTATTTCTATCCCTTCTCAAGGCAATGTTTTCTATTTGAGGTTTCACTTGACATGACCAGGTAGGAAAATTGATGAATAGTCATAAGAAGAAACTTTAAATGACTCTTTAAAGCTACCAGTGAGAGATCTCAGTATTTATTACTGATCATGAGTCTGACGATCAATTCTTCTAATAGATTTGGTAGATGACTTGTGATGAATTGTGATTTTTATGTTTATTTGAAGAGCAGTATAAATCTAAACTGGTCAGATTCAGATAAGATAACATCCCAGTTGAAGAAATTATCAACTCTTTGGAATTATGTAAAAAAAAATAAGTTATAGCCCAGACCTAATTCATGCTCCTATTTACAAAACTTAGTATAGTAATTATTTTGTATTTCTGCTGTGTTCAAGGCCTTTCATGGTCTTGCCCCAGTAATCTTATCAACCTCATTTATTGCAGTATATATTAATATATTTCTATGCATCCCAGCTCCTTCCCAGAACACCCCCACACCTTTGCTCATGCTGGTCCAGCGTCCTACAATCTCCTTTCCTGCCATCCAGAATTGCTGAATTTCCACCCATCCCTCAAGACCAATTTAACCATTAAGGCCAACTCATCTAGAAAGCTTACTTTAGTTACTACTTCCATTCAGAATTAACAGCTTCTCTGCTTATGTGACACTTTAATTTATGAATATTTTAATGTGTTATTAAATATTTCAAAATAATATAATGAACAATCATGTACTCCCCAGTAGCGTAAGAAATAAAACATTTCCAAAATACTCGAACCCTCCTGTGTATAATACTGATGTCAGTGGCTGCTGCCATCATGCCTGCTGCAGCAGGGAAGCGCAGCTGGGGCTGCACACTCCATGGAGCAAGTGGGAGCCCTGTCCCTTTTGAGTTGGGACAGGAGCTACCCATGCGGCTGCAGCCACCCAAACCACAGCGCAGACCCAGGCCTCCTGCTGTACCTGGCGGCGGGGCTATAGCCACCCAAACTGCAGCTCTTGGGGGAGCCGGGAAGGGGCAGGATCTGCCTTCCCGGGTGCAGCTGCAGCCGCCGCACCCGTGGCTGCAGACCTGGGCCTACCGCTCCAGGAAAAAGCAGGCAGGGGCAAGGGACAAGCGGGAGCCCTGCCCCTTCTGAGTTGGCAGGGCAGGAGCTCCTAGGAGCAGCTGCAGCCGCCTTCCCAGGCGCACAGGACCGGGTCGTCTCTGCAGCCTGCACCCTCAGGCCCCCCAGAAAGGATCCCTGCACATCCCCCTCCTTGCAGGCTTAGGGGTATCTACTCCCACTGCCTGGCCTCTTTCTGCTCCTGGATCAGAGCAGGGTTGGAGCCAAGCCTTGGGGCCAGGAATGGCAGCAGGAGGCAGATAGAGTTCTGGGCGGAATGGGGCAGGGTCCCCAGTAAGGCCCCACCCTCAGGCCAGGGAGGGCTTGAAGGCTAGGACAGGGTTGCCAGTCCCTCCAAACAGAGTGGGGACTCCTGGTGCCTGTTCCATGGCCGCCCATGGTCATCCATGGGCCAATCTGTAGACACTTCCTCCCCTCTGAGGTCCATAAAAGCCCTGGGCTCAGCCAGAGCAGGGTAGAGGATGGCTAGAAGACGAACAGGGAGACAACGGGATGGGACGACCACCAGCATAGAGAAGTACCCTCTGCTGATAGCTGGAGACAATGGGGTGACCAGTTGCAGACAGGAGTACCCTCTCCACTGAGAACTACAGATACCACCTGCCGAGACCACCTGCCAGCCAAAAGGAGCTACTCTGTCTCCTGAGAGCTTCAGAGACCTGCAGAGACATTGGAATGACTTGCCTGCAGTGAGAAGTCCCACCCTCTCCAGAGCCTCATCTCTGCTAACCACTGAACACTGGACTGGACTACCTATGTACAGAGAGGAGCTACCCACTCCTCTAAGCTGTTCTAACACTAAAATAAAACTCTTCTTCTTCGCCCTTCACTTGTCTGCATCCCTCATTCTTCCTGGACACAGGACAAGAACTCAGGCCAAGGTGCTACAGCCACAGAGGTTTCCGGCCAGAAAAATTGACACCCCAGAGATCCCATAACAATATCTCCTCTGGGATTTTGTTTTCTCTCTCCATTTTCCATCACCCTTTCTCCTTCCACTCCCTTACCGCCTCCCCGGAATCATTATCCTGAATTCCTTGCTTATCATTCCATGCATTTCTCTGTATTTTTATGACATGTGGAAGTATCCCTAAACAACATATAGTATTCTTTTTGACTCACTCTGTCACCCAGGCTGGAGCGCAGTGGTGCAATCTCAGCTCACTGCAACCTCTGCCTCCCGGGTTCCAGTGATCCTCCTACCTCAGCCTCCCAGGCAACTGGGACTACAGGTGCATATGCTCACGCTCAACTATTTTTTGTATTTTTAGTAGAGATGGGGTTTCATTATTTTGCCCAGGCTGGTCTCAAACTCCTGGGCTCAAGCAATCAACCTGCCTAGGTCTCCCAAAGTGCTGGGATTACAGGCATGAGCACTGCACCCAGCCAACATATAGTGCTTTATGGCATGTTTTAAAACATATATAAATGATATCAGTCTATATCTATTCTTCTAAAACTTTTCTTTTTTTTGAGGCAGGGTCTCAGTCTGTTGCCCAGGCTGAAGTGCAGTGGTGCGATCATAGCTCACTGCAGCCTTGACCTCCTGGGCTCAAGCAATCCTCCCTCTGGAGTAACTGAAACTACAGGCACATACCACCATTAGCCCAGCTATTTTTTTTAAGAGACAGGGTCTAGCTATGTTACCCAGGCTGGTCTTGAACTCTTGGGCTGAAGCCATCCTCCTGCCTTGGCCTCCCAAAGTGCTGGGGCTAGAGGTGTGAGCTACCATGCCTGGCCTTTTAAAATTTTTTCTAAAAAATTTTAGAAATTTTAGGGGTCTCACTATGTTACCCAGGCTAGTCTCAAACTCCTGGACTCAAGTGATCCTCTCACCTCAGCCTCTGAAAGTACTGGGATTACAGGAATTAACCGTCTCATCCAGCTAGGCTGCAGTATTTTATAGTGCAGATAAAGACATGAAGTTTTGGATATTCGTACTTCTACTTCAAAACCCCTAAAAAAGAAGCCTGAAGGAACTTAGCCTTAGTATTAACATGGGATCCTACCAAGCATGTGTCCTTAAAAATGAGTTGGTAGTATTTGAGTTTCTTAGTGCCTCTGTCAATTTTGGAAGACAGTAGATGTTTCTATATGAGGTAATGAATATCTAGGAATTTCATTTATCTTCAAGTTCCATTATTCTTTGGAAAGATTCTAAAAAGAGGAAACAACATCTTCATTTATGATGAAGATTTCTTGACTTTCAGAACAAACAAACACTTTGCTGTTTGAACTACCCAAATAAAAAATGTTGCCCCGTTTCTAGAGTGGGCTCATCTTACCAGAAACTTTCATGAAATAGTTAAGTAGGATAGTTGATAAGAAGCTAGCTATCTCTATTCTAATGCTACTGTTCCATTGCAGCTAATCTTGGAAAATTGCACACAAAGACTTAAAGAGACAACCTTCTACTAATTATATATTCACCTGGTATCCATTTCAACAAATGAAATTTCTCTCAGCACATATTAATTGACATAATTACTGAAACGCCAAAATCAGATTAGCCACTGTAGCTCAAAGAAAAAAACAGAAAAGAAACCATTGCTCCAGCAAATTGCAAAAATGTTTTTAAAAAGGGCTCAAAAAGGTTGTTCAACTTGTAGATAGTTTTATATAAAGCTAATAAAACATGGCTATTTATTTCATTATTCATTCATGAGATAATTCTGGGTTCTTAACAGTGTATATTGGCTATATTGCAGCTTAAAAGTCAGTCTTTATAATACGCTGCACTTTGTTGATTGTTCTTGTAATCTCCATTATGCGTGTTTTAGTGGCATAGCACTTCTGTTCTAAGAAAAATTGTATCCACTACTATTTGTGTTTTCACAATTAACAATCACACACTTATCCTAGAAGCACAACAGCAGCAACAATGACATCATTGTATTTGCAAAGAGCTTACTTTTCACATTCCTGGCTCTTTTTCCTAAAACACTGACGTCATAGTAAAACATTGTTCTCCCTGCTTTGAGTTCAAATCGCCTGATAAACCAGAGAAATAGGAAGATAACGAAAGAAGACATACATTAATATAATTCTGCAAGGCAAAAAAAAATTTGCTAAGGCTTCTTTATGTCTATTGCTTGACTACATGGCATCTATTGTTTTATGATCTTATATCCTTGTTTCCTATGTCCGATTGTTCTTGCCACTTAAAATGTAATCTCTTACACAATTCACCTTCTCGGTTCATGTTACTGTACTATTATTAGAATATCTTCGCTTTACAGGGTTTTTTTTTATCAAAGCTCATTAGCATTCTTTATCATCATCATGATTATTGCTATTATTATTTATTTTTGTTCTTCTCTGCAGAATGTTTTCCCTTTATTGTAACATTTGGTTTGTTCTCCCTATCATTTAATAACTAGTCTCACACATTGGTATAGAATCCTGCTTTTGTTGAAAATTAACTCTGATAAATCAGGGAAACATGAAGAAAAAAAATGTAGACATACTGTAGTATAATTGTTCAAGATAAAAACAGGCATGCTTAGCTGGGCACAGGGTGCTCTGTAATCCCAGCACTTTGGGAGACGGAGGCAGGTGGATTGCTTGAGTCCAGAGTTCAAGACCAGTCTGGGCAACATGGCGAAGTCCCCTCTCTCAAAATATACAAATATTAGCTGGGTGTGGTGGCATGCACCTGCAGTCCCAGATACTAGGAAAGCTGAGAAGGCTGAGGTGGGAGGATTGCTTGGGCCCCAGAGGTCAAGGCTGCAGTGAGCTGTGATTGTGCCACTGCACTCTAGCCTAGGTAACAGGGTGACACCCTCTCTCTCAAAAAAAAAAAAAGGCATACTCAAATTATTTGCTACTCTCTCTTTGTAAAATCAATCTCCTGAATGTTACTCTTGCTTAACACATGAAATCATCACTTCATTATCTGTAAACTCGATTGCAAATTTTTGCTCATCCCACATTATTGATTACTAATTGTTTCCTGTTAATAATACCTAAACTTTATCTAACAGAAGTTTAGTGAAATTACAACAAAAAATATAATGGAATGGGGATGGTGGAAAAAGAAATAAAGGAAGCTATAATTCACCTATAAAAATATCTTTTGTTTTATTTTATTTATTGATTTTATTTTTATTGTTTTTTTCAGAGTCTTACTCTGTTGCCCAGGCTGTACTGCAGTGTTGTGATCTTGGCTCACTGCAACCTCTGCCTCCCAGGCTCAAGAGATTCTCCTGCCTCAGCCTCCTGAATAGCTGGGATTACAGGTGTGCGCCACCACACCCAGCTAATTTTTGTATTTTTAGTAGAGGCAGGTTTCACTATGTTGGCCAGGCTGGTCTCAAACTCCTGACCTCAAGTGATCCACCCACCTGGGCCTCCCAAAGTACTGGGATTACAGGTATGAGCCACTGCACCCAGCCTATTTTATCTATAATTGACATATGAATGCATTATTTGTATTGCATGTACCCATTATTTTTAAGCTCTAAGTCTTACACTATGGAGAAATTGCAAAGACAGAAATAGTATATTGTGTTTGTTCTGTTCAACACCTAGCAACAGTTTATTTTTCTTGATTCTGAGCGTGAGACATCCCCAAAGCCTCCACTGAAACTGCTTAAAATCCTAACAGCATGTCGCTTTACTTTTTTTTTTTTTCTTTGAAACAGGGTCTTGCTCTGTTATCCAGGCTGGAGTACGGTGGCATGGTCTTGGCTCACCCAGGCCTCAAACTCCTGGGTTCAAGTGATCCTCTCTTCTCAGCCTCTCAAGTAGTTGGGACTTCAGACATGCACCACCACACCCGGCTAATTTTGTTTATTTATTTATTTATTTATTTTTACAGAGATGGGGTCTCGCTATGTTGCCCAGGCTGGTCTCAAACTACTGACCTCAATTGATTCTCCTGTCTCAGCCTCCCAAAGTGCTGGGATTATAGACATGAACCACCGTGGTCAGCCCACTTTACATTATTATTATTATTATTATTATTATTATTATTATTATTATTATTATTGAGATGGAATCTTGCTCTGTCGCCCAGGCTAGAGTGGCACAATCTCAGCTCACTGCAACCTCCGCCTCCTGAATTCAAGCGATTCTCCTGCCTCAGCCTCCCAAGTATCTGGGAATACAGGCGTGTGCCACCATGCCCGGCTAATTATTGTATTTGTAGTAGAGACAGGATTTCACCATGTTGCCAGGCTACTCTCAAACTCCTGACCTCAAGGGATCTGGCTGCCTCGGCCTCCCAAAGTGCAGGGATTACAGGCATGAGCCACTGTGCCCAGCCCCACTTTACCTTCTCAATTTACTTCAGCACCTCCATCATAAACACACACACACACACACACACATACACACACACACACGCACTCCCCAGGGTTTTTCTGTGGACCGAAGTCCACCCTGACTGATTCCTCAGAGATCTGTTGATTATCCCAATTCACCTTTGTAAAGAGCAATTAAAACATGGTAATCTTACAACCACCACTGTTGATGGATGTCAAAATCTTTGGGAAACAGGATATTTACCAAGTTTCAAAGTGTCACATCCAAGATTACTTGTTACTTTTAAAGGGACATGGCACTTTAATTTTGCAGATATTTGGCGAATACCACCTTAACCAAATGATCAAACTTACTATCACCAGTTACATCACTTACATCTGGATGTGATACACTGAGAAGAACACAGCAAACCATACGCTATTCCTTCCAAAAATACTTAACCTGAATCTAATCATTAGGGCACAGCCAAACAAACTCAAATTGAGGGACATTCTGCAAAACAATTGTCCTAAATTCTTCAAAAAATGTCAATAACATGAAAATCAAACAAGGCTGGGGAATTATAGTTCAAGGGAAGGAAAAAATGAAAATTGAATGCAACAAATAATCCTTGATTGGATCCTGGAATATAAAAGATAAAAATAAATAAAACTACATGGGACATTGGCCGGGCGCAGTGGCTCATGCCTGTAATCCCAACACTTTGGGAGGCTGAGGCAGGCAGATCACTTGATGTCAGGGGTTCCAGACCAGCCTGGCCAACATGGCAAAACCCCATCTCTACTAAAAATACAAAAATTAGCTGGGTTTGGTGGCAGGCGCCTGTAATCCCAGCTACTCAGGAGGCTGAGGCAGGAGAATCACTTGAACCTGGGAGGTGAAGTTTCCAGTGAGGCGAAATCTTGCAACTGCACTCCAGCCTGGACGACAGATGAAGACTCCGTCTCAAAAAAATAAGTAAATAAAATAAAATGAACTTAAACTACATAGGACATTGTATGAGGCCATTTTTGTGTTGGCATAAAGGAATACCTGAGACTGCGTAATTTATAAAGAAAAGGGGTTTATTTGGCTCACAGTTCTGCAGGCTGTATAGGCTGTTTTAGCATGGCTCCAGCATCTGATCTGCTCCTGGTGAAGGACTCAGGAAACTTACAATCATGGCAGAAGACACAGTGGGACCAGGGGTGTCACATGGCAACAGTGGGAGCAAGGGGTGAAGTGGGAGGCATCACACTCTTTTAAACAACCAGATCTCATGTGAACTAACTGAGCAAAAGTTCACTTATCTCTAAGGGGATGATACTAAACCATTCATAAGGGATCCACCCCCAAGATCCAATCACCTCTCATCATGCCCCACCTCCAACAAGGGGAATCATATTTCAACATGAGATTTGGAGGGGACAAACATCCAAACCATATGAAGCATTATTGGGACACATTATTAGGACAATTGAGGAAATTTGAGTATGGAATATACTTTAGATAATAGTGTCGAATCATTGTTAAAATTTTCAAGTAGTTGTATTGTGGTTACGTAGAAGAATGTCTCTTTTCTTAGGAAATAAATGCTATCTTTAAGGAGTGTTTAGGGATGAAGTGTCATGATGTCTGCAATAAATTCTCAAATGGTTCAGCAATGTATATATTAAGGAAGGGAGTAGAGAAAGAGAAATAGAAAATAAATGTGGCAAAATGTTAACAATTGGTAAATCTTAGTGAAGGGTACGAGACCCTTCATTGTTCTCTGCCTGCAACTTTTCTGAAGGTTTGAAACGTTACAAAATTAAAAACTGAAGAAAAACTATTAAACCGAAGCCTGGCATTTCTTTTTTTTTTTTTTTTTTTTTTTTTTTTTTTGAGATGGAGTCTTGCTCTGTCGCCCGGGCTGGAGTGTACAGTGGTGCAATCTCGGCTCACTGCAACCTTTGCACCCTGGGTTCAAGCAATTCTCCTGCCTCAGCCTTCCTAGTAGCTGGGATTACAGGCATGAGTTAACCACACCTGGATAATTGTTGTATTTTTAGTAGAGACGGGATTTTGCCACATTGGCCAGGCTGGTCTTGAATTCCTGACCTCAAGTGATCCACCCGCCTTGGCCTCCCAAAGTGCTGGGATTACAGGCGTGAGCCACTGTACCTGGCCAAGCCTTGCATTTCTTGGGAAAAGACATCCTGGAGTTAAATACGTTAAGCCAACGTGCTTTGCTTCAGGCCTACAAGAAATTGTGAAGAAGTCCAAATGTGTGACAAAGTGACTAGCAGGCCAGCAGGACATTGCTATGTAGACTTGTTTCAGGACTGATAGATATTTATTTAATTGAATATGACATTAGAGATGCTGTAGTTCATATATTAACACAAATAGATAAACAGAAGCCCAGGAGATATGGTGTGTTGTCCAGTGTCACATACTTACATAGTGATAGAGCTGGACTCAGGAGAGAACCCAGGAGTCCTGTGTGGTTTTGTGTGTGTGTGTGGTTTTTGTTTGTTTGTTTGTTTCTTTGTTTTCTTTGGCAGGGGGAGGGGTTTTAGAGACAGGGTCTTACTCTGTTTCCCAGGCTGGAGTGTAGTGTTGCAATCATGGCTCACTGCACCTCAAACTCCTGGGCTCAAGTGATCCTCCTACCCTAGCCGCCCAAGTAACTGGGATCACAAATGTGAACCACTGCATGGTATATTTCAGTTTATTTTTTACTTCGTTTTTTGTAGAGATGGAGTCCTGCTTTGTTGCCCAGGCTGGTCTCAAAGTCCTGGCTTCAAGCAATTATCCTGCCTGGGCCTCCCAAAGTGCTGGGATTACAGGCATAAGCCACTATACCTGGCCTTTTTCGCTCTAATAATAAGGTGGTGGCTAGGCACAAAACTAGAGTATTTTCCACTCTAGTTTCTAATTGGAACAAAAAATATCCAAGAATGGATTTCTTATTTTTATTTTTTATTTTTTTGAGATGGAGGCTTGCTCTGTCGCCCAAGCTGGAGTGCAAATGGCGTAATCTTGGCTCACTGCAACCTCTGCCTCCCAGGTTCAAGCAATTCTCCTGCCTCAGCCTCCCGAGTAGCTGGGATTACAGGCACATGCCACCAGGCCCAGCTAATTTTTGTATTTTTAGTAGAGACAGGGTTTCTCCATATTGGCCAGGCTGGTCTTGAACTCCTGACCTCAGACGATTCACCCGCCTCGGTCTTCTAAAGTGCTGGGATTACAGGCATGAGCCACCGTGCCCGGCCCAGGAATGGATTTCTGCTATTGTGTTGCTATTGTTTAATCCATATTGAAGCCCAAGCTATTTGTCCCCACTAAACCCACTGTCACATGCGTGTCTATCAGTAGCAAGGAGATTCAGGACTTCAGCGAAACTGGTGACAGTGCCATTTTGCCCATGACTGAGTGCTGCCCAATGCCCCTTTCTCTCTCTACCAATCCTCTGGGAAAATGAGACTACAGAGCAGAAGAAAGGACAATAACAACATTATAGCTCAAGTGACCTTAAAAGCAAGGAAACCCTATTATTTGAATGGAGTAATGGATAGGCCTGACCATTATCAGTCACTCTGGATGTGACAGAAGTACACTTCTTGTTAGAGCATCAGAGTAAAAACCTCTTCAGCATTGCATTTGTCTTGAGCAAGCAAAAGGGAGGAAATGTGCAATAATAAGAGCGCTGTGTTTTGCACAAACTTTTTTTTTTCAGAAATATTTCATACCTGAGAGTGTAATCTGACATAAAACTAATTTGCTTCATTAAATAGCCTCATCTTCTTCCTTTCCCATCAGATTGCTTCTATTTTGCATATAATGTGTACAATGCAGCTGGATGTAGTAGCTCATGCCTATAATCTCCACACCTTGGGAGGCCAAGGTGGGAGGATTGCTTAAACCCAGGAGTTCGAAATCAGCCTGGGCAACATAGCAAGACGCTGCCTCTCCAAAAAATTTTTAAAAGCCAGACATGTTGGTGCATGCCTGTAGTCCCGGCTATTCCAGAGGAAGAAGTGGGAGGATCACTTGAGCCAAGAAATTTGAGGCTACTGTAAGCTACGATCATGCCACTACACTCCAGCCTGGGTGACAGAGCGAGACCCTGTCTCAAATTAAAAAAAAAAAAAAATATGTGCAATACCTTAGAAACCTTTTCTTCCCTTGATAATGAAGGTCCTTGTTCTTTCTCATGAGGTATGAGGTATTATAACCATCTTCTTTTCTAGTAAAATGTGGGTGTATTTGATGTGTAAATACCGTATGTATTTCTTTCTTTCCTTCCTTAAGTACTACGCTGGCATAACTTAATTGTTCCTAGCTGAGATGCTAAAACTCTACATTTGGGCATAGAGTACCATATGTTGAAATATCTTTTACCTGGTGCCCATCTATAAATTCTTACTCTTTCTTGGTGGGGTGGTGGAGAGAAGTGTCATCCAGGCACATATATGGTAGCAGAATCCCAAGGCAAAGAAAAAAGACTTGGCTATATTAAAAATAATTTTATTCACCCTCAGCTAGTCAAATCTGGAGGAAGATTAGGAAATAAGTTGCCCACATTTATCATCCTATGGTCAATCAATACACTCACTAGACTTTTCCCCTTACACTCTATTAAACCAACCCCCTCTACTAAGAAGATAAAACTCCTTAAATAGAAAATAAGTAGACAGTGACCAACAGTAATATTATCTTTGCCTACAATTTAAGTTCCCAGGACTTTGGTAAACTTCTGAATCCCTTATGCTCTGGACATAATATTACTTTTCCCAGCTCTCTGGGGAAGATAAACTGAGTGACTTGCTCCCTCCCAAGTTTTATATTACAGGGCAGAAGAATGACTCCAATGCTTACAGTTTGGCTAGCAGTGGCCTAGAGTTGTAAATATGGGCAATATGACTTTACAAAATAAGGAACCAGGTTGCAACTGGTTTTTTGCTGATTTCAGGGTCTTGACTTAGATTTGCAGGAGTGACTTTGAGGGTTCTTATCTCAAGGGTTAGTGTATTAAGAGAGAGAGAGAGCTAGAGAGAGAGAGAGATATTTATTTGATTTATTTTTAAGACAGAGTCTTGCTCTGTCACCCAGGTTGGAGTGCAATGGTGTGATCTTGGCTCACTGCAACCTCTGCCTCCCAGGTTCAAGCGATTCTTCTGGCTCAGCCTCCCCAGTAGCTGAGACTATGGGTACAAACCACCAAACCTGAATAATACTTTTTTTTGTATATTTAGTAGAGATGGGGTTTCACCATGTTGGCCAGACTGGTCTCAAACTCCTAACCTCAAGTAATCCACCCACCTTGGCCTCCCAAAGTGTTGGGATTACAAGCATGAGCCATCACATCTGGCCAAAAGAAAGATTTATTATAGGAATTGTCTCCTACTATTGTGGAAGCTGCAATGTCTTATGATCTGCTGTCTACAAGTTGGAGACCCAGGAAGGCTGGGAGTGTTGTTCCAATCCAAGTCCAAGGGCCTGAGAAGCAGGAGTGCCAATGGTATAAATTCTAGTGCAAGAGCAGGAAGAGACCAATGTCCCAGCTCAAGCAGTCAGGCTGAGAAAGAGAATTCCCCCTTCCTTCACTTTTTTGTTCTATTCAGACCCTCAATGGATAGGATGATGCCCACTCGCATTGGGGAGGGCAATGTGCTATACTCAGTTCATTGATTCAAATGCTAATCTCATCCAGAAACACCCTTACAGACATACCCAGAAAGAATATTTAGCCAAATATCTGGGCACCCTGTGGTCCAGTTACATTGACATATACAATTAACCATCACAGTTAAGGAACTAATATTTACTGACATCTACTAATGTACGGAGAACTGTTTTGTGTGATTTACATACCTCATCTAATCCCCTTACCTGGAGACTTTAGGGAGGTGTGGACCATGTCTCTTTTTTTGACCATTACATTCCCAGCAATCGGCATGAATATTTACTGAGAATAAATGAACATAAAGATCTATTGAATCCTCAAAACAATTCTGTCAAGTAGATGATGTAGATTTTATCCTTATTTTACAGATAAAGAAACTGAGGCTTGACAAGTTTAAGAAGATTGTTATCTCAGCTGGGCACGGTGGCTCACACCTGTAATCCCAGCCCTTTGAGAGGCCAAGGCGGGCAAATCACTTGAGCTCAGGAGTTCAAGACCAGCCTGGCCAACATGGTGAAACCCGTCTCTACTAAATATATACAAATTAGCTAGGTGTGGTGGTGCATGCCTGTAGTCCCAGCTACTCAGGAGGCTGACGTGGGAGAATCACTTGAGCCCAGGAGGTGGAGGTTGCAGTGAGCCGAGATTGTGCTCCGGCCTGGGTGACAGAGTGAGACTCTGTTAAAAAAAAAAAAAAAGATTGTCATCTCATTAGAACTTTGAAGAAGGGTTCTCTGGATATCCAAGTATCTTTCCTAATAATACAGGTAAAGCAAGATTCTTACTGACTAACAAAGAACATTTTAAATACTAGAAAAAGCCTATGGGAGCCAACATCCTGACTCTTGTTCAATAAAACCTCTATCACTCAAAGACAATTTCCTTCTCTCTGTATGGGGTAAAAGAATAACTTTTTTTTTTTTTTTGAGACGGAGTCTCACTCTGTCACCCAGGCTGGAGTGCAGTGGCATGATCTCGGCTCACTGCAAGCTCCACCTCCCGAGTTCACACCACTCTCCTGCCTCAGCCTCCTGAGTAGCTGGAACTACAGGCACCCGCCACCACGCCCAGCTAATTTTTTGTATTTTTAGTAGAGACGGGGTTTCACTGTGTTAGCCAGGATGGTCTCGATCTCCTGACCTTGTGATCTGCCCGCCTCGGCCTCCCAAAGTGCTGGGATTATAGGCATGAGCCACCGTGCCCGGCCAGCTTTCTGTTTTTTAAGCAAAAGACTCATGAAGACACTTTCTTTACCAACTAACCCAACATAATGACATCAGATGTGAGGATCACATAAGACATCTTTCAAGATGCAGAATGTACCATGTGACCAGTGTTGGCTTTGCCTCAACACTTTTGGGAGACTGAGCTAGCAGCTATTACTCATTCCCCTTTACAGGTTGGGAAAATGTAAGACACGAGTTAGAAAGTGATTTAAAGAATGATTAGACCCTGAATTTCTTCAATCCCAGTCTTTCCCCCATCAGAATCGCATGTTGCATATCTTTCTAGAAGTCTCAACTGACAGCCCACATGCCTACAGAATTATTTTGTGTGATTCATGCGATGTTATTACATTTTGCCAATTAAAACTCAGTAGATATCTTAATTTCTGGCTACTCTTAGAATGCCCCAGAGATCTGGTAACACCACGTAGAATACTATGACCACTGTGTCTTCCTTTCATAAGTTTTCATTTTTCTTTTATTGTGGTGAAATATACATAATATAAAATTTACCATTTTAGGGTTTTTGTTTTTGTTTTTTGACAGGGTCTGGCTCTGTTGCCCAGGCTGGAGTGCAGTGGCACAATCACGGGTCACTGCGGCCTCGACCTCCTGGGCTCATGTGATCCTCGCACCTCAGCCTCTCAAGTAGCTAGGACCACAAGCATGTGCCACCATACCCAGCTAATGTTTTTATTTTTTGTAGTGACATGGGCCAACATGCCCAGCCCATTTTAGCCATTTTTAAGTATACGATTCAGTGGCATCAAGTACATTCACAATATTGTGCAACCATCACCACCATTCATTTCCAGAACTTTTTCATCATCCCAAACAGAAACTCTATACCCATTAAACAATAACTCCTCATTTTCTCCCCTCCCTCAGCCCCTGGTAACCTTTATTCTACTTACTATGAATTTGTATTCTAGATACTTCACATAAGCAGAATTATACAATATTTATCTTTTGTGTCTGGCTTATTTCACTTAGCATGTTTTCAAGACTCATGCATGTGAAACCGACTCAATAGTCCCATAGACAGTTTTTTTGGATCAATATATAAATTGACCCTTCTGGTCTTAAAGTTTGAAGCTTATATCTGAGTTCCTTCCCAGGGAAATGACCTTCAGGCCTCTCAAAAAAATTACGAAGAACTGAGACTCACCAGATCACTACTTCCAGATAGTGAGATGCCCAACCCCCTCATTCATCATGATTGCTGCCTTGCTCCTCCCTAGTTCCTATTTTCTTTCTTTTTGTGTTGTTGTTTTCTGCTTTTTTTTTTTTTTGAGATGGAGTTTCGCTCTTGTCAACCAGGCTGGAGTGCGGTGGCATGATCTCGGCTCACTGCAACCTCCGCCTCCCGGGTTCAAGCAATTCTCTTGCCTCAGTCTCCCGAGTAGCTGGGATTACAGGTGCCCGCCACTACACCCAGCTAATTTTTTGTATTTTTAGTACAGACAGGGTTTCACCATGTTGGCCAGGCTGGTCTCAATCTCTTGACCTCGTGATCTGCCCGCCTCGGCCTCTCAAAGTGCTGGGATTATAGGCGTGAGCCACTGCACCCAGCTGGTTTCTGTCTTTTATGTTTGAGTCTTTTCTCTAGAGTCTGGTTCCTTGGCTGCCTGTTCATATTAAAGGATATGGGAATAACAAGCTAATTGGAAATCCAGGTTCCAGAGAAGATTGGTGGCTGAAGAGCTTCGTCACAGGGTCATGGGACTTCAAGCTGGTTTTGTCCCTGGGCGGACCTATAAATGCGGGTATTTGTAGGTCTTTTTTTTCTGGGGCTGTTTAGTTTCCACAGAGAAGAATTCTCTCCTGCCAGGCTGATTGTGGGGAGGAGAGATAGGTGTAAGCTTGACTACTTGCATCCGAAGCATTTATCTAGGTGAGGGTTATAAGGTTCCAGACCAATGTTATCGGTTTCAGAGCACCTATAGTTACTAAGCTAAGGAGAGTTGATAGGATTCTTCTTCTTTTTATCGCCATTTTCTCAATATAAATTCTTATTCAGAATGGAAAATTTCAGAAGCTAAAATAACTCCACTGCATATTTTAATCAGGGGAACAGGTTGGCCTTTTGTCACAAAATATGCTTCGAAAAAAAAATGCCTGCTCTTTCTGAAGTTTGCCAGTTTGGATGTTTTTCATGCCCCAGAAACTGCTGGTGGCAGCCCAGCATGGTAGGGTGAATAAGAAAGTCTGGCTCTGTCTGTGGATGTTGAAACTCTGAAGCTTGGCCAAAACATGAAGTCATTTTAGGGTCCAAGAGATGGAAGTAAAAGCTTAGAACATCACTAAATTGTAACAGATGAACTGGATTCCAGCCAAAAATACAGATATCTTACAATACTGTGTTCACAAACAAATGTCTATGCCATTGTATGGAGAGGTTAGAGAAATGCAAATGGAGGCTGAGGTTTTACTTCCTGCTGCCAACCAAAATATGTGTTCTAGAAAACAAAAGGAGTGGGGGTGTTTAAAGGGCAGAAAGAAAGCAGGTTTGTCTAATGTTAAACACATCTGCATCCAAGTAATTATTCAGTAGTATAAAAATATTGCCTTTCCATGAATGAATAAATGGGTGTGAGAAAAACCTAATAAGTAATAATAATAAAATATTGCCTGTACAATATAGTCTGAGTCAAAAAGAGCTAGGATCCCAATCTATGTGTCATAACATAGCTGATAATGACAGATGCACTTTTATCAAAAGTTAGGTTAACATTTTCTGCAGGTTTTTTTTTTGTTTGTTTCTTTGTTTTTGGGGCAGGATCTCGCTTTGTTGCCCAGACGAGTGCAGTGATGCAATCAGAACTCACTGTATCCTCAATGTCCCGGTCTCAAGTGATTCTCCCACCTGAACCTCCTGAGTAGCTGGGACTACAGGTCGATGCCACCATTACCAGCTAATTTGTCTTTATTTTTATTTTTTGTAGAGACATGTGTGTGTGTGTGTGGGAGAGGTCTCACTATGTTGTCCATGCTGGTCTTGAACTCCTGGACTCAAGCAATCCTCCCTCCTTGGCCTCCCAAAGTGATAGGATTACAGGTATGAGCCACCACACCAGGCTAGGGCAATATTTTCTAATGCAGCTAAGATTTTGGAAAAGTCCTCAAATCTTATGTTTCATTCTTCAAAAAAGATTTTTTTTTTTTGAGATGGCATTTTGCTCTTGTTGCCTAGGCTGGAGTGCAATGGCGCAATCTCAGCTCACTGCAACCTCCACCTCCCGGGTTCAGACGATTCTCCTGCCTTAGCCTCCCAAGTAGCTGGGATTATAGGCGTGCTCCACCACGCCTGGCTAATTTTGTATTTTTAGTAGAGATGGGGGTTTCTCCATGTTGGTCAGGCTGGTCTCGGACTCCTGACCTAAGGTGATCCGCCTGCCTTGGCCTCCCAAAGGGCTGGGATTACAGGCATAAGCCACCGAGCCCGGCTGAATCTTCCAAAATGTAAAGACTGAGATTGAGTTTCTGGAGAGAGAAAAATGACCTGTGGATGCTTAGGAAAAGTAGACTATTTAGATACTATTCTCTTTTGGATTACTCCAAATGCCAATATTTTTTAAAGATGAGTGAATGCTGCATTCCGAGCCTTTTATTCTAATGTGGCCCAAGCGACCTAACAGTGTTTGATCAAAGTCTTATTCTGTTGAGACACGTTGTGCCCCATTTAACTTCTAGATAAATGCTGGCAGAATTTGCATGTCATCTCCTTCTCTTCAGATGTCTGAAACACAGTTTCCCAGGAACCTCTCTTCAGTTAATAATTAAAGGTACACTCAAAAGTATATGTGCCAGGAGAAATCATAGCAAAAAATTGAAGGCTATCTAAATGCCCAACTGTTAGGGATTGGTTAAATAAGAAATGGGGCCGGGCATGGTGACTCACACCTATAATCCTAGCACTTTAGGAGGCTAAGGCGAGGGGATCGCTTGAGCCCAGAGGTCAAGACCAGCCTGGGTAACATAGGGAGGCTATGTCTCTCAAAGCATTTTTTAAAAAAAAACATAATCTGGCTGTGGTGGCATGTGCCTGTGGTCCCAGCTACTCGGAAGGCTGAGGTGGGAGGATCGCTTGAGCCCAGCAGTACTTCAAGGCTGCAATAAGCTGTGATTGCATCACTGCACTCCAGCCTGGGACAGAGTGAGACCCTGTATCAAAAAAAAAAAAAAAAAAAAAAAAAGAGAGAAAAGAAGTGTGGATTCATCCAAACAAATATTTAGAAAAAGAAAAAAAATACTCTGTCAGTTTGTCAGAGTTACTGTGTTTATTTATTTATTTATGGCTTAAACATGGAATGCTTAAATTATAGTAAAACATATATAAAATATCTGAGAGAAAAACAGAAGTCCATTTGTTCCTGAATGTTTGGTTTCCATGATGCCAACTATCTGAGTTTGTTTCTTTGAAGGCGTCATTTATGTACTGTAAAGTACACAGCAAGATGAGTTTTTATACACATGACCACCACCTAGATTTAATATATGTTATTTCTAGTACCTGAGGAGTTTCCCTCCTGCCTTTCATCTCTTCAGTCAAATCCCATCCCACGTTCCTCCCCAAGTAACCTCTATTCTGACGATCTAGGGCTTTAAAAAATGTTTGGCCAAAAAGCTAGATTTTTCCAGATATAAAAATGTTTGTCGGCCAGGCGCAGTGACTCACGCCTGTAATCCCAACACTTTGGGAGGACGAGGCAGGTGGATCACCTGAAGCCAGTAGTTTGAGATCAGACTGGCGAACATGGCGAAACCGGGTCTCTACTAAAAATACAAAAAACAGCTGGGCAAGTGGCAGGCGCCTGTAATCCCAGCTACTCGGGAGGCTGAGGCAGGAGGATCGCTTGAACCCAGGAGCCAGGAGGTGGAGTTTGCAGTGAACCGAGATCATGCCACTGCATTCCAGCCCGGGTGACAAGAGCCAAATTCTGTCTCAAAAAGAAAAAAAAAGTTTGCCTTGCCACACACACAAAAACAGGTAGCTATGTGAGATGATAAATATGTTAATTTGCTTGACTATAGTAACCATTTTATGATTCATATGTATATAAAAACATGATGAGTATCTTAAATATATACAATAAAATTTTAAGAGAAAAGAATGTTTGGTACCAAAATACTTGTCCTTAATGTTTCAGTTTTCTTCTCTGTTGTTCAGTTCCAATACCACACCCGTGAAGGGAATCAATTTCCTTCCTGGCACTTACTCTGTCCATTTCTGTAATTTTCCACAAAGAGTGGGGAAAACAAAAAATTTATCCCCTCATTCTTTCATCTATTGGGAACTGCTGAACTATCTCTTCACTTACTTGAATTTCTCTTTTAAGTGGCAGACTAAGACCACAAGAGGAACTATTGACAACAACCAACAAAACGTTTAACAATCTTTTAGATAACCTCAAAGTATTAAAAACTACATTTAAAAAAAAAACATGAAATACATAGTCAGTATATTTTTTTTAAGTCTTAAAAATATGGCTTTTGGCCGGGTGTGGTGGCTAATGCCTGTAATCCTAGCACTTTGGGAAGCTGAGGCTGGTGGATCACCTGAGGTCAGGAGTTTGGGACCAGCCTGCTCAACATGGTGAAACCCCGTCTCTACTAAAAATACAAAAATTAGCTGGGAGTGGTGGCACTCCTGTAATCCCAGCTACTCTGGAGGCTGAGGCAGGAGAATCACTTGAACCCAGGAGGTGGAGGTTGCAGTGAGCCGAGATTGCAGCACTGCACTCCAGCCTGGGTGACAGAGTGAGACTCCGTCTCAAAAAAAAAAAAAAAAAAAAAAAGAAAGAAAGAAAATATGGCTTTTGAGTAATTATATATCTTAAAATTTATTTGGAAGAAATGTTTAATTTTTTTCTCTTTGATACAGGGTCTCACTCTGTCACCAAGGCTGGTGTGCAGTGGAGCAATCACAGTTCAATGCAGCCTTGACCACCTGGGCTCAAACAATCCTCCCACCTCAGCCCCTCCGCAATAGCTGGGACCACAGGCATGTGCCACCATGCCCGATAAAGTTTTTTTTTTTTTTTTTTTGGTAGATACCGGTTCTCACTACGTTGCCTAGGCTTGTCTTGAACTCCTGGGCTAAAGTGATCCTCCTGTTTCAGCCTCCCAAAGGACTAGGATTATAGGTGTGAGCCACTGCACCCAGTCTAAATATTAGATTTACAAAAATTTGTGTACAAGGAGTAAAAAAACTGGTAACTGTCTAAATGCCCAACAATGGAGGAACGTTTAAGCAAATAACAGTGTATTCATGCATTCATGTATATAGAATACCCTGCCGTCCTTCAAAATGAAGCTATTGAAGTAAACGTGTGACAAAGAACTATAGTTAGGACATGTTAAATTTAAAAAGCAAATCACAAAACAGTATATACAATAATATCCCATTAATATACAATGATATCTCAATAATATACAATAATATCCCAATTTTGGCAGTGAAAGGCCCTGGGCTCTACCACTTACAAGCTGTGTGATCTTGGATAAGTTACTTAGTATCTCCAATCTCCCTTATTTGTAAAATAAGGATAATAATAGTATAAATTTTGGCCAGGCATGGTGGCTCATGCCTGTAATCCCAGCACTATGGGAGGCCGAGGCAGGCGGATCACCTGAGGTCAGGAGTTCGAAACCAGCATGGCCAGTACAGCAAAACCCCGTCTCTACTAAAAATATAAAAATTAGTTGGGCGTGGTGGCGGGCACCTGTAATCCCAGCTGGGGAGGCTGAGGCAGGAGAGTCGCTTGAACCCAGGAGGTTGGGTTGCAGTGAGCTGAGATCGTGCCACTGCACTCCAGCCTGGGCGACAGAACGAGACTCCATCTCAAAAAGAAAAAAAAAATAGTATAAATTTCACGGTGTCATTGTGAAGGTTACATCATATTTGACACATCTATGCAGTTTGTTAGCTATGATTAATACTAATCGGTTATTTAAAATATTAACTAGCTATTAATATATTATTAATTTGCTAATGTATACTTACGTGTTTATTGATATAATAAATGCATGCTATTTATATAATTTCTTTTTTTTTTTCTTTTTGAGCCAGGGTCTGCCTAAAGCTGGAGTGCAGTAGTACAATCATAGCTCACTGCAGCCTCTAACTTTTGGGCTCAAGTTATCCTCCTGCCTCAGCCTCCCTAGTAACTGGGACTACCATGACTGGCTAATTTTTTTATTTTTAGCTATTTTTGTAGAGATGAGGCCTCACTATGTTGCCCAGGCTGATCTTGAACTCCTGGCCTCAAGTGATCCTTCTGCCTCAGGCTCCCAAAGTTTTGAGATTATAGGCATGAGCCACTGTACCTGACCTATTTATGTAATTTGTATGTTTAAATTTTTAAAATGATATCCAAATAATTTCTTCATATAAAGGCAGAAATACTGCCTTGGAAGCCATTTTCTATTTATTCTCTAAAATCTGCAATTTTGGATTATTCTAGGCTGTCAATAAATTTTAGTGAAAAATTGCACACTATAAAATCATTCTGAAGACAAGATTGCAATAATAACTTATACGGATTAAGGAAAACATTATCCTTCAGAGAATAACAACCATACCTATAAGGGATTTAAGATATCATATAATTTCTTCTTGTTCAAGGCTTTCACTTTATATAGCGATAAAGGAACTGAGGTTTGATGGATTTGCTTAAAGTTATTTATACGTGACTGAGCAGGGGCTTGAACCTGGGTTAGTTGACTCTATATTCTCAGCCCTATTTTACAAGTACAGGCAGCTAGCAATTACATGTGAAAGAGTGTTCAATTAAATGTTGTTGATGATAAATTAGAAAATTGCTGAGCTTCTTAGGAAATAAGGTGAATAAAAATAACTTCTGGACAGCTAAAAATAAGCAACATTACTAAGTAAAAATTTTTCATGTGTACCTACTTGTTTTACCTGTGCAATTTAGAGGAATATCACCCCTGGGGGAGGCAGTACATTGAAAATAAATCAACTTTCAATGGAAATGTGCCATATAATTCATTGTCCTTTGGAGGTTTTTGTTTGTTTGTTTGTCACCCAGGCTGCAGTGCAGTGGTGCATTCCGTTCAATCGAGCATGGCTCACTGTAGCCTCAACACCCCTGGACTCAAGTGGTCCTCCCACCTTAGCCTCCCAAGTAGCTGGGACTGCAGGTGCACACCATCATGCCGGGCTAATTTTTGTATTTTTTTGTAGAGATAGGATTTCTCCATGTTGCCCAGGCTGGTCTCAAACACTTTGGAGATAATTTTCCCCTGAAATATCAACAAGATGACCTGTTTTTTGTTTTTGTTTTTGAGACCAAGTCTCACTTTGTCACCCAGGCAGGAGTGCAGTGGAGCGATCTTGGCTCACTGCAGCCTCTGCCTCCTGGGTTCAAGTGATTCTCATGTAACAGACTCCCGAGTAGCTGGGATTACAGGCATGCGTCACCACACCCGGCTAATTGTTGTATTTTTAGTAGAACGGGGTTTCTCCATGTTGGCCAGGCTGGTCTCAAACTCCTGATCTCAAGTGATCCGCCCACCTCAGCCTCTCAAAGTGCTGGGATTACAGGCGTGAGCCACCATGCCCGGCCCAGTAAGAAGACTTTTATTGGGAAATCACATTTAAAAATTCCTCTTCTAAGCCTCTCACAGATTTATTTATGCATCCTGCAAATGTAATATATACCTTTACAATTTAAACACTTTTCGGGTCCTTTTGAAGGTTTTCTCGTCTCAGTGCTTTTTATTCTTTTTAATTTAGGTATTAACAACTACCTTTCAAATTATCTGATCAGTGCGAGTTTTATACACCTTTATCATTTTCTTTCTTTGTTCTAAGAGTAATTCTTACTTTTCTTCATAGCTTGACTAATCTTGTTTTCTTACTTATGCAAATATCATATTTAATTCTGACCATTTTTTCTTTTTGTATCTTTTCAATTGCCTGAGTCATTTCTCTTTCCATACCTTAACTTTCAAGTTGAGTCTCCATGTTTTTTCTAAATCTGTCACTTCTTTATATCCCTAAATTGTTACATTCCTCCTAGATCTCTGAGTAATCACACAATTTTCACCCATTGATGTAGTGTTTTGAACATTATAGAGTACTTCTCCATGTTAAAAGATTTAAATAGTCTCTATTTATACATCATCTTGCTCTATAACTTCTCTATGTACAATTGAAGAAATCATTTTTTCTTCTTTTTCTTTCTTCTTTTTTTTTTTTTTTTTTTTTTTTTGAGACAGGTTGTTACTATGTGACCCAGGCTGGAGTGAAGCGGCAGGATCATGGCTCACTCTGGCCTCAGCCTCCTGGGCTCAAATGATCCTCTCATCTCAGCCTCCCAAGTAGCTGGGACTACAAATGTATGCCACCATGCCCAGCTAATTTATTTTTTGTAGAGATGGGGTCTCGCTATGTTATAGGATGGTCTCGAATTCTTGCCATCAAGCAATTCTCCTGCCTTGGCCTCCCAAAGTACTGGAATTACAGGCATGAGCCACCACACCAGGTCTATCTTTTTCTTTCTTTCTTTTTTTTTTTTTTTTGAGATGGAGTCTTGCTCTGTCACCCAGGCTGGAGTGCAGTGGAGCGATCTGGGCTCACTGCAACGCCCGCCTCCCAGGTTCAAGTAATTCTCCTGCCTCAGCCTCCCGAGTAGCTGGGATTACAGGCGTGCACCATGACGCTTGGCTAATTTTTGTATTTTTAGTAGAGACGGGGTTTCACCATGTTGGCCAGGCTGTTCTCGAACTCCTGACCTCAGGTGATTTGCCTGCCTTGGCCTCCCAAAGTGCTGGGATTACAGGCTTGAGCCACCACCGCCCGCCTGTTCCTTAATTTGCATGTAATTAAAAGTGGGTATAAATGTGCACCTGAGCAGCTACTTTCCACACTGCCTGTGGAGTAGCCCTCTCTGTAGGAGCAGTCACGGAGCTGTAACACTGCCCTCTCAATAAAGCTGTTTTCTCGGCTTGCTCTTGAATTCTTTCTGACTCTTAAATTGTTTCCTGAGCGAATCCAAGAACCTTTCCAGGATAGTCCCTAATTTGGTGCTTGCCTGCCTTGCATCAATACTACTAGAATTACTGGGAAGGTGGAGTGGTTATAGGTCAACAGTCTTTGGTGGGTACCTTTGGAACTTAGCCACTGGTTATCACATCGTTGCTGTGCAAAGTGTTTCTCAGTTACAAAGCAAAACAAACAATTAGTGAATGAAAAGAAGGAACATAACTTATTTATATTTTGTAAAGTAACTTTTCTTGGTGTGTTTTTCAGGCTTAGAACTTGCATTCTATTTTCAGGTTTTAGTTGCTCTTCCCAACTAAATAACACTTCTTGGCTGGGCTCAGTGGCTCATGCCTGTAATTCCAGCACTTTGGGAGGCTGAGGCAGGAGGATTGCTTGAGCTCAGGAGTTTTGAGACCAGCCTGGGCAACATAGAAAAACCCTATATCTACAAAAAGTGCAAAATCATTAGCCGGGCATGGTGGCACATGACTGAAGTCCCAGCTACACAAGAGGCTGAGGTGGGAGGCTTGCTTGAGCCCAGGAGGTGGAGGCTGCAGTGTGCTGTGATTGTACCACTGCACGCCAGCCTGAGAGACAAAGTAAGATCTTGTCTCTAAATAAATAAACAAATTCTTCAAAATCATGTAAGCCTTTCAGCAAATGCCTTGGAATTTCATTTAAATCTGCTTCTATTTGGAGGTGCATCGTAGTCACTCTTTCGCTCTTATTCTGTCATTGAATCTGATTTTACTTTATCTTCCTGGACTGTTTTCATTTAGCCAATTTCATTGTGTAGTCAATTCCAGCTTCGGGTTTTTTTACTGCGTATTTTTTTTTTTTTTGAGATGGACCCTTGCTCTGTTGCCTAGACTAGAGTGCAGTGGCGCGATCTCAGCTCACTGCAACCTCCGCCTCTCGGGTTCAAGTGATCCTCCTGCCTCAGCCTCCCAAGTAGCTGGGATTACAAGCATGTGCCACCACATCCAGCTAATTTTTGTATTTTTAGTAGAGACAGGGTTTCACCATGTCGGGCAGGCTGGTGATCACTTTTGAGTAAACTTTTCATGCACCCACACATGCTCTCCATCCAGAGTTCTGGTCCTTACTGGGATCGGCACAACATCAGCCCTTTTGCCCAGAGCTGGGTGGACCAGATGTATGATCGCTGCTGGAAACATTTCACAAAACTGCCTTTGCTTGTGTTAACGTGCTTCCCCAGGATACCTTCCTCCATCCATAATGTCAAGCCTAAACAAGAATGCTAAGAGCTTGAGTCACTGAAAGCTCGGGTAGGTGCCAGCGTCTGTTCCCAGACTGCTCACGCATTACTTGAGCAGGACATGGATGGTGACTTCTATGGGACCCACTCCCATCAATAATCTGAGGGTTGTGTTAGCTCTTAGGCTTTGAAATGACAGCCTCCTGGGGATAACAAGAGAATGGGAAAGGTTAGGGACTAGAGAAGTATGTCACTGATTTTTAAAAAATTCCTTGATATGGAAAAGCAAGATTTCTGTTTTCTTGCATTATGAGTGACTGTGTGGGGGAGGTAGGAAAGTGTGCAAATCACACCCATTCAGGATATGACAGCCAAGACAAGAAAGATAGAGGCACAGTTTCTCTTGTCTTGCAATAAACTGTCATTGTATCACTTTGTCTTTGATTCTCAGGTGTGGTTTATAATGACCTTCGCTTTCTGTTTAAATAACACTATGACTCAATGGCATATTACCAAAGATTATTGCCATTGAAGGCTGTGCCTAACTGTACACTTAAGTGTAGCTTAATGATGTCCCAGTACAACACCACGTGGTGATATGCCTTAGTTATGGTTATTTTATTCCTAATTAGCACATTAATTTAGGCTGTTATATTTTGCATGCATTTGTATTCCTTTTAAAAGTTATTTTCCCCTTTATTCAAAGTAAATGAGGCATTACATGTTTGCATTGTATTTATCAAGCTCATACCATGTGCATTTCACATTCGTTATGTACTGAGTACCTAGGAAATTGCTTGGCATATTTTTTGAAATAGCTTTATTGAGATGTAATTCATATAACATACCATTCACCCATTTAAAGTGTACAATTCAATGACTTTTAGTATATTCACAGAGTTGTGCAACCATCACCATGATCACTTTTAGAATGTTTTCATCACCCCCAGAAAGAAGCCTTACAGCCCTTAGCTTTTACCTTCCCCAAACCCCACTCCCTCTCCTCCTTCCAGCCCCAGGCAACCACTGATCTACTTTCTGTCTCTTTGGATTTACCTATTCTGAACCTTTCATAGAAATGGAATCACACAATATGTGGTCTTTCGTGACTGGCTTGTTTCACTTAGTATAGCGTTTTCAGGATTCATCCATACAGTAGCATGTATTCTTAATTCCCTTTTGTTGCCAAATAATATTTCGTCATAGATATTTACCGTATTTTATTTATCCATTCATCGGGTGATGGACATTTGGATTATTTCCACTTTTTGGCTATTATGAATAATGCTGCTATGAACATTTATGTATACGTTTTTGTGTGGACTTATGTTTTCATTTCTCTTGGGTGTATACCTAAGAGTAAAATCCCGGGATTATTTTGAGAATTCTATGTTTAGCCTTTTGAGGAACTGTTAGACTGTTTTCCAAAGTGGCCACATCATTTTACATTCCCACCGGCACTGTATGAGGGCACCAATTTCGCCACATCTTCACCAAGACTTTTTATCATCTTTTTGATTACAGCCATTCTAGTGAATGTGTAGTGGTATCTGACTCATTTTGATTTGAATTTCATTGATAACTAATGATGTTCCTATACTTATTGGCGATTTCTATGTCTTTGGGGAAGTGTCTATTTAGACTCTTACTTTAAGTGCTCATTACATTTTTCAAATAATTAATTAGAAAATTTAATCACCATAGTAACCATGGTAAGCAGATTTTATTGTCTCTATTTTTTAGATAATGATTAGAAAGTGGAATGTTTACCTGAGCCACACTGATGGTCAGTTTCTTATTTAGGTCTTTGGACCCTAACTCTCAAATATTTTGGCCAAGATGCTTCAGGCGATGGTCCCATCACCTGATATTTATAAAGAACCCAGCCGTGGTGAGGAAATGCCTTTGATAACGACTGCCTTTTTTTTTTTTTTTTTGAGATAGAGTCTCACTGTCACTCAGGCTGGAGTGCAGTGGCATGATTACAGCTCCCTGCAGCCTTGACCTTCCAGACTCAAGGGATCCTCCTGCCTTGGCCTCCAGAGTAGCTGGGACTATAGGTGCACATCACCATGACTGGCTAATTTTTTAGTTTTTGTAGAGACAGGGGTATTGCTATGTTGCCCAGGCTGGTCTCTAACTTCTGGTCTCAAGTGATCCTTCCACCTAAGTCTCCCAAAGTGCTAGGATTAGAGGCATGGGCCACCGCACTCAGCTGATAATGGCTACTTTTATATCTTGCTAACTGAGTCCTACAAAAGCCTATAAATCAGAATACTTGTCCTTGAATCTGTATAGTGCATTTCATTCTTGTAGAGCTAATGTGTTACATGTCTTTTATTCGTGTAGTTTTTCACATTGTAGGTGACTTATTTAGCCAGTTTCAGAGATGAGACTCAAAAAGAACAATTGAGGCCATGCACAGTGGTTCACACCTGGAATCCCAGCACTTTGGGAGGCGGAGGTGGGAGGATCACTGGAGACCAGGAGTTAGAGACCAGTCTGGGCAACATAGCAAGATTCCATCTCTAGAAAAAATTTAAATTTAAATTTAAAAATCAGCCAGGCATGGTGGTGGGCATCTGTGGTCCCAGCTTCTTAGGAATCTGAGGTGGATGGATCACATGAGCCCAGGAATTCATTCGAGGCTGCAGTGAGCCATTATCGCGCCACTGCACTCCAGCCTGGGTGGCAGAGCAAGACCCTGCCTCTTAAAAATAAATAAATAAATAAAAGATATATTTGGCTGGATGTGGTGGCTCATGCTTGTAATCCTAGCACTTCGGGAGGCCCAAGCAGAAGGATGGCTTGAGCCCAGGAATTAGAGGCCAGCCTGGGCAACACAGCGAGACCCCATCTCTACAAAATATAAAAAAACACACAAAAAAAATTTAGCTGTGTGGAGTGGCACAGGCTTGTAGTCCCAGCTACTCCGGAGGCTGAGGTGGGAAGATCACCTGAGTCTGGGTGGTCGAGGGTGTGGTGAGCCGTGATCGCGCCATTGCACTCCAGCCTGGGTGACAGAGTGAGATCTTGTCTCTAAAAATAAATAAATAAATAAAGATATATATTTTTTATGATCAAAGAGGAAGAAAATTGACATTCCTATCAGTCCTTGCTTTAAAACAGCATAAATTACGAATTTCCAGCCCTATAAAGGAAAAGAGAATACTCTTTGAGTTAAGAGGCATCCTTGTAAATCTAATGCCCTCCAACACTGCTCAGCCCTTTCAATTTAGCTCACCCTTTCACCCTTCTGTATAGCTCTCAGGTTTAGTTTCGCTGTGAAGCATAGCTCTAAAGTTCCAGAAGGGTGACGGATTTTTCCTTGAGCTGTAGAGTTTGCTGCAAGCAACACTCAATCAGTCAGCAACAGCCCTGCTCTTTTGCCCCAGAAAGGGCACCACAACGTGGGGAAAAACATTGCATGTTTTCTTCCACACTGCCTGCCAACAGAGGCTTCACAGTACAGATGTGAAGCAGCCTTGGACATCTGCCAACACAAATGAATGCAAAGGCTCATCATTGGCCCACTTTGCATTACTGCCCCATGTGTTGAACTGAATCCAGGTCTGATTTTACTTCCACTAGCCTTCCACTAAATATTAAATGACTGAGATAGAATTTTATTATACGGGCCGATGTGCTCCTCTTTTGCCGTGAACTGGCTGTGGAGCAATATTCTTTTCATAGACCTGAGGTGTGTTATTAGAACTTTTTTGTTTCTCCCAAATGCATTAAAAATGTTTTAGTCAAAATGAAACTCAGTTTCATTCTGGGCCAAGCAGCAGGCAAGCAGTTTAACATCAGCACACATATGACAGTTTGGGTGGTGGTGGCTTTCTGTGAGATGTTAATGCATGAAGTGCCCTGCTCTAAGGGACTGTGTTAGATGATATTTAACTACTGATTCAGTCAGAACCCTAGAATCCAGAGCCCTAGAATCATAGAAGTCACAAGTCTTAGAAGTGGACAGTATCTTAGAGACTACCTCATGTAGCCTCTCTTCCAGTGAAAAGTTGTTTCCACTATGACCCTAGGAGATGACCACCCAGAACCTGCCGAAATACTTCTGGTGATGGGGAACCCTCTTCTTGCAGAGAGGTCTGTTTCATTGCTAAAAACTTCTGGTCCTTAGAAGTTTCTTCCCTTTGTTGAGCCATACAGAGCATTCTCAGACTTTCTTTTCTTTTCTTTTTTTTTTTTTTGAGGCAGGGTATCACTCTGTCGCACAGGCTGGAATGCAGTGGCACAATCTCGGCTCACTGCAGCCTTCGTCTCCCAGGGTCAAGTGATTCTCCCACCTCAGCCTTCTGAGTAGCTGGGACTACAGGCATGGGTCAGCATGCCCGGCTAGTTTTTGTGTTTTTAGTGGAAACAGGGTTTCACCATGCTGGCCAGGCTGGTGTCAAACTCCTGGCCTCAAGTGATCCTCCTGCCTTGGCCTCCCAAAGTGCTGTGATTACAGGTGTAAGCCATCGCGCCTGGCCTATATATGTATTTTAAACCTCAATAGGTTCTAGAAAATAATTCAATACCCCTTCCTAAATAAGCTATCTTAATTTCTGATATGAAGTTCCTTCTGCCTCTCACTTTTACAACAGTGAAACTGTATTTAAAATATCTTGTCCAAAGTAGCAATTTTTGTTACATTACTGTGTTTGGGTTCTTCTTAATTTTGCCTGTGTTATTGAAAGTTTTGGGGTTACTCTTGGGGGAAGGGCCTTTTGAATCAGACTCCAGTGTTCACAGGGACTTTTTTTTTTTGTTTTTCTGTTTTTTTTTTTTTTTGGAAGGAGTCTCATTCTTTCACCCAGGCTGGAGTGCAGTGGCACGATCTTGGCTCATGGCAACTTCCGCCTCCCGGGCTCAAGTGATTCTCCTGACTCAGCCTCCTGACTTAGCCACCACACCCAGTTAATTTTATTTTATTTTTTTTGTATTTTTAGTAGAGACGGGGGTTTCACCATGTTGGCCAGGCTGGTCTCGGACTCCTGACCTCAAATGATCTGCCAGCCTCAGCCTCCCAAAGTGCTGGGATTACAGGCGCGGGCCGCCATGCCCAGTCCACAGGGATTTTTGAGATGGCACGCCCAGCAGTCCTGGTTTGCCATGCAGTCACCTGTCCAGTTTAACATGTGTTCTGGCGAAAATGTCTTGGTTTTTCTGATAAATTATATGATCTCTCTTCTTAAAGCTCAATAGCCTCATCTTAGAGAGGCAACGGTTAAGGTCTAGGGGAATTAAATGACTTTCACAAGGTCTTCCACAGCAAGTTGGTGACTGAGCAGGGACTGGAATTTATGACTCCTGCCTGCAATAATGGAAGTGGTTCTCCTGCCTTCTCCATCAGCATTGGGTTTCTGGGGGACAGCTTGTGAGTTCCTATGAACCAGATTGCGTGAGCATGTTATAAAATCAGTCCTAGCCATGATTCCAATGAGACAAGCTAACAGCATGGGCACTGGTGCTCTTTAACCCTGAAAAAACAATGTTAGATGATGCCTCTGTTCTTCTCTTCTCCCTTGTAGTCCCCTTAAGTCAATTTCTTTCACATGAAAGAAACTTTTGTTTTGGCTGAGTGTGGTGGCTCATGCCTGTAATCCCAGCACTTTGGGAGGCCAAGGCGTGTGGATCACCTGAGGTCAGGAGTTCGAGACCAGCCTGGCCAACATGGTGAAACCTTGTCTGTACTAAAACCACAAAAATTAGCTGGGCATGGTGGTGCACGCCTGTAATGCCAGCTACTTGGGAGGCTGAGACAGGAGAATCTCTTGAACCTGGGAAGCAGAGGTTGCAGTGAGCCAAGATTGTGCCATTGCACTCCAACCTAGGCAACAAGATCAAAACTCTGTCTCAAAAAAATAATAATAATAAAATAAAATAAAGAAACTTTTGTTTTGTTTAAGACAGCATACAGGGTCTCAGTATATTGCCCAGGCTGGAGTGCAGTGGCCATAGCTCATTGCAGCTTCAAACTCCTGGGTTCAAGCGATCCTTCTGCCTCAGCCTCCTGAGTAGCTGAGACTACAGGCACACATCACTATGTCTGGTTAATTTTATTATTATTATTATTATTATTATTATTATTATTATTATTATTGTTATTTTGTAGAGAGAGGGTCTCCCTATGTTGCCAGGGTTGGTCTCAAACTCCTGGCCTCAAGCAATCCTCCCACCCTGGCCTCCTGAAGTGCTGGGATTACAGGTATGAGCCATCATGCCCAGCAAAAGCAATGTCTTATTTTTTATTTTTTGAGACAGGGTCTTGCTGTGTTGCCCAGGCTGGAGAGCAACGGTACAATCTCAGCTCGCTGCAACCTCCACCTCCTGGGCTCAAGCCATCCTCCAGCCTTAGCCTCCTGAGTAGCTGGGACTATAGGCTCACACCATCACACTCTGCCAATTTTTTTTTTTTCATTTTAGAGACACGGTCTGACTATATTGCTCAGGCTGGTTTGAAACTCCTTGGCTGAAGCCATCCTCCCACACTGGCCTCCCAAAGTGTTGGGATTTTAGGTGATTTTATTTTACAGACTTTTAACCACTTTGCAATCTCTATTTAAATAGCTTCCAAGTTCTGTATTACTCACATAACTCACGTCCCAATGTACGTTTTCTAAAAATGTGCCTGAGTATTTTCTTATGCAAAAGTTAGAAAAGAAAACTGGCTAGTGATACTAAGCAGAAGAGATGAATGACAATGGCTGGAATACAAGGTATGAATGACTAAACAATGGGAACTGAACGAAAAGAAACGTTAGGCTCTGAGACTCAGCGTTCATGGTTCACTGTGGGAGGTCCCTGGTGTGAAGGGAAAATGTCCTGGTGCCAGGGAAAGGGCAGAAGGTCTCATTTCATTAAAAAATTTTTGTCTTCAGAGTAAAACCCTAAAAAGAAATCACTTATTTTTGCTGATAGCTTCTTCCTCCTTGCCCTGACTTGGATTAATAAGCAGTTTGATCTTTGCTATTTGCACACGTACATACACACACAGAGCCCAATCACTGTTGGCAATTCTTGCAACTAACAGGAAAAGCAGGAAACCTCCTTCAACACATCCTTACTTGTATTTAGCTAGCAATTTGAAGCTGCTTTCCAAGGCTGCAGGAGGATACGGTACTGGAGTGTAAACCAGAGAGTGCTTTCCCTGTTCCCAAGAATGTGTCTATACCTAGGACTGAAGGTGTCCTACAACGTCACAAGCATGGAGACTAAAAGGAAAGAGTGTTGTGTGAGTTTCACAGGCCTCTTTAAATTTTCAAATCCATTCCAATACAAGACTTGTATATATTTAGGGAACTTGGCTATTTACATGATCACTGAAGATTCTAAGATGTTCGGAGACTGGGCACGGTGACTCACGCCTGTCATCAAGGCATTTTGGGAGGTCAAAATGGAAGGATCACTTATGTCTAGGAGTTCGAGACCAGCCTGGGCAACAAAGCAAGACCCCAGTCTCTATAAAAAATATAAAAAATTAGCACATGCCTGTAGTCCCAGCTACTCGGGAGATTGAGGTGGGAGGATCCCTTGAGCCAAGGAGTTTGAAGCTGCAGTGAGCTATGATCATGCCACTATACTCCAGCCTGAGTGACAGTGAGACCCTATCTTAAAAAAAAAAAAAAAAAAAGAAAGACAAAAAGACAAATCTTAATGCTTTGTTGGGCATACAGTAAGTGCCTAGTAAGTATGTATTGAGTAAGTAGATACTAAATAACAAATGCTTAATAATAAGAGTGAGAGATGAATCCTCCTTATTTGAAAAAAAATTTTTAGGCTGGGCGCAGTGGCTCACACCTGTAATCCCAGCACTTTGGGAGGCTGAGGCGGGCAGATCACCTGAGGTCAGGAGTTCGAGGTCAGCCTGGCCAACATGGCAAAACCCTGTCTCTATTAAAAATTTTAAAAAATTAGCCGGGCGTGGCGGTGCGCACCTATAGTCCCAGCTACTCGGGAGGCTGAGGCAGGAGAATTGCTTGAACCTGGGAGGCAGAGGTTGCAGTGAGCTGAGATCCTGCCACTGCACTCCAGCCTGGGAGACAGACTGAGACTCTGTTTCAAAAAAAAAAAAATTTTAAGAGACAGGGTCTTGTTCTGTCACCCAGGCTGGAATGCCATGGTGTGATCATAGCACACTGCAGCCTCGACCTTCTGGGCTTAAGCGATCCTCCCACCTCAGCCTCCCGAGTAGCTGTTACTATAGGTGTGCACCCCCACACCCAGCTAGTTTTAAATTTTTCTTGTAGAGATGGGGTCTCACTATGTTTCCCAGGCTGGTCTCCAACTCCTGGGCTCAAACAATCCTCACACTCCAGCCTCCCAAAGTGCTGGGATTACAAGCATGAGCCACTGCACCCAGCTGCCAACAAGGAAAGCTTTTAGGCTTGTATTGAAATATTAGCACCTCCCTAATGATGGTGAGCAGCACACATGCTGTTCCCTGTACCTCCAGGCTGCGCCAGCATTGCGAGCTGCAGGACTGCCCTATCTCTGTGCCTTGTCAGGAGGAATCACTGTAGTATTACCCCACATTATTATAAGATGTTATACCTAATGCCTCAGAAGCCAGACAGGATGTTCAGTCAACTTCCCAACAAAATCTTCAAGAGTTAGAGGACTGTCTTCAAGTCTTACTGCTAATATCACTTTTCTTGCTGTTCTGGAAGGAAATGAAGATGAAAACTGTCAGAAAGTAACTGTGGGCTACGACTAAAGCTGCTGACTGATAGAGGATAAAGGAAGAATGCAAATATACTACTGCATCGGCTTTTATTTAATCCTAACAGGAGATGTAGGGAAGGTCTGCGTTTCTATGCCTTGGATTAGTGTTCAGTTGGTGTGTTTTTCTGAAGATTAAAAGTGAGTTTGCATGCAGAGGAAGCATACAATGCCACCTAAAAGTCTCCCAGAAAAAGCTTCATAAAGGGATATTTTGTCATATCAGGAAAATAGGAACCTTATACCCATACCTTGAGTTACAAAGGAAAAAGTTACTTTATTCATTGCATTCTCACTTTTATTGCTCAACAGCCACAAATATTTCTTTGAGAACCTACTATGTGCTGGGCGCTTTTCTGGGTAATACAAAGATTTCATCAAGGTAGAGGCACAGCCTCAGGCCTGAAATTCACAGTATAGTTGAAGAGAAACGACAAGAACCTAAAAGATAAAAAACAGTTTGAAGCTGGTTGCGATGCCTCATGCCTGTAATCCCAGCACTTTGGGAGGCTGAGGTGGGTGGATGGCTGAGCTCAGGAGTTCAAGACCAGCCTGGGGCAACATGGCAAAACCCCATCGCTACAAAAAATACAAAAAAATTAGCTAGGCATCGTGGCACAAGCCTGTAGTTCCAGCTACTCAGGAGGCTGAAGTGGGAGGATCACTTGAGCCTGGGAGGCGGAGGGTGCAGTGAGCCATGATTGCGCCACTGCACTCCAACCTGGGTGACAGAGTGAAACCCTGTCTCAAAAAAACAAAAAAACAGAGGCCAGACCCAGTGGTTCACACCTGTAATCCCAGCACTTTGGGAGGCCGAGGCGGGTAAACCACTTGAGGTCAGGAGTTTGAGACCAGCCTGGCCAACATAGTGAAACTCCATCTCTACTAAAAATACACAAAATTAGCAGGGCGTGGTGGCACACGCCTGTAATCCCAGCTACTCAGGAGGCTGAGGTAGGAGAATCACTTGAACCCAGGAGGCGGAGGTTGCAGTGAGCCAAGATTGTGCCACTGCACTCCAGCCTGGGCAACATAGCAAGACTTCGTCTCAAAAAAAACCAAATCAAACCAAAAACAAATCAACAAACAAACCAGTCTAAATGTGCATATGTTATGCAGTAAATGACAATATGGGTCAATAATATTATCACAAAGCTTCACATAGAAACCTCTCCTCCTCTCTTAGGATATTTTCTTCCTGGGGGAGTGCAGCAAAGGTAGGAGCTTAATTGCATAGAGTAATTTTGATGTTTGCACAGAAACGCATAATGATATTATTGATCCTGAATGCAAACTCCTAGCAGAAACAGTTGTGAAACCTGCTGGGAGTTTGCACCTGGCAGCCTGGTTTCCCCATTCATCAAGGAGGAAGGGAAAGAACCCCAAAGCACCTACAGCTCCCAGGATGTGGCAGCGACCCAGAGTGCTTACCAAATGGAATGAATGGTTCTAGAAGATCAAGAAAGTTTGAGTGACAGTAGATAGCAGCATCAAATAGGAAGGAGATTGCTCCTCTTGTCTCCAGTCATCAAAGTGCTTCACAAATCAATATTAGACGCTGCATTAAAAAAATTATACCGTCATGGGAGATTGTCTGTGAATTGGCCTGAAGAACAAAAAATTAGTCTACTTTAAGAATCCTGGCGAGGCACGGTGGCTTACGCATGTAATCCCAGCACTTTGGGAGGCCGAGGTGGGAGGATCACGAGGTCAGGAGATCGAGACTATCCTGGCTAATAGTGAAACCCTGTCTCTACTAAAAATACAAAAAATTAGCTGGGCGTGGTGGCAGGCACCTGTAGTGCCAGCTACTTGGGAGGCTGAGGCAGGAGAATGGCGTGAACCTGGGAGGCAGAGCTTGCAGTGAGCCGAGATCGCACCACTGCACTCCAGCCTGGGCGACAGAGCGAGACTCCATCTCAAAAAAAAAAAAAAAAAAAAAAAAAAAGAATCTTATTCAGCCAAGTGAAGTGGCTCATTCCTGTAATCCCAGAAATTTGGGAGGCTGAGGTGGGAGGATGGCTTGAGGCCAGGAGTTCATGACCAGTCTGGACAATACAGCAAGACCCTGTTTCTAAAAAAAAAAATTAAAAGGTTAGCCAAGTGTAGTGGTATGCACCTGTAGCCCCAGCTATTCGGGAGGCAGAGGTTGAAGAATTGCTTGAACCCAGGAGTTCAAGGCTGCAGTGAGCTATGATCTTGCCATTACACTCCAGCCTGAGTGACAGAGTGAGACCCCTGTCTAAAAAAGTAGTAAAAGTAAAAGTAAAAAAAATTTAACAAGGATTCTATTCATTGTGAATTTCAGAAGCTGTTATTTGGTCCTCTAAATAATTATTTATATGAAAGCAATGAATACTCTTTTACTTACTACTATACAAACAACGTAATATTTTTTTAAAGTTTTGATTGAAGTATTTTTAAAGTTTTGATTAAAGTGTTTTTAAAACACTGAAAATAACAACAATATCTCTCAGAAAATAATGAGTTTCTTTCTGTTAGCTGTTGAATTATTTACTCCCATAACCGAATAGTAACAGCACATCAAAGCCAGCAGTGGTAATTAAATGATTTGTGAACATAGGTTAACAAATTAGTGTATCATGATGTGTAATTGTCTAATTAGGATAAAAAAGCTAGTCCTACCTGAAAGACTGACAAGATAACAAAACAAAATGGAATAGGTAAAAAGCATCATGTGATATATTGGGATGTATATAGTAGTGTAATTTCTCTCCTTAAAACTTGAGAGGGCTACAAGCATCTTTCTGATCTTACCTGTCCAAGTTGCCCAGCATGGTGGCTAGCGCCTGTAATCCCAGCACTTTGGGAGGCTGAGGCGGGCAGATCACTTGAGGTCAGGAGTTAGAGACCAGCCTGGCCAACAAGGTGAAACCCCATCTCTACTGAAGATACAAAAATTAACCGGGCATGGTAGCACATGCCTGTAGTCCCAGCTACTCAGGAGGCTGAGGCGGGAGAATTGCTTGAACCTGGGAGGCAGAGGTTGCAGTGAGCCGAGATTGTGCCACTGTACTGCAGCCTGGGTAACAGAGCAAGTCTCCAGACTCCACCTCAAAAACAAAACAAAAAAAAAGATCTTACCTGTTCAAGTTATACACACTGGCTCAACTAATTCAGTCAAGAGGAGAACAACTAACCAAGTAAGTGGGGGCTTGTTATGTTTTCAGGATGAGTTGGGTGCTGTCTACATGACCTCAATTAATTAAAATTATTTGTAGTTTTCATGAGACAACCACCAGCATCCCCAGGCCTGTGAAGGCACCTGAGGGAAAATTCCTTTGAATTCCACTTTAGCCCATGTGGGAACTAGATATACGAACAAAACAAGCTGGCATGGTGGCTCATGCCTCTAATCCCAGCAGTTTGGGAGGCTGAGACAGGAGGTTGGCCAGAGCTTAGGAGTTCGAGACCAGCCTGGGCAATATAGTGAGAACTTGACTCTAAAACAACAACAACAACAAACAAACAAAACAAAAAATAAAAACAAAACAAAATTAGGCATGGCATGGTGGCTTACACCTGTAATTGTAGCATTTTGGGAGGCCTAAGAAGATTGCTTGAGTGTAGGAGTTTGGGACTAGCCTGGGCAATATAGCAAGACCCTATTGCTACAAAAATATAAATTATCTGGGCATGGTGGTGTGTGCCTGTAGTCCCAGCTACTTGGGAGGCTGAGGCTGGAGGATCATTTGAGTCCAGGAGTTTGAGGCTGATGTGAGCTATGATTGTGCCACTGCACTCCAGCCTGGTTGACACAATGAGACCCTGTCTCTAAAAACAAAACCCGGCCAGGCGTGGTGGCTCACGCCTGTAATCCCAGCACTTTGGGAGGCTGAGGCAGGCAGATCACCTGAGGTCAGGAGCTCGAGATCAGCCTGGCCAACATGGTGAAACCCCATCTCTACTAAAAATACAAAAATCAGCTGGTGTGGTGATGTGCGCCTTTAGTCCCAGCTACTCGGGAGGCTGAGGCAGGAGAATTGCTTGGACCCGGGAGGTGGAGGCTGTAGTGAGCTAAGATTGCACCTTTGCACTCCAGCATGGGCGACAGAGTGAGACTCCATCTCAAAAAACAAAACAAAACAAAAAACCAAACCAAAAAACTTTCTTGTTGGGAATAATCCCTAGAATTGCAGCTGGAAATTTAAATGATACTTTAAAAAAAAACCTCATAAGCCATAGCTTACGATAATGGGACATTATATTACTTGCTTTGGTCCACTCATCTGGAGAGGATTGTCTCATTAGACGAACTCAAGAACATTTTCCACTCTGACCTCTCTTATGTCCTTTTCTTCGCCATCAGCTCCTCCTCTCAGAATCCTGATTTGAGAACGAATGATGGTATAACAATATTTGGCCATGGCCAGGCGTGATGGCTCACTCTGTAATCCCAGCACTTTGGGAGGCCAAGGCAGGTGGATCTCTTGAAGTCAGGAGTTCGAGACCATCCGTGCCAACATGGTGAAAACCCATCTCTACTAAAAATACAAAAATTAGCCGGGCATGGTGGCGTATGACTGTAGTCCCAGTTACTTGGGAGGCTGAGGCAGGAGAATCTCTTGAACCCTGGAGGTGGAGGTTGCAGTGAGCAGAGATTGCACCACTGCACTCCAGCCTGGGCAGCAGAGCAAGATCCTGCCTCAAAAAAAAAAATTGGCCATCTCTTTTCCTGGTAAGGAAATATTAAAGCAACACGGGACAATTTTTACCTAACCCCTAAACACTATTAGTATCATTGCTTCAACTAAGATCAACTTTTCCTCTCTTTTTCTGTGAAAGATAAATTTCTCATTTGAAAGCAACTGAAAGAATAGATACTAAATATTAATTAATTTAGACAAAATTATTCTGGGTGTTATGAGGTAAGGAACATTTAGGATTCTTTATCCTTATTTATTATGTAGTAGGGTTTTGACAATATCCTGGTTATTACTTTCCATGTCATAAGCTGATTTGTACTTAGGTCTTATGTTTGAAAATGCTTATGTTTGGAAACTTTTCATAGATTAACTGAATTAGCTAGAGAATTTGCTAAATCTCTTGGTCTCAACTCAACTGAAAAATCTGCTTGTCACTGAGGAATTTCAGTCTAATCTACAAATTTGTCTGACAGCGTCAATAGGAAAATTTACTTGGGGCAGAGGGATAGAGGTTGAATCTGCATATCTGAGTTCTTAGAGAGTGATGATGGTTAAATGCAGAGTCCTGTTCCCCACCCCAAGCATTTTGTGTGTGTGTGTGTGTGGGTGTGTGTGTGTGTATGTGTGTGTGACAGGGTTTTGCTCTGTCACCCAGGTTGGAATGCAGCTATCACGGCTCACTGCAGCCTTGACCTTCTGGGGCTCAAGTGACCCTTCTGCCTCAGCCTCCTGGACTACAGGTTCATGATACCATCCAGCTAATTTTTAAATTTCTTATACAGGCCAGGCCCAGTGGCTCACGCCTGTAATCCCAGCACTTTGGGAGGCCAAGGCGGGAGGATCACGAGGTCAGGAGATCGAGACCATCATGGCCAACACAGTGAAACCCCGCCTCTACTAAAAATACAAAAAATTAGCCAGGCATGGTGGTGGGTGCCTGTAGTCCCAGCTACTTGGGAGGCTAAGGCAGGAGAATGGCGTGAACCCGGGAGGCGGAGTTTGCAGTGAGCCAAGATCGTGCCACTGTGCTCCAGCCTGGGCGACAGAGCAAGACTCTGTCTCAAAATAATAATAATAATAATAATAATAATAATAATAATAATAATAAATTTCTTATAGAGATGGGGTCTCATCCTATCACCCAGGATGGAGTGCAGTGGCATGATCATGGCTCATTGCAGTCTCTAACTCCTGGCTCAAGTGATGCTCTTACCTCAGCCTCTTGAGTAGTTGGGACTACAGGTGCATACCACTATGCCTGGCTACTTTTTATTAATTTTTGTAGAGATGGGGTCTCACTATGCTGCCCAGGTTGGTCTCAAACTCCTGGCCTTAAGTGATCCTCCTGCCTTGGCCTCCCAAAGCATTGAGATTACAGGTGTGAGCCACCATGTCCGGCCTGCATTCCAAGTATTTTGAATCAGTGTCTTACTTTGGGTTCTGCTGAAGCAGAGGCTTAGACAAGGATTTGAGTGCCAGGAGTTTACTTGAGAGATGATCCCAATAGCTCCCTGAAAGGGGTCTGGAGAAGGGAAGTGGGGAAGGAAGGAAGGAAAAGCAATAAAGGCTATATTAATGAGAAGGTTATTTATCACCATGGCCACCTGAGGGTCAGCCCCAAGGGGACCTCCTGAGAGACTGCAAGGCACCTCAGTAGTGTCTCACTGACAAGCAAGAAAGCTGGAGCTCCTGTTTCTCATTGGTTGAAGGTTGCTGCTGGGGGCGTGGACTCCCTGATAATTCTGGCCTGCCTTGTGTGTGCACACAGCATGCTTCTGTGACCAGAGAAAATCCCCAGGCAGAAAGACACAGAGATACAAAGGTAGGAATCTTTAGTGTTCAGGGACTAGTCATGGAAGCTCCCCATAAAGGAGGGGTTATGTAGGAGTTTGAGACCAGCCTGGGCAACACTGTGAGACCTTGTCTGTACAAAAAATTAAATAAAATAATTAGCCAGGCATGGTGGTGGCACATCTGTAGTTTCAGCTACTGGGGAGGCTGGAGGTAGGAGGACCACTTGAGTCCAAGAGTTCAAGATCAGCCTGGGCAACACAGTGAGATGCCGTCTCTACCAAAAAAAAATTAGCTGGGCATGGTTTCATGTACGTGTAGTCCCAGCTACCTGGGAGGCTGAGGTGGGAAGATGGCTTGAGCCCAGAAGTTCAGTGAGCCATGATTGCACCACTGTAATCCAGTGTGCACAAAAAAAATGGACTCTGTCTCAAAAAAAAGAGGAGAAGTTGGAGGGATATGGGTGTGATTCTGACAGCTACAATCAGAATCTCTGCCTGTGGCTGTGGGGCTTGGGAACTGTATATTTTCAACCCCAGATGATTCTGATCTTTACAAAAGCTTAAGAATCATGGCTGTGAAAGGGAATCTGAACAGGTTTCCCCCAAGCTGCGCTACTTTCAGAGAATTTGAAGTCCCCAGAATAGCAAAGAGCCCTGCAGGATCTGGCCTCTTCCTACCTCTTTGGCTCCATCTCTTGATTCACATTTTTGTCCCCAGACTCTGGCTGTAGCCATCAAATTGCTTGCAATTACCTGAAAACCAGGTGGTTTTACACTTCTGCCTCTGCTCAGAATGTTTCAGCTGCAGAAAACTTGACTAACAGTGGCTAAAACAAATAAGGGTTTATTTTTCTAACACAGCCAGCAAGTCTGGAGATGGGTAGCTGCTAACATTGGTTTTGTGGCTTAATAAGGCCAGGGTGGGAGTTGGATTCTTTTAGATTTTCCTTTGCAGTTGCAAGGGCTGCTGCAGCTCCAGATACCATGTTTGTATTCAAGTCAGGAAGGGGCAGTACCAACTAAGTGAAAACTTTCCCCAAAAAGCCCAGTAGAGTTCCCTTAATGTCTCACTGACCAGAACCATGCCATGTGTCTACCCCTAGCAGCGAGGGAGGTAAGTAAATATTTAGCTGCCAAGCTTTATAGAGACGGCAGGAAAAGCAGATGAGGGTTGGGAAGTTTGAAATGGTGTTAGATTAGCCCTTCTTCATTTTGTTTGCCTGGGGAGTACCTATTGAACTTTTTTTTTTTTTTTCCTGAGACGGAGTCTCGCTCTGCCCCCAGGCTGGAGTGCAGTGGCACCATCTCGGCTCACTGCAAGCTCCGCCTCCCGGGTTCACACCATTCTCCTGCCTCAGCCTCCTGAGTAGCTGGGACTACAGGCGCCCGCCACCATGCCCAGCTTATTTTGTTTTTATATTTTTAGTAGAGATGAGGTTTCACCGCATTAGCCAGGATGGTCTCGATCTCCTGATCTCGTGATCCGCCCCCCTCAGACAAGTACTTATTTAACTTTTAAGATTCACTTTCCCTCATATTTTATTTTGAAAACTTTTAAACTTTCAGAAAAATTGAAAGAGTTGTACAGTATATACCTACATACTCACTACCTAAATTCTATTATCAACATTTTACTATATTTATTTATATATGTATTTATTTATTATTATTATTATTTTTAGAGACAGAGTCTTGCTCTGTCACCCAGGCTGGAGTGCAGTGGCATGATCTCCATTTACTGCAACCTCTGACTGCTGGGTTCAAGTGATTCCCATGCCTCAGCCTCCCCAGCAGCTGGAACTACAGGTGCACACCACCACACCCAGCTAATTTTCGTATTTTTAGTGGAGACGGGGTTTCACCATGTTGGCCAGGCTGGCCTTGAACTACTGACCTCAGGTGATCCGCCTGCCTCAGCCTCCCAAAGTGCTGGGATTACAGGACTAAGCCACTGCACCTGGCCTAGTGCTCTTTTCTTAAGTAAAATTTATATACTTTCAGGCAAGGAACTCTGTGGTGACAATACATGCTCAGGTGTTAACTGATCACTGAGATGGTGCCAGTAAGAGTTCCTGGGGCGGTTTACATTTCAACTGGGAAATCCGCATCTGTCATACACCGTGGGTGGAGCCTGCCCTGCTCTGCTTCCAGGCAGTTTGCATTTCTCGCCAATCCAGGTGTTACTCTTGGTTGCCCATTAAGAGGGAGTTCCATCCCCCCATTGCCTCTGACTGCCAGGGCTCGTTTTGGTGGAGCTTCATTTCATCCTCGTGTTGTTCATTGCATGGAGAAATAAATCCCAAAGTCAAATGCTTCTTAGAAAAGATAGCTCTCTCCAAAAGGAGAAGAGCCATTTCTTGGCTACTCCCTGTAAGACTGGTTTTCCTTTCCCTAAGCACCATACGTCACCCTGTCCATCTTCTTTTATTTTATTATTATTTTTTAGAGATAAGGTCTCCCTCTGTTGCCCAGGTTGGAGTGCAGCCTCGAAATTCCAGTCTCAAGTGATCCTCCCGCCTCAGACTACAGGTGTGCACCACCATACCTAGCTATTTTTTAAAAAAATCTTTTGTAGAGGCTGGGCGCGGTGGCTCACGCCTGTAATCCCAGCACTTTGGGAGGGCAAGGCAGGCGGATCACGAGGTCAGGAGATCGAGACCATCCTGGCTAACACGGTGAAACCCCATCTCTACTAAAAATACAAAAAAAAAAAAAAAAAAAATTAGCCAGGCGTGGTGGCGGGTGCCTGTAGTCCCAGCTACTCAGGAGGCTGAGGCGAGAGAATGGTGTGAACCCGGGAGGCGGAGCTTGCAGTGAGCCGAGATCACGCCACTGCACTCCAGCCTGGGTGACAGAGTGAGACTGTCTCAAAAAAAAAAAAAAAAATTTGCCCGTAAAAAGGACAAGGTCATACTGTTATAATTTGGACCTTGGCTCCCAAAGGGACAGTAAAAAGAATGCTTTACAGACAACATTAGCTCACTGACAAAACCTAGGTTGTGCAGAAGAAAACAGCCCTGCAGTCGGGAATGGTGACCTAGCCCTGGCCCAGGACAGCAACCTGAGCCTCAGATCTGTGTCCTAGCCCTAGCTTTGCCATTAACACTCTGTTACTTTAGGCAAGTCACTTTCATGCTGTGAGCCTCAGTTTCCCCATCTAGGCAACATACTGGATTCCATCTAAAATCACTGCCAGTTCTAAAATTGCATGAGCTATTCGAGATTCAGGTTCAATTTGAAATGTCAAATTTAGGTTCCACATAAAAAAGACCTCAGCTGGTGGATCAATAAGGATTGCAAAGAGGTCATTTTTCACCTGTGAGTCCTTCATTCATCATTATCTTCCTTAATCACCTTGTGTCTAGCGCCTGCCCTGGGCCGACAGATCTGTCCAGCTGCATAGCTCTTGCTCTTCTGGACGGGCAGCAAACCCAGCTCGGTTTGGCATGGCACAGAGCGAGACGGAAGTATTAATCAACACAGAAGTGGTTGCTGGCAGGAGATCAGAAGGCTTTGTCCAGGTTCGTAGAGTGAGGAGAGAGGCTGCGGACGGAGGCAGGAAGGGTGCAGAGTATGAAAGCATTTGTTTGGGGACAGCAACCGCAGTACGTTCTATGCAGGGACATGGCGACTGGAACACCTTGTCCATCCTAATGAAGCATGGAGCACCATGTGTTATGTGTAAATGCAGAAGGCTAACTAATGGATTAACTTAGACAGCTTGTCTTTGTGGAGCAGAGGAAGCGGTGGCTGTAAATGGAGGCCGGAGTGCTAGCCAGCTTTGAGAGGAGAAGCCTGCAAGAACAGAAACACTGAGGTCTGGCCGGCACGGTGGCTCATGCCTGTAATCCCAGCACTTTGGGAGGCCGAGGTGGGTGGATTGCTTGAGGCTAGGAGTTCAAGATTAGCCAGGCCAACATGGCAAAACCCATCTCTACTAAAAATAGAAAAATTAGCTGGGTGTGGTGGTACACCCCTGTGATCCCATCTACTTGGGAGGCTGAGACATGAGAATAGCTTGAACCTGGTAGGCAGAGGTTGCAGTGAGCAGAGATCATGCTGCTGCATTCCAGCCTGGGCGACAGAGCGAGACCCTGTCTCAAAACACACACACACACACACACACACACACACACACACACACAAACACTGAGGTCTCACATAGCTCGCTGAAATGGCTTTTCCCAAACCAAAGCTCAGACACAAAGCTGCTCATTCATTACACATCATCCATCCATTTCCAGAAGATGGTTCTTTTCTTTGTTTGTTTGTTTTGACAAGGTCTCACTCTGTTGCCTAGGCTAGAGTGTAGTAGTGCGATCATAGCTCACTGCAGCCTTGAACTCCTGGCCTCATGCAATCCTCTGGCTTCAGCCTCCCCAGTAGCTGAGACTACAGATGTGTACTACCATGCCTAATTTTTATTTTTATTTTTAAAATATTTATTATTACTATTTTTTGAGATGGAGTTATGCCCTGTCACCCAGGCTGGAATGCAGTGGTGCAATCTTGGCTCACTGCAACCTCCACCTCCTGGGTTCAAGCAATCTTGTCTCAGTCTCCCGAATAGCTGGGACCACAGGCATGCACCACCATGTCCAGCTAATTTTTGTATTTTTTGGTGGAGATGGGGTTTCACTATGTTGCCCAGGCTGGTCTTGAACTTCTGACCTCATGTGATCTGCCTGCCTCGGCCTCCCAAAGTGCTGGGATCACAAGTGTGAGCCACTGTGCCCGCCTTAATTTTTAAAGTTTAAAAATTCTTAGTAGAGACGAGGTCTCACTATGTTGCCCAGGCTGGTCTCGAACTCCTGGGCTCAAGCGATCCTCCTGCCTTGGCCTCCCAAGGTGCTGGGATTACCGACGTGAGCCACTGCACCCAGCCAGAAGATGGTTCTTAATTAAAGAAGGTATTTTGGATGCCTATCATACCATGCTCTCGGAAAGAGAACATCTTCCGCACTGTCTCCTACATGAAGTGACTTTATAAGGATGATTTCAGAGGCTGGAGTACAAAGGGAAAAGTACTTTTCAAAGCCAAACGCAGTGTAAGAGAGAATTCAAAGAGGAAGTCAAGCATTAATCTTTATCAGAGCATCTCAACCATTAACTTTACTACTCATTGTTATTAGGCACAAATGTACCTAGTGCCTTATGGAAACCTGATAGACAAACGTTTAGGCGATTAAAAGAGGATAAATCCAGGGGCATTTATGCCTTCTACAAAAGAACTCCTCACTTTACTGAAGATTGCCTTCAGGAGTTCTTTTTTTAAAAATAGCAGCTTCTCTGAGCACTTAAAATGCGATCTGATTTACACACCTCAATTGATTCTATTCTAGTTCAACCTAACTTTAAACATCTTTCTAGAGGCAAGAGAAATGCCTGTTTTCTCTCTCTCTCTCTGCATCCCTCTTCCTTTTCTCCCCCTTCCCAAGGTGCCATGCCATCAAATGGGTCTGGGTCTGCTATAAAGACCTATAATGCCAGGGCTGGAAGTGCCCAGAGCTGTAATTCAACCCCAGACCCTGTTTATTTATTTATTTATTTTTATTTAAGGCAACCTCCACCTTCTGGGTTCCAGTGATACTCATGCCTCAGTCTCCCGAGTAGCTGGAATTATAGGCATGTGCCACCACGCCTGGCAAGTTTTTGTATTTTTACTAGAGACGGGTTTTTGCCATGCTGGCCAGGCTGGTCTCGAACTCCTGACTGCAAGTGACCCACCCGCCTCAGCCTCCCAAAGTGCTGGGATTACAGGCCTGAGCCACCCCACCTGGCCTTTCTTTTTTTTTTTTTTTTTTTTTTTGTTTAGTAGAGATAGGGTCTTGTAATATTGCCCAGGCTGGTCTCGAACTCCTGGGCTCAAGCAATGCGCCCACTTTGGCCTCCCAAAGTGTTGGGATTAGAAGTGTGAGCCACTGTGCCAGGCCAGGAATGTGATTTTTGACAATGTAGTTATCCTCTTTGAGTTTCCTCAACTTTATTTATTTATTTTATTATTATTATTTTTGGAGACAGAGTCTCGTTCTGTTGCCCAGGCTGGAGTGCAGTGGCTTGATCTCGGCTCACTGCAACCTCTGCCTCTCAGGTTCAAGTGATTCTCCTGCCTCAGCCTCCTGAGTAGCTGGGATTACAGGTGCCTGCCACCATGCTTGACTACTTTTTGTATTTTTAGTAGAGACGGGGTTTCACCACGTTGGTTAGGCTAGTCTCGAACTCCTGACTTCAAGTGATCTGCCTGTCTTGACCTCCCAAAGTGCTGGGATGACAGGCATGAGCCACTCCACCTGACCTGGACCCTTTTTTTTTTTTTTTTTTCTGAGACAGGGTCTCACTCTGTTGCCCACACTAGAGAAAAGTGGTGCAATCATAGCTCACTACAGCCTCGAACTCCTAGGCTCAAGTGATCCTCCCACCTCTTGAGTAGCTAGGACTACAGGTGTGTGCCACTATGCCTGGCTAATTTTTGTGTTTTTTGTAGAGAAAGAGTTTTGCCATGTTGCCCAAGCTGGTCTCAAACTTCTGGGCTCAAGTGATCCTCCCACCTCAACCTCTCAAAGCACTGGGATTACAGGTGTAAGCCACTGTGCCTGGCTTTGTACAATGGTTTGATGGAATATGTCAATGAAAGCAGCACCACATTCAGTTAAAATTTTACATTTGTTGGCACAAATATTTGATTATTTCCCACATCAAACAGTAAGAAATGACAGAAGCAAGATTGCATTTGCCTTTTCTTTTCTGTTTTTTTTTTTTTTTTGTTTGTTTGTTTTTTAACGGAATCTTGCTCTGTCACTAGCCTGGAATGCAGTGGTGCAATCTCAGCTCACTGCAACCTCCACCTCCTGGGTTCAAGCGATCCTCCTGCCTCAGCCTCTTGAGCAGCTGAGATTATAGGCCCCTGCCACCACACCCGTCTAATTTTGGTATTTTTTCGTAGGGATGGGTTTTCGCCATGTTGGCCAGGCTGGTCTCCAACTCCTTACCTCAAGCGATCCACCTGCCTCACCTTCCCAAAGTGCTGGGATTACAGGTGTGAGACACAGTGCCTGGCCTGTTTTCTGTTTTGTTTTTTTTTTTTTTTTAGACGGAGTCTCACGCTGTTACCCAGGCTGGAGTGTAATGGTGCAATCTCAGCTCACCGCAACCTCCGCCTCCCAGGTTCAAGTGACTCTGCTGCTTCAGCCTCCCAAGTAGCTGGGATTACAGGAACGCACCACCATACCCGGCTAATTTTTTCTATCTTTAGTAGAGATGGGGTTTCATCATGTTGGCCAGGCTTGTCTCGAACTCCTGGGCTCAATTGATCTGCCCACCTCGGCCTCCCAAAGTGCTGGGATTACAGGCATGAGCCACGGCACCCGGCTTTTTTTTTTTTTTTTTTTTTTTTTTTTGAGACAAGGTCTTGTTCTCTTGCCCAGGCTAGTGTGCACTGGTGTGATCATGGCTCACTGCAACCTTTGTCTTCCAGCCTCATGCAATCCTCCCACCACAGCCTCCTGAGTAACTGGAACTATAGGTGTGCACCACTACATCTGGCTAATTTTTAAAATACACCTGCATTTTCTTTTCATTGTACCCCTAGCACTGTGTGGCACCTGTCACATAGTAGGTGTGCTGTAAATACTTGAATGCCTTTTAACTGTACCTTGGTTTCCTTGTCTGAAAAATGGGAACACAGTATTACTAGAACTCATCCTGGCTCACAGGGTCTACAACAGAATCAAATCTTCTAAGCAAATACTCTTTGACAAACTCTCTAAATATTAATGTGAATTATTGACACTGATGAAGGAAATGGGTCACCCACATTCATCACGGGAGGAATACATGGAAACCATGTTGTCCCATTACCTAAATGAGCCAAAAATGGTCTGATATGATGTTCTGAAAGTTTGAGGTCATTTAGCCTCAAAACTGAACCTTGTCTTGTCTCAAATTGATGATGACTCAGTTTGTACTCTTCAGGTAGCATATGTGATGGACAGTTTCTCAGCTGATTTCATCTGCAAGATAGGGAACAGCTGGGCCTTGAGAGAGTTCACTTGACTACATAAATACTCACAGTGTAGAGATAGTTTAAGTACTTAAACTCTGGATATCTTAAGATAAATCATAACTCTTGAGATTATACTCATTCTTCTGCCAATCTAAAGATAAACACAGCCTGCAAGGCTCTTTCCCTCCAATTACATATTATTCAGAAACTCCTGTGGTTCAATTTCCTTACCTATGAAGTTGAAAGACTAAAATGGGAATACTACAATATTAGTCAGTTCTCACATTGCTATAAAGAACTACGTGAAGGCCGTGCACAGTGGCTCATGCCTGTAATCCCAGCACTTTAGGAGGACAAGGTGAGTGGATCATCTGAGGTCAGGAGTTCAAGACCATCCTGGCCAACATGGCAAAACCTGGTCTCTACTAAAAATACAAAAATTAGCCTGGCGTGGTGGTGGGCACCTGTACTCCCAGCTATTTGGGAGGCTGAGGCAGGAGAATCACTTGAACCCGGGAGGCAGAGGTTGCAGTAAGCTGAAATTGCTCCATGGCACTCCAGACTGGGTGACAGAGTGAGACTCCATCTCAAAAAAAAGGCCGGGCACAGTGGCTCACGCCTGTAATCCCAGCATTTTGGGAGGCCAAGGCGGGGCAGATCACGAGGTCAGGAGATTGAGACCATCCTGGCTAACATAGTGAAACCCCGTCTCTACTAAAAAAAATACAAAAAATTAGCTAGGCGTGGTGGCAGGTGCCTATAGTCCCAGCTACTAGGGAGGCTGAGGCAGGAGAATGGTGTGAACCGGGAGTTGGAGCTTGCAGTGAGCAGAGATGCGCCACAGCACTCCAGCCTGGGCAAAAGAGCGAGACTCCGTCTCAAAAAAAAAAAAAAAAAAAAAAAAAGAACTACCTGAGATTGGGTAATTTATACAGAAAAGAGACTTAATTGGCTCACAGTTCCACAGGCTGTACAGGAAGCATGGCTGGGGAGCCCCAGGAAACTTACAATCATAGTGGAAAATGAAGAGGAAGGAGACAAGTCTTACATGGCAGTGGCAGGAGATAGAGCAAAGAGGGAGGTGCTATACACTTTTAAACAACCAGATCTCATGAGAACTCACTATTACGAGAACAGTAAGGGGGAAATCCGCCCCTGTGATCCAGTCACCTCCCACCAGGCCCCTCCTCCAACATTGAGGATTACAATTCCACATGAGATTTGGGTGGGGACACAAATCCCAACCATATCACCTACCTTGACTACCTCCTTGGGTTGTTGGAAGAATCTAAAATAAAATTAAATAAGTGAAATTATTTTGTGAGTCATAAAGCTCAATACATGGGCAATTCATTCTTGTTAATAGTCATTGTTGTGATTATTAATGTTCTACATGCAAGTCATACCTATAAATAGCCATAATAATTAATTAGGTTATGATGTTCATGGCCAGACATCTGCTATGGAATAAGAAACGTCTCTCAGATGACTTGGGGAAAAAAACAACCATCGGGAACCCAGAATGTTTCTAGATTTAGCATTTTGTTTTCTCCAAATGGCCCTTTTCTGTCTTTCTGAAGAATCCTGCTGTATCACTACAAGGAATGGGGCTTTCTTGATCAAACAATAGCTATGATGGCTGGGTGCGGTGGCTCATGCCTGTAGTTACACCACTTTGGGAGGCTGAGGCAGGTGGATCACCTGAGGTCAGGAGTTTGAGACCATCCTGAGTAACACAGTGAAACCCCATCTCTACTAAAAATACAAAAATTAGCTGGGCTTGGTGGTGCATGCCTATAATCCCAGCTACTCAGCCAGCTGAGGCAGGAGAATCACTTAAATGTGGGAGGCAGAGGTTGCAGTGAGCCGAGATCATGCCACTGCACTCCAGCCTGGGTGACACAGCAAGACTCCTTCTCAAAAAAAAAAAAAAAAAAAAAAAGCTATGATAACTATAACGGCAAGGTGGGGCTTCACACATACTGGCTGGATGCTCTGAGCATCTGAGCATTGTTTCAGCTGGTGATCAGAGTGAGGCTCTGACCTTTAGTCACACATTCCCCTAAAACGCTAAGCAAATCATATGTTTTAACCACACCTGTCAGGTTTTAGGGACTAGACATCTCTTTAATTATGAAACGGTTTGCACATTTGCTAGGTGCACATGAGGTGCTATTTTATAAATGTTCAATTATTAGAAAATAAAGCACATTGAGAAATAAATCTGGAGCAAAAAAAGGAAAAAAAACCCACAAAGTTGTTTGGAGAGAAAGGCCTAGAGACCCTTTTGGCTAAATTCTGGTGGTTCTAAGCTTTGCGCCTGTTAATGTCTTTTATTGGCCTCAGTATAAGATATTTCTTCGGGCATATGGACAACTCTGAAATTGCAAAATATGCACGGAAGCACATTCATGGAAATGTAATCTTGTCTTCTCTGAGACCTATGGGGACCTTGAGTGCCAGAGGCTTCCATGAGCTGTGCAGGGTCTCCACTTGCCAGAGAGATGTAAGATAACTGAGCTGTCAAGAGAAAAGTGACCACGGAGGGGGAGCTTGAACTCAAGGGCCAGAAGTAAAGGAAAAGCATAAGAAGCTCACATTTTTAAGTAACTGGAACAACTGTTAATAGATATACTGTCTTCAAGGATGTGTAATAATAATCAATCGGCAGCAGATCCAAACGCCCCCGGCAGCTAAACAGAGGGAAGGTGGCATTCTTCATTAAAATGCAACCAGGGTGCTGTAGGTTAGGTATCAGGAGTAACACGCTGATGTCAAAGGCTTGTTCCTTTCTGAAAGCATCAGCACCATAGCTTGAGGAATTTTAAACAATGGCATTGAATAGCCCTAGGCAGGCCGGGCTTGGTGGCTTATGCCTATAATCCCAGCACTTTGGGAGGCTGAGGTGGGTGGATCACTTGAGGCCAGGAGTTTGATACCAGCCTGGCCAACACAGCGAAACCCCGTGTCAACTAAAATACAAAAATTAGCCAGGTGTGGTTACACGCGCCTGTGGTCCCAATTACTCAGGAAGGTGAGGCAGGAGAATTGCTTGAACCAAGAAGGCAGAAATTCCAGTGAGCTGAGATAGCTCCACTGCATTCCAGCCTGGGCGACAGAGTGAGACTGCTCAAAAAAAAAAAAAAAAAAAAAAAAAGACTAGCACCAGGCTAGTGATATGGTGTGGGTCTGTGTCCCTGCCCAAATCTCATGTCAAATTGTAATCCCCAGTGTTGGAGGTGGGACCTGGTGGGAGGTGATTGAATCATAGGGGTGGATTTCCCCTTTGGTGCCATTCTCATGACAGTGAGTGAGTTCTCATAAGATCTGGTTGTTTAAAAGTGTGTAGCACCTCCCTGCTCCCTCTCTTCCTCCTACTCTGGCCATGAAAGACATGCTGGCTTTCCCCTTCAACTTTCACTGCGATTGTAAGTTTCCTGAGGCCTCCTCAGCCATGCTTCCTGTACAGCCTGGAGAACCATGAGCCAAATCAAACCTCTTTTCTTTAAATTACCCAGTCTCAGGTAGTTCTTTATAGCAGTGTGAGAACAGACTAATATAGCTGGTTTATTTGAACTAGTCTCCTTTTCAGCTGACTCCTTTTCCCTCTAAAAGCATAATAAATGGAATGAACTGGAGTCAGTGTGCCTAGGTTTGGAACCAGACCTACCACTTAGTAGCCATATGACTTTAGACAAATCACTTAATCTCTCTTGGAAAAAAAAAATTAGTGGAAACAGGATCTTGCTATGTTGCCCAGGCTGGTCTCAAACTCCTGACCTCAAGCGATCTACTCACCTCAGCCTCCCAAAGTGCTGGGATTATAGGCATGAAAGAGCCACTGTGTCCAGCCTTTTCATAGCTTTTAAAATCTATTTTCAGGGCCCAGCTCAAATTCCATCTCCTGCAAGCACAAATGTATTCACACACTCTTTTTGTCATGTGACAAGCATCTGCAGAGTGTGGTTTATGTGCCAGGCCAAGGGTCCCAGAGAGGTTTACTGAGAGACATAGTCCCTGCCTTCAAAGTGCCTGCCATCTGTGGGAGACACAGATGAGTAATAACCCACTGGCTAGGATAGCTGTTAACATAGGGTGTCTAAGTGAGCTAAAATACCATAAACTGAGTGGCTTAAAGAACAGATATTTATTTCTCACAGTTCTGAAGCCTGGGAAGTCCACAGTCAAGGTTCTGGCAGGGTTCAGTTTCTGGTGAGGTCCCTCTTCCGGACTTGCAGACAGCTACTCTTCTCTCCTCTCACGGTGGAGAGAAGGAGGAAACCTGCTCTCTGGTGTCTCTTCTTTTAAGGGCACTAATCCCATCATGGAAGCCCCACCCTCATGACCTCATTAAACCTAATTACCTCCCAAAGGCCCCACCACCAAATACCATCACACTGTGAGGGTCAGGGCTTCAACATGTGAATTTGAGGGTGGGTGGGAAACAAACATTCAGTCCATAACACAGGGCATGATGGGAGTACAGAAGACAGCCACTTATCCAAGTTTTGGAGGCTGTCCCCTGGTCTCTTGTCAGAGACCATAGGATGAGAAAGGATTAGCTGGATAAGGGTGAGGCAGGAGAACATGGTCTGGAGGCAGGCAACCTAAGGCTGATTCATGCTGTCTTCCTAGAACTAAATCAAAAGGCAAACCCCCAACTTTCCATGACCAAGTAACAAAAGGACCAGAGGCTACTCCCTTTGCAAACCACACCCCCCTTTTCTGCAAGGTAGATGGAAAATTGAAAGTACCTCTGATTGATTGTAGAAAGTAATAGTTTGCATAGGAGTGTAACTTGGTAACGTCACTTTAGTCTCTGATTGGTTGCTATCTGCAGCCAATCAGACTGATTGCCAGCCACCAAGTGGCCAATGGGAAAACTCTAAGGGGTATTTGGACCCCAGAAGATTCTGTAACCGGAGCTCTTGAGCTGCTGCTTGGCCATCTCCCACCTTGTGGAGTGTACTTTTATTTTCGATAAATCTCTGCTTTCATGGCTTCATTCTTTCTTTGCTTTGCTGTGCATTTAGTCCAATTATTTGTTCAAAACACCAAGAACCTGGATAACTTGCAGTCAAGACCCTTTACCAGGCCGGGTGCAGTGTCTCACACCTGTAATCTCAGCACCTTGGGAGGCTGAGGCGGGCGGATTGCCTGAGGCCAGGAGTTAGAGCCCAGCCTGGCCAACAATGGCGAAACCCAGTCTCTACTTATAATTACGAAAATTAGCCGCGCCTGTAATCCCAGCTATTTGGGAGGCTGAGGCAGGAGAATTGCTGGAGCCCAGGAGGTTGAGGATGCAGTAAGCCAAGATCACGCCATTGCACTCCAGCCTGGGCAGCAAGAGTGCAACTCCATCTTAAAAAAAAAAAAAAAAAAAAAAAAAAAAACAAAAAAAACCCTCTACCAGTAACAAAGGGATGGGGAAGGGAGAATGCATTCCATGTAGGAGAAGCCTCTTGCGAAGATCCAGGGCCAAAGAAGCAAAGGCAAACTAGGGAACTGCAAGCAGCAGTGTGTTCCTGGCTCACAAGGGCGTGATAAGGGGTGATGGGGATAGTGACCGCTGAGGCTGAAGAGAGACTCCAGGAACTACCCAGGGGACTTTGGACTTGACTCTGAAGGCAGTGGCATATCCATGAAAGATGAGAGTTGATCACAGTTGCAGTTTAGACATTTCTCTCAGGCAGCAAGGAGGAGGATGAATTAGAGGGGGTCCCGTGGAAGTTCTCCCTGAGCACCCCAGTCCACTCAGTCTGTATGTTAATACCTATTGCTCTAGATTCTTTACATCCCAGTTTAGAATTTAATTGTTTCTATTTTTGCTCCTCAGGCACTGAATTTTTCTTTCCTACCTGATTATAAGCTTGTTCAGGGTGGGGACCTTGTTTATCCAAGGGCACAGAGTAAGTTCTCCATAAAATCACCAGGGGCTGGGCACAGTGGCTAATGATAATCCCAGCACTTTGGGGAGCCAAGGTAGGCAGATTGCTTGACCAGGAGTTTGAGACCAGACTGGGCAACACAGCGAGACCTCGTCTTTACAAAAAATACAAAAATTAGTCTGGCGTGGTGGTGCTTGCCTGTAGTCCCAGCTACTCGGGAGGCTGAGGTGGAAGGATTGCTTGAGCCCAAGAGGTTGAGGCTGTAGTGAGGCTGTCACCACTGCACTCCAGCCTGGGTGACAGGGGAGACACCATCTCTAAAAAATAAATAAATAAAAGAAAAGAAAGAAAAAAAGAAAAACTCCAGACAATAGGATCCTCTTTTGATCTTTTCCATCTGTTGCCATGGCCAGATGCACTGTGACACTTTTCTTTCAGTAGGGAATTTTCTTTCTACATTATTGTACTTATTTTATTGGACTCTCTTGGGCATGTTCAGAAAATGGTACTGATGTTAAATGCAAAGGTTACGGAGCTGTGAGATGATGGCAGAAAAATGTGAAGCGAGGCTTCTCATCCTTTTAATTTTATTTATGTTTTTCAGACACAAGGTCTGGCTCTGCTGCCCAGGCTGGAGTGCAGTGGCGTGATCATAGCTCACTGAAGCCTTGAACTTTTAGGCTCAGGTGATCCTCCTGTCATAGCCTCCTGGAGGCTTTTCATTCTTTAATGGGCACACAAACACAGAGGGCTCTGTTCAAATGCAGATTCTGATTTAGCAGGTCTGGGGTGGAGCCTGAGATTCCGCTTTTGTTTTTCTTTTTCTTTTCTTTTGTGAGATGGAGTGTCACTCAGTCACCCAGGCTGGAGTGCAGTGGTGCGATCTTGGCTCACTGCAACTTCCGCCTCCCAGTTTCAAGTGATTATCCTGCCTCAGCCTCCTGAGTAGCTGGGACTACAGGCACCTGCCAGCACGTCAGGCTAATTTTTGTATTTTTAGTAGAGACAGTGTTTCGCCATGTTGGCCAGGCTGGTCTTGAACTCCTGACGTCAGGTGAACCGCCTGCCTTGGCCTCCCAAAGTGCTGGGATTACAGGCATGAGCCACCATACCCGGCCGAGATTCTGCTTTTTTTAATAAGCTCCCAGGTGATGTAATGCTGGATGCAAATCCACAGACCAGAGTTGTGGGGGAAAGCACCCCAGGCTAAAAATCTGGATGCCTGGGTTCCAGGTTGGCTTTGCCAGTAAGTGGCCACAAGACCTGGACTAAGTCATTGAACATCCCTGGGCCCCGGATTTCATCTTTAAATTATTGAGTTTGTCTGGTTGATCTCTAAGCTCTCTTCCCAGCTCTAAAAATTAATCTGTGATTGGGTACGTTACATTTGGCAAAAACATTTTGAGAATCTTGGAGAAAAGAGGTATGTGAATTCAGTCCATTTTAGTTATTAATGTTACTGATAGAGAGGCCATGGCTTGAGTTCCAGTGGATTAAAAAAAATAATCCTTTAATCCTCCTAGCGTAGTCACTCACCACTTGGCATGGCACAATGTAGATTATTGCTTTGAATGAGCTGGGCTAAAACGAAAATCTCGAGTTGGGATCCTGTCACATTTATACTCCATTTGCAGCCATACTCTTGGGGATGCATGTTGAAATAACTGTGCAATGTCAAAACAAGCTTCCATTTACTTTAAAATAAAATTTCAAGCAGTTATAGCCAAACCCCAAATTCACTGAAGTAGCTAGGAGAGAAAAGGTACAGCTGAGTGTGGATTTTTGAATTTAAATGTCTCTAACTCAGGATTTAGTTGATGTGATCCTTGAAAGTCCCAGTACTGCTACTGTACTTGAATGAAAAGGATGGATAATGAAAAGAGGTATAATCTCATTTGTTACGGAATGCTATTCCTGACAGCTCACTGGAGCCACCATGCTGAAGGCCAACGAAGAGAATGAAGAGGTTAACCATTTACTTCTTCCTTTTCTTTCTTTCTTTTTTTTCTTTTTTGAGACTGAGTCTCACTCTGTCACTCAGGCTGGAGTGCAGTGGTGCAATCTTGGCTCACTGCAACCTCTGCTTCCCAGGTTCAAGCAATTCTCCTGCCTTGGCCTCCCAAGTAGCTGGGACTACAGGTGCACACCACCACACACAGCTAATTTTTGTATTTTTAGTAGAGACAGGGTTTCACCATGTTCGTCAGGCGGGTCTCAAACTCCTGACCTAGGTGATCCACCAGTCTCAGCCGCCCAAAGTGCTGGGATTACAAGCGTGAGTCACCGTGCCCCGTCCTTTTTCTTTTTTAAATACTGATTATTCAAAGCAGCAGCAGGAGGATCAGAGAACTGCACCACAGTAAAATAAAGGCAGTACTTGCTTTCAAATGCAATCCTTCTTTTGAGAATTAACTAGCTGCCAAGTTGAGGAACAGCAGAGAAGCCTCCTTAGGACTAGTTGATTTCCCTTACTGTGGATAAGGCTGATTAAAGCAAGATGAGAAAATGCAACCCAAGGGTGAAGGGTGGGAAAAGGAAAGGGAGACTGCGAGGGCACTGGCTCCAGATATGTACTGGCAAGCCTCAAAAAACTACCAATCTTGGAAACAAATATACACCCTCCACTCAAATCTAGCTTTTAAAATGTTGGTCCCCTTTGTATTATTATTTTTTTTTTTTTTGAGACAGTCTCACTCTGTTGCCCAGGCTGGAGTGCAGTGGTGCTCACTGCAATCTTGAACTCCTGGGCTCAAGTGATCCTCCAGCCTCAGCCTCCCCAGTAGCTAGGACTGCAGGCATGCACCACCAAACCTGCCTAATTTCAAAAAAATTAATTTGTAGAGGTGGGATCTCACTATGTTACTTAGGCTGGTCTTGAACCCCTGGTCTGAAGTGATCCACCCGCCTCAGCCTCCCCAGTAGCTGGGACTACAGGCATGCACCACGATGTATGGTTAATTTAAAAAAATTTTGGCCAGGTGAGGTGGTTCACACCTGTAATCCCAGCACTTTGGGAGACTGAAGTGGGCAGATCACCTAAGGTCAGGAGTTTGAGACCAGCCTGGCCAACATTGTGAAACCCTATCTCTAGTAAAAATACAAAAATTTGCTGGGTGTGGTAGCACATACCTGTAGTCCCAGCTACTTGGGAGGCTGAGGCAGGAGAATTGCTTGAACCTGGGAGGCAGAGGTTGCAGTGAGCTGAGATTGCACCACTGCACTCCAGCCTGGGTGACAGAGAGAGAACTTGTCTCAAAAAAAAAAAAAAAAATCTGGAGATAGGGTCTTACTCTCTTGCCCAGGCTGGAGTGCAGTGATGTGATGTTGGCTCACTGCAGCCTTGAACTCTTGAGCTCCAGCAATCCTCCAACCTCAGCTTCCTGAGTAGCTGGGACTACAGGTGCATGTCACCATACCTGATTAGTTTTCTTGTATTTTTCGTAGAGATGAGGTTTCATCATGTTGCCCAGGCTGGTCTTGAACTCCAGACCTCAAGTGATCCTCCCGCCTCAGCCTCCCAAACTTCTGGGATTATAGACATGAGCCACCATGCCCAGCCTAAGCTAATTTTAAACACTTTTTTTTTTATAGAGATGGGGTCTCACTATGTTGCCCAGGCTGCTCTTGAACTCCTGGCCTCAAGCCTTCCAAAGTGTTGAGATTACAGGCATGAGCCACCCTGTCCAGCCAATCCTTTTCAATGAGTGACTTTGAGGCAAAATATGCAATTGGAAAAAACATAATAAGTAGTGTTCTTTCCCCTCTTGGCCAGCCTTCTCAGCCTGCAGCTATAGCTGAGTATAGGTTGATGTGGCAATAGTTAAACTGTTGTCTGGCATGTCTCAGGGAAGGTGGCCTTCCCCAGAGCCTCCCTTGCAGAAGCTCCTAACTGATCTCACTGCCCAGAATCTGCAGGAAGCCGCCTGCCCTATTCTATGTTCAGGAACCCAATGCCAAGAGAGTCAACTGCATTGCTAGAAAGCTTTTGTCTTTGTATTAGTCCGTTCTCGCATTGCTATAAAGAACTACCTGAGACTGGGTAATTTATAAAGAAAAAAGGTTGAATTGACTCACAGTTCTGTGGGCCGTACAGGAAGCATGGCTGGGGAGGCCTCGGGAAACTTACAATCATGGTGGAAGGCAAAAGGGAAGCAGGTATGTCTTACGTGGCTGGAGCAGGAGGAAGAGAGAAGGAAGCGGGAGGTGCTGCACACTTTTTTTTTTTTTTTGAGACAGAGTCTTGCTCTGTTGCCCAAGCTGGAGTGCAGTGGTGCATTCTTGGCTCACTGCAACCTCCGCCTCCTGGGTTCAGCTGATTCTCCTGCCTCAGCCTCCCGAGCAGCTGGGATCACAGGTGCCTGACACCACACCTGGCTAATTTTTAGTATTTTTTTTTTTAGTAGAGATGGGGTTTCACCATTTTGGCCAGGTTGGTCCTGAACTCCTGACCTCAAGTGATCTGCCCGCTTTGCCCTCCCAAAGTGCTTGGATTACAGGCATGAGCCACTGTGCCCAGCCTGCTGCACACTTTTTAAACAACTAGATCTCGCGAGAACTCACTCACTATCACGAGAACAGCACAGCAAGGGGGATCTTCGCCCCCGTGATCCAATCACCTCCCACTAGGTTCCTCCTCCAATGCTGGGGATTACAATTCGACGTGAAATTTGGGCGAGAACACAGACTCAAACCCTATCAGTCTCCAACGCCAGCCTCCTGGCTTTGCCTGCGTGTGACCCCGCTCCTGCTGACTCACATTAACTCCTCTGGGTCATGAAGCGTCTGGGTCCTGCCTGTAATTCCACCTCCAAGAGGTCCCCTCCTCTCATGCAACCTGAGGTCATTTGGATAATGCTTTTGTCTCTTCCTTCAGCACCCTGCTCAGCCGGGAGACGAGCTCAATTCCCTCCTCCTTGCCCTAAGCTGCAAAGCTCTTCTTTTTATCCTGCTCCTTCTAGGACCTGGCTCTCCCTCCTCTGACACCCCACTTTTATTCAGCCAGCCCCGTCCTTCTTGGAGTTCAGCTAGTTGTCTTAGTCCATTTTGCATTGCTGTAAAGGAATACCTGAGGCTGGGTAATTTACAAAGAAAGTGGTTAGGCTTGGAGCTGTGGCTCACGTTTACAATCCTAACACTTTGGGAGGCTGAGGTGGGTGGATCACTCGAGGTCGGGAGTTGGAGATCAGCCTGGCCAACATGGTGAAACCCTGTCCCTACTAAAAATACAAACTTAGCCAGGTGTGGTGGCACACACCTGTAATCCCAGCTATTCAGGAGTCTGAGACAGGAGAATCGCTTGAACCTGGGAGGCGGAGGTTGCAGTGAGCCGAAATCATGCCACTACACTCCAGCCTGGGCCACAGAGCAAGACCCCTTCTCAGAGAAAAAAAAAAAAGAAAGAAAGAAAGAAAAAGATTTATTTGGCTCATGGTTCTGCAGGCTGTACGAGAAGCATGGCCCCACTATCTGCTCTGCTTCTGGTGACACCTCAGGAAGCTTATGATGAAGGCAGAAGGCAAAGGGGGAGCCAGCATATCACATGATGAGAGAGAGAGAGAGAGAGAGAGAGAGAGAGAGAGAGAGAGAGAGGAGGTGTGAGGCTCCGTTAAACAACCAACTCTTGTGTGAACTAACAGAATGAGAACTCACTCATTACTACTGTGAGGAGGGCACCAAGCCATTCATAAGGGATCTGCCCCCATGACCCAAACACTTCCCACCAGGCCCCACCTCCAACATCGGGAATGGCATTTTAACATGAGATGTGCAAGGGACAAACAACTAAACTATATCACTGGTCAATTGGGCTTCATTCATATGTTTTTCTCCAAAACTGCTGCTACAAAAACAAATCCAAAAAATCCAGACATGTTCTGGGGGACGGTTTTGCAACATTACAGTGAGAAAATGGCTCATCTATGCTTCTTTAATTTCTTCTTAGGTTGCCTTAGCTTATAGATGTTGAGATATCAAGAGGCAGGAACTGGAGTTAGCAGAGCAAATGGAGCCCCTACACCCCTGTGAGTTCACACACTGCAGCACTTAAGTGAGACATGAAGACATTTCATGGAGTGATAACTGTGGGAGAAGCCTTGGACTGGTAGTTGGACCATGTGGGCTCTGCCCTTACAGCCGTGGACAATCATTGCATCTCTCTGAACTTCAGTATCTTCATCCACAAAATCACTCTACCATTCAGGGAGTGAATTAAACTGAGATACAGCTAGGATCACCTGGTCCGTGGGTGTTCAGAGTATGTTGATTTACTCATTTCTTTTTTCATTTTTGATTTTCCTGAATCAGCAAGGCAGAAGCACTGACCCTTGGCCAGCCTTATGGAAACTTTACTGTTTGTCCTTTAGACGTTCTGAATACCAAGAGTCATTTCATCTTCCTTCCTTTCTTCCTTCCTTCCTTCCTTCCTTCCTTCCTTCCTTCCTTCCTTCCTTCCTTCCTTTTGAGGCAGGATCTCACTCTGTCACCCAGGCTGGAGTGCAGTGGCATGATCATAGCTTACTGCAGCCTCAACTTCCCAGGCTCAAGCCATCCTCCTGCCTCAGCCTCCCTTGTAGCTGGGACTACTTATTATGTAGTAGCTGGGACTACTTATTATTTAATTATGCCAGGCTAATTAAAAAAATTTTTTTTTGTAGGGACAGGAGTCTAACTATGTTGTCCAGGCTAGAGTGCAGTGGCACAATCTCGACTCACTGCAACTTCTGCCTCCCGGGTTCAAGTGATTCTCCTGCCTCAGCCTCCCAAGTAGCTGGGATTATAGGCACCCACCACCACACCTGGCTAATTTTTGTATTTTTAGTAGAGACAGGGTTTCACCATGTTGTCCAGGCTGATCTCGAACTCCTGACCTCAGTTGAACTGCCCACCTCGGCCTCCCAAAGTGCTGGGATTACAGGCATGAGCCATCGCGCCCAACCAGCATTCCCAAATCTATTTATCAAATCTACTATGTGCCAGGCACCGTATTGGGTACTGGGGATACTGTAGTAAACAAAAAAGCCAGGATTTCTGCCCTCTCAGATTCCATGGTCAAATGAAAAACTCCTTAACTCCTTTCAGCCTCAGTTTTCTCATTTTTAAAATGGGATTGATAATAATACTTATCTCAGAGGTTTGTTGTAACAACAAAAAAATAAGGCGACAGCTAAAGGGCTGAGAATAGAGCCGGTCATGCAGTTGATGTCATATATTGACATGATAGCTTTGGCTGTTGATGACAGCTTGGAACACTGGTGTGACTTTGTTTTCCTAGTACTGGAAACACATCAATCAGGATTAATGATTAGAATTGCTTACGAGAAAAACCCCTATAGATGTGGACATGTTTAGATATTTTAAAATAAACATAGAAAAAAATGGTGAACTCAAAATGATGGAATTGGAGGGTGTGACAGTTAATTTCATGTGTCAACTTGACTGGGCTAAGGGATGCCCAGATAGGTGATAAAACATTATTCCTGGGTTGTCTGTGAGGGTGTTTTCAGAAGAGATTAGCATTTGTTTCTTTGTTTTGTTTGGTTTTGTTTTTGAGACAGGGTCTCCCTCTGTCGCCCAGGCTGGAGTGCAGTAGTGTGATCATGGCTCACTACAGCCTCAACCTCCTGGGCTCAAGTGACCTTCCCACCTCAGCCTCCTGTGTAGCTGGGACTACAAGCACACCACCATGCATGGCTATTTTGTGTGTGTGTGTGTGTGTGTGTGTGTGTGTGTGTGTGTATGTAGTTTTTGTAGAGATGGGGCTTCACCATGTTCTCCAGACTCATCTTGAACTCCTGAGCTTAAGGGATCCACCTGCCTTGGCCTTCCAGAGTGCTGGGATTACAAGCATGAGCCACTGCACCTGACTTATGCATTACTTTTGTAGCAAAAAAAATTAATAAAATTTTAAAAAGTAAAAAAAAAAAAGAAAAATTAAACATTAAAAAAATTCTCTAATGCCACCAGGAAAAGTGCTCAATTTTTTCCTCCTAGGAATGTGGATAAATTCCCCCAAAACAGCCCCTCCATAATGATTCCATAGTCCCCTTTCCCCACAACCTCTCTTCCACCACTCCACTCCCTGTACTCGGCCCCCATCCCTCCTTTGCCACAGGCAGCACTCACTGAACCCAGTGTAAAGCACTAATGTTGTTGTTAGACAGTTTCCTTCTACAGGCTTCTGCCAGGCCAGAGCTACCCGAGTGAACAATAATCATTATCATGTCTGACAATCTGTGAAGATTAGCTCTAAGGGGAAAAAATTGAAAAATTGCATGTGCAAGTTATATTATGTGTCTTAATTTTAAAGCCATGCTGAAACCACAGAGTGTTGTAGCTTACCGCTATTTATCAAAGGCAATTATTAGAAAAGCCAGTTTGTATGGTACACATTTGTGTCCATAAAAATGCATTACTTACTGACCTGTCTGGTCTCTGAACTCCAGACTCCTTTCTTGCCTGGATATCTTTTTTCTTTTCTTTTTTCTTTTTTTTTTTTTTGAGACAGAGTCTCACTCTGTCACCCAGGCTGGAGTGCAGTGGCATGATCTTGGCTCACTGCAACCACCGCCTCCCGGGTTCAAGCGAATCTCCTGCCTCAGCCTCCCGATTAGCTGGGATTACAGGAGCATGCCACCACACCAGCTAAATTTTTGTATTTTTAGTAGAGACAGGGTTTCACCATGTTGGCCAGGCTGGTCTGGAACTCCCGACCTCAGGTTGTCCACCAGCCTCGGTTGTCCGCCAGCCTCGGCCTCCCAAAGTGCTGGGGTTTCAGGTGTAAGCCATCATGCCCGGCCTATAGGCATTTATAATTCCCCAGCATTTATAAGAGGGCATGCAAACTAAGCCCTGTGTTTGATGCTATCATACTTGTATTCTCATCACTGCTGGGATGGATGGAGAGAGGCATATTGGTGCAGCTTTTCTGCAGAGCCTCAGAAACATTCTGCGAGGCTGACTCTCCTAGCCTGTATGACCATGGTTCCCTGGTGCCACAGTGTCACTTACAGTGGGCCATTGGCCAATGGCTACCCAGGTGCCATGGCAGCCTCTGTAGCCTTCAAGTTCAAGAAATGAATCTCAGGGGCCTTCTAACTTGCCCTACATCACCGGGGTTATTCATGGCAGGAGAGGAACAGGTGGTTCTAAGACCTTGCTCTTAAATCCTAGTTCACAAAGTACATTGAGCTTGCCTGCTGTGTTCTCTGAGCCCTCGTAACCTCCCTCCAGCCAGTCAGACTGACCTGAATACCAAAAAGTGGTTCCATAACATTAATGATTCATTACATCCTTTTCCTATATCAGATCACTCCCAGCTGATTATCATACAATTAGTCTTATACCCTTTCTTCATCCTTTTTCTTATCAGTTGGAGAAAGGTAAAATGTTTGCAGCAGAAACACACAAGCCCTTGGGGCTGGATGTGAGGCAACCCATGTCAGATTTTAAGGTTTGAGGGTTTTGACACTGATACCTGCCAGCATTAGCCCTGGTCTGACCTATCTAAACCAGTAATTGTGCTGGTCGGGTTCCTTTGAGAGCCACTGATATAGACCACCATTCCATCGCATAGAACCAAATTTAAGTAATTTATGTTTGATTCTTTATCTGGAGGTTGAATTGGAAAGGCTAACTGCTCTTTATTTATTTATTTATTTATTTATTTATTATTATTATTTTTGGAGACGGAGTCTCACTTTGTCACCCACGCTGGAGTGCAGTGGTGTCATCTCCATTCACCACAACCTCCGCCTCCCAGGTTCATGCAATTCTCCTGCCTCAGCCTCCTGAGTAGCTGGAATTACAGGTACCCGCTACCATGCCCAGCTAATTTTTGTATTTTTAGTAGAGACGGGGTTTCACCATGTTGGCCAGGCTGGTCTCGAACTCCTGACCTCAGGTGATCTGCCCACCTCGGCCTCCCAAAGTGCTAGAATTACAGGTGGCATGAGCCACCATGCCTGGTCTAACTGCTCTTTAATATATTTAAGCATGATTATCCTGATCAGTAAGAGTGACAGGCATTCTTAGGCTTAGACAAATCTGCCTGGGGGTGTCAAGATCATCTTGTATCTAGGACTTCAATAAATTCTTAGAAACTATTTAGCTTCATGATCATTGTTTGCTAGAGGCTCTGCTAAAGAGGCACATCTCTTACTTGACCAAATCTAGAAATAATAACTTAATTACTACTCAGCTATCATATAGAATTTTGATAATAGACTCAAGTTAAGGGACTTTGACTTTAGAGATTTAAATATGTTCTAAAACGCTTTGACTGAGTAATTATGTCTCTGAAAATAATCTATCCCAAGTAAATAGTCAAGAATACAAAAGAGGCCTGGCACGGTGGCTCAGCTCTGTAATCCCAGCACTTTGGGAGGCCAGGGTGGACAGATCACTTGAGGTCAGGAGTTTGAGACCAGCCTGGCCAACACGGTGAAACTCTGTCTCTACCAAAAAATACAAAAATTCGCTGGGCATGGTGGCATGCACCTGTAGATACAGGTACTTGGGAGGCTGAGGTGGGAGAATCGCTTGAACCCAGGAGGTGGAAGGAGGTTGCTGAGTGAGCTGAGATCGTGCCACTGAACTCTAGCCTCGGTGACAGTGAGACCTTGTCTCAAAAAAAAAAAGAATAATAATTGCAAAAGAATATGTATGCACAAAGATGTTCATCACAGCATTATTTAACACAGTGAAAAATCAGAAGCAAACTGGCCGGGTGTGGTGGGCTCACGTCTATAATCATAGCAGTTTTGGGGGCCATGGCTGGCGGATCTCTTGATGTCAGGAGTTCAAGACCAGCCTGGTGAACATGGTGAAACCCAATCTCTATTAAAAATGCAAAAAAATTACCCGGGCATGGTGGCACATACCTGTAATCCTAGCTACTTGGAAGGCTGAGGCATGAGAATCACTTGAACATGGGAGATGGAGGTTGCAGTGAACAGAGACTGCGCCACTGCACTCCAGCAGGGGTGACAGAGTGAGACTCTGTTTCCAAAAAAAAAAAGAAAAAAAATAGAAGCAAACCAAAAGTAAATTCTGGACTAATGTAAGATGTTAATAATAGGTAAAAAATGGGTGTAGGGCATATGGTAAATCTGAACTGTCTGCCTAATTTTTCTGTAAATCTAAAACTGTTCTAAAATAAGTTTATCAGACTGGGCGCAGTGGCTCACGCTTGTAATCCCAGCACTTTGGGAGGCCAAGGCAGGCGGATCACTTGAGGTCAGGAGTTTGAGACCAGCCTGACCAACATGATGAAACACCATCTCTACTAAAAATATAAAAATTAGCTGGGTATGGTGGCGGGCACCTGTAATATCAGCTACTCAGGAGGCTGAGACAGGATAATTGCTTGAACCTGGGAGGTGGAGGTTGCAGTGAGCTGAGATCAGGCCACTGAAGCCTGGGTGACAGAGTGAGACCCTGTCTCAAAAACAAAACAACAAAACAAAAACATCAAAAAAGTTTATCAAAGTAAGGTACAGTATATCCAAATTGATGGACTGTTGCACAATAACTAAAAATTTATGAAGTTTGTAATTATGTAGAAAATCATTAAAACATGTAAAAAAGGAAAGATGCAAAATTATGCAATTTTCATAACAGTGTGCACTGGAGACAATTTTCAGAATGGCAGCACAAGGAGCTCTGTGGACCCTCTTCCCAGTGAGACAACCACAACTGGTGAAAATTATGTAAAAAACCACCATCTGAAGTCTCTGGAAATTGTCCTACAGGCACACAATGAATGAAGAAATATTTATTTAAGAAAATCTAGTAAGTCACAATAACAATAAGACTCTGTGGCATTTGAACCATGACTTACTTCCTTTCCCACAGCTCCCCGACTTTCATCCCTAGTTCATTGTGACAGAGGCTGTGCTACTGGTGGGAGGTATTCGAGTTACCGGCAGTGAATATGTACGGGTTTGCAGCAACCTCAGTTCTTGCCTCCTCAGAAGAAGGAATTCGGGCCAGGCGTGGTGGCTCACGCCTGTAATCCCAGCACTTTAGGAGGCCGAGGTGGGAGGATCACTTAAGGTCGGGAGTTTGAGACCAGTTTGGCCAACATGGGGTGAAACCCTGACTCTACTAAAAAACTACAAAAATTAGCCAGGTGTGTGGTGGCGTGTGCCTGTAGTCCCAGCTACTCAGGAGGCTGAGGCAGAAGAATCACTTGAACCTGGGAGATGGAGGCTGCAGTGTGCTGAGAGTGCAGCACTTCACTCCAGCCTGGGCAACAGAGCGAGACTCAGTCTCAAAAAAAAAAAAAAAAAAAGAAGAAGAAGGAATTTGACTGAGGGGCATAAGGCAGAAAAAGAGATTGAGGCAAGTTTCAGAGCAGGAGTGGAAGTTTATTTAAAAGGCTTTAGAAAAGAAAAGAAAGAAAGTATGCTTGGAAAAGACCCAAGCAGGCTCTGAGGTCAGATGTGACATTTAACTTAGATCCTAGGACTTTATAAGCTGGCCCACTTCTGGCATCTTGCACCCCCTCCTATGATTCTTCCCTTAGGGTAGGTTGCCTGCATGCGCAGTGCCCTCCTCACACTTGGGAAATGAGCATGTGCAGTGTGTTTAGAAAGTTGTATGCATGCCCAACTGAAGCTTTCTTCCTGTTTCCGGTGGAGTGCCCCTATAAGGTCTTACTCTGCCATTTTGTCTCTTAATGCCCATGGCCAGGAAGTTGCTTCTCTCTGGCATCTGCATTCAATTAACACTTTAGTGCAACAAGTGTGAACCATCCGGAGATGGCCTCTTCCTGGCGCTGACTGCCAATTTATTACTTTTAGAGAGGCAATGTGATAATCGCTGAACCATCATCTGACATTCCTAGTGGATAGGAGAGAGCCCTCTCTGCCCCGCTCATGCCTGTCTAACTACCTGTAACAGCTCCATCCTGGGTGGGTGCAGCCAAGAACACAGGGCTCTGTCTCTCTCAAATCCCAGTTGAGGGCTATTGTATCTTCCCAGGAGGGCAGGCCACCAGCATTTTTCTTCCCCAACCCTGGCTCTGTGTCGTAGAAGCTCTAACTCAGGCAAGAGCAACTGGGAGGTCTTGGGGGTGGTCCGTTCTCTTACCCAGCCCCTGCTTTTAGGGTACAGGTGAACCCTAGGTGTGGGAGGCTGAAAATATAAGGATCACAATTTCCCTGGACACAGCTTGCCCTTACAGCAGAGGTTCCATGTTGGGAGAGGAACACTGGGAAGACTGGAGGCTATTGCTCCTGTCTAAAGCCCTACTCATAAAGTAGGGGAATAACACTCAGAGAGAAGCAGGCCACTGTCTCTACCCCCAGTTCCAGAGCCCTGGTGAAGAATTTTGCCCAGGGAGAGAGACAGGACATAAGAACAAAGATCCCTGAAGCTCTCCCCAGTGGAACTGACTTCATTAAGCCTGGAGTGTGGAGAAATTCAAGCCTACACTCTAGAAAACAATGCAGATTTTGGTAGTAAGCAATTAAGAGGAGGCTAGGAGCTCCATGTGAGCAACAAATTAAATCATAGGACAGCTACATATTTACTGGAGACAACCAGGGAAATAGAGAGCTAAGAAGAGCCTTCCTGGTCTCAAAGGAAGTCTCAAAAACTGGCCTCAACAGCTTAGCTACCTCTGCAAAGGTACCTGAATTCAATTGCTCCAGGGCATTGTTATAACAAATGAAAATTGGAGGGGAATTAGTGGACATTAACAGGAGAGTGTAAAACCTACCGAGGCAGCAGATAGTATAAGATAAAAAAAAAAAGAAAAGGAGGCTCGAAGAGAGTCCAGCTAAAACCATTGTCATCCCAGGGTGACTCTTTGTGTGCCCAAGGTTGTAACCTCTGAAGATTAACATCAGGGGCTCCACACTGAGGGAGAAATAGGCTTCACTAAAATAGTTCCCTGGGTCACAAAACAAGATAAACAAGAAACAACGATAAGTCCTAGAGAGGGAGGAGTGAGGGAAATCAGTATCCAGTTGTTACAATACAAATGCCCAGTTTTTAACAAAAAATTATGATATGCAGCGAAATAGGAAAGTATGACCCATACATAGGAATAATAAAAGGAGGCAACAGAAACTGCTTGTGAGAGAGCCCACATAGCAAATTTAGCAAAGACTTCAAAGAAGCATTATAAATATGTAACTAAAGAAGACTATACTTAAAGAAGTAAAGGAAGATACAATGACAATATCTCATTAAAGAAAGAATACCAAAAGAGATAAAATGATAAAAAATGAACCAAATTTAAATTTTGGTACTAGAAAGTACAATAACTGAGATTAAAAAAATTACTATAGGAGCACAATAGTAGATTTGAACCAGAAGAAGAAAGAGTCTATGAACATGAAGATTGATTGAGAGGTTATACAATCCAAATAATAGAGAGAAAAAAATGAAGAAAAATGAGTAGAGCCTCAAGGAACTGTGGGTACACCATTAAGTGTAATAATATATATGTAATGAGAGTAGCAGAAGGAGAGGAGAAAGAAAAGAAGCAGAAAAAAATATTAGAAGAAATAATGGCTAAAAGCTTCCCAAATTTGATGAGAAATATTAATCTCAATGAACTCCAAGTGTGATAAGTGCAAAGAGATACATACCAGATACATCATAGTAAAAATGTTGAAAGACAAAAATAAAGAGAAAATCTTGAAGTAACAACAGAAAAATTACTCATGTTCAAGGGAACCCCAATAAAATTAACAGTTGACTTCTCATTAGAAACCATGGAGCCCAGAAGGCAGTGGGATGGCATATACAAAATGCTCAAAGAAAAATAACCCCTATCAACCAAGAATCTCATATCCAGTAAAACCATCTTTCAAAATTAAGGTAAAAGAAAAGACATTTGGGCTGGGCATGGTGCCTCATGACTGTAATTCCAGCACTTTGGGAGGTCAAGGCAGGTGGATTGCCTGAAGTCAGGAGTTCAAGACCAGCATGGCCAACATGGTGAAACCCTGTCTCTACTAAAAATACAAAAATTAACCATGTGTGGTGGCAGGCACCTGTAATCCCAGCTACTTGGGATGCTGAGGCAGGAGAATCGCTTGAACCTGGGAGGCAGAGGTTGTAGTGAGCCAAGATTGTGCCATTGCACTCCAGCCTGGGTGACAGAGTGAGACTCTGTCTCAAAAAAAAAAAAAAAAAAAAAAAAAAAGGAAAGACATTTGCAGAAAAACAAACAAACAAACACCAAGGTAATTCATTTGCTAGTAGACCTATTTTACAAGAACTACTAAAGAAAGTTCTTCAGGCTAAAAGCAAGTGACACCAAACAGTAATTCAAATCCACACAAAAAAAGAAAGAAGAAAAAAAGATCAAGGCAATTATGTTATTATAAAATACACTATAAATGCATATATTTTCTTCCTTCTCTTAATTGATTTAAAAATTAATTGCATAAAACAGTGCATTTATAATTGTATTGTTGAGTTTTTAATATATAAAAATGTGGCTGGTTGCAGAGGCTCATGCCTGTAATCCCAGCACTTTGGGAGGCTGAGGTGGGGAAATTGCTTGAGGCCAGGAGTTTGAGACCAGCCTAGGCAACATAGCGAGACTCTGCCTACAAAAATATTTTTTAAAAATTAGGCATGGTGGTGGGTGCCTGTAGTCCTAGCTGCTCCGGAGGCTCAGGCAAGAGAATCAGTTGAGCCCAGGAGTTCAAGGTTACAGTGAGCTATGTTTATGCCACTTCACTCCAGCCTGGGCAACAGAGTGAGAGCCTGTCTGTATTTAAAAAAGGTAATACATTTGACAATAACATGACAAAAGAAGCAAATGGGAGTAAAACTGTATAGGAGAAAGAAACATCACCAGATGGTATCTCAAATTCACAGGAACAAATGAAAAGAAACATAAATGGCAAATAAGAAGGTTAATGTAACAAACTCTACAATTACTTGTTTTCATTTCTTCTCTTATCTTCATCAACACACATAAAATTATATAATATGATAATTATAAAATATATTATTGGCTGGGTGTGGTGGCTCACGCCTATAGTCCCAGCACTTTGGGAGGCTGAGGTGGGTGGATCACGAGGTCAGGAGATCAAGACCATCCTGGCTGACATGGTGAAACCCTGTCTCTACTAAAAAATTAGCCAGGCGCGGTGGCAGGCGCCTGTGGTCCCAGCTACTCAGGAGGCTGAGGCAAGAGAATGGTGTGAACCCGGGAAGTGGAGGTTGCAGTGAGCTGAGATCGCACCACTGCACTCCAGCCTGGGTGACAGAGTGAGACTCCGTCTCAAAAAAAAAAAAAAAAAAAAAAAAAAAAAAAAAAAATATATATATATATATATATATATATATTTGGGTTTGTAACATATACAGATGTAATATGTATATTAATAATAGCATAAATTAAAGAAGGAATAGTGCTATACAGAACAATGTTTTTTATATTTTACTGGGTTTAAGTAACTATAATCTGAAGCAGGTTCTGATAAATTAAGATATTTATGTTAAGCCATACAGCAACCATAAGAAAATAATAAAAATATACATAGTGAGGGAATCATTAAAAGAAATTTAAGTGTTACACTAGAAAGTATTAAATTAATGCAAAAAGAAAGCAGTAAAGGAGGAAGCAGAAGAACAAAAAAGACTTAAGACACATAGAGAACAAAAAGCAAAATGGCAGATGTGAATCCAGTTATATCAATAATAATATTAAATGTGAATGGATTAAACAATTGTATCAAAAGGTAGAATGTGTTCTGATGGATAAAAAGTAAGATTCAACTACATACTGTCTATAGAACACACACTTTACATTCAAAGATGCAAGTAGGTTGAAAGTAAAAGGATTGAAAAAGATATGCGAATAGCAATGTTAAGAAAACTGGAGTGGCTATATCAGTATAAGACAAATTAGACTTTCAATAAAAAATATTATTAGAGATAAAGAGGGACATTTTATAAAAGGGTCAATCCATCAAGATAATTTAGCAATTGTACGCATATGTGCATCTAAAAACAGAGCCTTAAAATACATGAAGCGGAAGTCCAACAGAACTGAAGAGAGAAATAGACAATTCAAAAATTATCACTGGAGGCTGGGCATGGTGGCTCACACCTGTAATCCCAGCACTTTGGGAGGCCGAGGCAGGTGGATCACCTGAGGTCAGGAGTTCGAGACCAGCCTGGCCAACATGGAGAAACCCTATCTCTACTAAAATACAAAAATTAGCTGGGCATGGTGGTGGGCACCTGTACTCCTAGCTACTTGGGAGGCTGAGGCAGGAGAATTGCTTGAACCTGGGAGGAGGAGGTTGCAGTGAGCCGAGATCATGCTACTGCACTCCAGCCTGCTGGGCAACAGAGCGAGACTCCCTCCCAAATAGTAAAAAAGCAAAACAAAACCAAAAACAACAAAAACAACAAAAGTTATCACTGGAGGCTTCAATATCCCACCTTTAATAATGAGTAGAAGAACTAGATAGAAGCTCAACAAGGAAACAGAAAACTTTAACAACACCATAAACCAACTAGACTTAACAGATTGCTATAGAACACTCCGCACAACAGCAAAATACATATTTTTCTTGAGTGCATATGAAACATTCTCCAGGATAAACCATATACCAGGATGTAAAAAAAAAGCCTGAACAAATTTAAAAGGATTGAAATCATGCAAAGTATGTTTGCCAATCAAAATGGAGTGAAATTAGACAATACTAGTAACAGAAAGAAATGTTGGAAGTTCAAAAATAGGTGGAAATTAAACAACACACTTCTAAATAACCAATTGAGTCAAAGAAAAATCACAGGGAATATCAGAAAATACTTTGAAAGGAATGAAAATGAAGACGCAACATACTAAAACTTGTGGGATGCGGCTAAAGCACTACTTAGAGATACACTTATAGCTGTAAATATTTATATTAAAAAAGAAATACCTTAAATCAATAACCTCACCTTTCATCTTAAGACACCAGAAATTTAAAAGCAAACTAAACCTAAAGGAAGCAGAAGGTAGGAAACAGTAGAGATTAGAGTGGAAATTAATGAGCTAGAGAATAGAACAATAAAAAAAAATCAACAAACCCAAAAAATTGATTGAAAAGATCAACAAAAATGACAAACCTTTACCTAGAATGACCAAAAAATAAAAAAGACTCAAATTACTAAAATCAGGAATAAAAAAGTAGATGTCACCATGTATCTTAGATAAATGAAAATGATTGTAAGGGAATACTATGAACAGCTGTATGCCAATTAGTTTGATGACTTAGATGAGATGAACTAATTTCTTGAATGACACAAACAGCCAAATTTGACTCAAGAAGAATTAGAAAATCTGAAGAGAACTATAACAAGTAAAAAGACTGATAGAACTATCAGTCTATAGTCTAAAAACTATGACAATTAATTTTCAAACATCCCACAAAGAGAATCTCAGGCCAGATAGCTCAACAAAACTAGGAATAGAAGGAAAATTCTGCAACCTGATAAAGATCATCTACAAAACACCCAAAGCTAATATTGTACTTAATGGGGAAAGTCTGAAAGCTTTCACCCTAAGATCGGGAACGAGACAAGGATGTCTGCTCTCACCACCTGTATTCAGCATTGTACTGGAGGTTCTAGCCAAAGCAACTACGCAATAAAAAGAAAAGACATCCAGATTGGAAAGAGAGAAGTAAAACTATCTCTATTTTTAGATAACATCATTTTGTATATGGAAAAATCTTAAGAAATAGAGCCAGGTGTGGTGGTGCATGCCTGTAGTCCCAGCTACTCAGGAGGTTGAGGCAGGAGGATCACTTGAGCCCAGGAGTTTGAGGCTGTAGTGAACTATGACTGCACTTGTGAATAGCCACTGTACTTCAGCCTAGGCAACATAGTAAGACCAGGTCTCTATTAAAAAAAAAGAAAGAAAATCTTAAAACATATCACACACAGAGAGAGAGAGAGAAACACACACAAACACATTATTGGAACAAATTACTTCAGAAAACTTGTAGTGTACAAGATCACTATACAAAACATTGATTCAATTTCTGTATACTAGCAATGAACAATTCAAAAATGAAAGTAAGAAAGCAATTACAGTTACATTAGCATGAAAAAATAGAAATACCTAAGTAAATAGAATGATATCCCTTGTTCCTGGATTGAAGATAATATTGGTAAGGTGGTAACATTCCCAAATTGATCAATAGCTTCAATGCATATCTGTCATATCCAGGCTACCTTTTTGTAGAAATTGTCAAGCTGATCCTATAATTCAAATGAAAATGCAAGGGACCACAATGGCCAAAGCAATGTTGAAGAACACACTTGGAGGACTCATGCTTCCTTTCAAAACTTACTAAATAGCTACAGTGTTCAAAGTACTCTGATACTGGCATAAGGATAGACATATAGATCAATGGAATAAAATTTAGAGTCCAGAAATAAACCTTTACATGTATGGTCAATTGATTTTTGACAAGATGCCAAGACAATTTAGGAGAAAAAAATAGTCTTTTCAACAAACAGTTGGGACAACTGGATATCTACATGCAAATGAATGAAGTTGGACCCCTTCTTCACACTGTGTGCCAAAATTAACTCACAATGGACCATAGACTTAAATGCAAGGGTTAAAACTATACTCGTAGAAGATAACAAAAGAGTAAATTTTCATGACATTGGGCTGGTGCAAAGTTTTTTAGATATGACACCAAAAGTACAAGTAACAACAGAAAAAAAATAGATAAACTGAACTTCAAATTTCAAAACTTTTGTGATTTTTTTTTCCTTTTTTTAATTTGAGATGGGTTCTGCTATCACCCAGGCTGGAGTCCAGTGGTGCAATCACAGCTCACTACAGCCTTGAACTCTTGAGCTCAAGTGATTCTCCTGCCTCAGCCTCTTGAGTTGCTAGGACTACAGATATGTGCCACCATGCTTGACTAATTTTTGTATTTTTTGTAGAGATGGGCTCTCACTTCTTGAACTCCTGGCATCAAGTCATCCTCCTGCCTTGGCATCCCAAAATGCTGGGATTATAGGCATGAGTCACTGCACCCAGCCAAAACTTTTATGCTTTAAAGAACACTATTGACTGTATGTGGTAACTCATGCCTGTAATCCCAGCACTTTGGGAGGTCAAGGCAGGAGAATCACTTGAGGCCAGGAGTTTGAGACCAGCCTGGGCAACATAGTAAGACCCCATCTCTTAAAAAAAATCAGCTGGGCATGGTGGTGCATACCTGTTGTCCCAGCTACTCAGGAGGCTGAGATGGGAGGATGGCTTGAGCCTAGGAGTTTATAGAGGCTGCAGTGATCTATAATGGTGCCACTGCACTCCAGCCTGAGTGACAGGCAGAGATCCTGTCTCTTAAAAAAAAAAAAATGATGGGGCATTTCCAGCTTCTGGATGTCTGTTATTTGAATTCCAGGCATTTTCTAGCTTCTTTGGTGGCAGCAGTAGCCGTAGTAGCATTGACAGCAACAGCACAGAAGCCCCTAGAATAGTGACAAATTCCCTGCAGTGTCATCTGCCTTCTAAGCGGAACTGCCCCAGGAAAATAAAGGGGAAGCTCCCACTGGTTAATAGAACCTCTGATGCCCATTTATAAGTGTAATTTTGCAACGTCCTTGGTGGCTTGCAAAGGCTCTCCCTAAATTTCCTTTCAACAGTGCACTTTCCCTTTTTCTTAGATGTGTACGAAAAGGACCAGGCTGCCTGAGAATGCTTTCCAGGTCAGATAGTTGGCTGCCTCTTCCCTTTAGCTAAATAAAGGACACCATCTTCAAAGGACGAGAAGACGAGTCCATCTGGTCTCTCTGATTGCACCAGCCAGGGGAGTTCCAGCCAAGTCCCAAGCTTTAGCTATCTGGACAGTCAGCTCATACCACCCAGAATCTACATCTGGCTGCCAAATGCACCTTGCTCTGGCCACCCACATACACTGGATCCAATGAGCAACCGGCTCAGCATTCTCCTGGCTGAACAAAGAGGGTGCTTGCCACAAGCAGGGCTATTGTTCAACTGGCATTACCATCAAAGGCCCTGGCCAGCTCCCCTTTGTCTGTCAGTTGCTATTCAGAAGGAAAAGAGAAGAAAAGCAAATCAATAGGTTTCTTGGAGAGAATCGCCTGTGGACGTGGGACATTCACTGTAGCACCGAGCTAACGTGATTCTAATAACAACTTGTAAAGCTATTTAACATGGAGAACCTTGCCAATACATATTCCAAAATGTCACGGCGCCTGGTTATAACGGGCAGGCTGTTTCCCAGATTTAGAGAGTTGAGTCATCTCTGCCTGCTTATATGTAACAAGGTCTGTGCAAGGTGTTTGGCGGCCGGTTATTATATGGATGCTAACCTTTCAACCCTATATTGGCATTAAAGACATGTCATCTTGTTTTCAGGCGTACTGCAAGAGCCTTTTCCCAGAAGGTCAGATTTTTTTTTCACCTGGCCCCAGGCCCGTCTCATGCCACCAATAGAAATAGGCTCTCGACACCTTCATATACATCACAACTTTTTTTTTTTTCTGAATCATTCACCTGCACTGGTTTATAGGTCCTGGCAGTTAGGAGCATTTGGGTCTTTTTGTTGGGTCAAAATGTTGTTTGTATTATGAAATATTTCTAACATGTAGAAAAAGAACAGATAGTTAATATAATGAATACATGGTTTCCAACCCTGGGCTTAAAACAACAGCAGCAATGGCCAGGCGCGGTGGCTCACACCTGTAATCGCAGCACTTTGAGAGGCTGAGGTGGGCAGATCACCTGAGGTCAGGAGTTTGAGACAAGCCTGATCAACATGTTGAAACCCCATCTCTACTAAAAATACAAAAATTAGCCGGGCATGGTGGCACGTGCCTGTAATCCAAGCTACTCGGGAAGCTGAGGCAGGAGAATTGCTTGAATCCGGAAGGTGGAGGTTGCACTGAGCCCAGATTGTGCCACTGTACTCCAGCCTGGGCGACAGAGTGAGACTACGTCTCAAACAAACAAACAGACAAACAAACAAAAACAGCAGCAGCAACAAATACTCACAATGGGCTGGGTGTGGTGGCTCATGCTTGTAATCCCAGCACTTTGGGAGGTCGAAGCAGGAGGATCACTAGAGCCCAGAAGTTCAAGATCAGCCTGGCCAACATAGCAAGACCCTGTCTCTATAAAATAAATAAAAAATACTCCCCACCTCCAGTTACTAATAATGTCCTGTGTGCCCTTTTTGAATGCAGTTCTTCCTCCCCATCCCTTAGGGATCACCACTCTGCCCAGTGTCTGTCATATGTATAAATGTTTGTGTACTTTCCTCTTTTTTCTTTTTTTTTTGAGACAGAGTCTCACTCTGTTACTCAGGCTGGAGTGCAGTGGTGCCATCTCGGCTCACTGCGGCCTCCACCTCCCGGGTTCAAGTGATTCTTGAGCCTCAGCCTCCTGAGTAGCTGGGATTACAGATGTGCACCACCACGTCCGGCTAATTTTTTAATCTTTTTTGGTAGAGACGGAGTTTTGCCATGTTGGGCAAGCTGGTCTGGAACTCCGGACCTCAGGTGATCCACCTGCCTCAGCCTCCCAAAGTGCTGGGATTACAGGCGTGAGCCACTGTGCCCAGCCACGTTTGTGTACTTTTACAATGTGGAGCCACACACAACCCTCAGTTTATATGTTTTAAAATTTCATGTGAATGACATTAGACTATGTAGACTTCTGCAAGTAGCAACATCATGGTTTGGGGTTGTCCTGGTTGACGTGTGGAATCATGGTTCCTCTGTTCACACTGATGCATGGTGTTCCCTGGTCTGAATACACCGCGATCCAGTACCCACTCTTTGGTTTCTCACTGTTACAAACATTACTGTGCCGAGTACTCTTAGGCAGAAATACTTTACTACTAACATTTTTTTAGGATTGCTGGTGCATGGTGATAACAAAAAGCAGACAGACTTTTGGTCAGTTTCTTATTGTTTTTGAATTTCTAGAGACAATGCAACCTTTATCAATGCTCCCAGTGAGGACCCCGCCCGTCACTGCCCTGAGTTCTCCACTGTTCTCTGAGGCCATCTTTGTGTCTATTTCCTGACCTGCGCCTGATGTCTTTAACGTCTGTTTCCTGAGCTCAGCTAGCCTGCCATCCCTGACTCCATGTACCAATTCTCTCTCACGCTGGGCCCTGGCTTTCCTTGCCCCTTTGATTATACAATTTCCAGCTATTCTAGGTGAAAACCTCACACAGTCTTGCCCCAGATCCTGTTCCTCTGGCTTAGATGCTCTTGGCAAGTATCCCCGTTGAATTCCTCAGGCCCTAAGAACGGAGATAAGAAGGGGACATGTATAGAGTTTTCTCTGAATTCCCACCACCCCTCACAGGCACTGGTGCAGAGAAAATGCTCAGTGATTAAATGATGTGCTGAACACAAGGGAGGCATAAAAATGGAATTTGATGAATGTGGTATAGGGCCAGGGTTACATAAGATCCTTCTAACAATACAAGTAGATTGATGCTCATCAAATAGAGAATCTTTTATGGAAACACTACGGCACATAAGCCGTTATTTAAGAGGGCATAATAAATTTCATGTTTCCTTTCACCTGACTGCATTCCTGAAGAATATTCAATGTTCAACACCCACACTTGCATACACACTCAGAGGCATACGCACCAACACTTCCATTTCCTGAAAAGATTCAGTGATAATCTATTTTAGGCACTGCTAAGCAATTTAAATAGAAGGCTACCAAGTTGTCTTTTTTAGTAAACTTTTATTGAAATATAACAAGCACACAGTGCACAAATCATGAGTATGCAGCTCAATGAATATTCACAAACTCATCTGGTAATCACATCTCAGATTGAGAAACAGAATATACCAGTTCCCCAAAGCCCCGTGTATGTGCCATTTCAGTCACTACACACCACTATCCTGAGTCCTAACATTATATGTTAGTTTTGCCTGGTTTTGAACTTTAGGCAATTGAAATCACACCGTCTATACTCTCCTATGTCTGACTACTTTCGCACAACGGTAAATTTGTGAGATGCGTCCAACTCATTGACTGGGGCCTAATTCATTCATCTTCATTCTTATATTGTATTCCATACTGTGTGAATGTATGACAGTTTGTTCATTTTGATGGACATTTGGGTTGTTTCCAGTTTTTTTTTTTTCTTTTTTTCTCTTTTCTTTTTTTTTAAAAAAAGAGCCACTGGGCACAGTGGCTCATGCTTGTGTAATCCCAGGACTTTGGGAGGCCAAGGTGAGTGGATCACTTCAGGTCAGGAGTTCGAGCCTGACCAACAGGGAGAAACCCCATCTCTACTAAAAATACAAAATTAGCCAGATGTGGTGGTGCATGCCTGTAATCCCAGCTACTTGGGAGGCTGAGGCAGCAGAATTGCTTGAACCTGGGAGGTGGAGGTTACACTGAGCCAAGATCACGCCATTGCACTCCAGCCTGGGCAACAAGAGCAAAACTCTGTCTCAAAAAAAAAAAAAAAGAAAAGAAAAAGTCAGGTCTTGCTTTTGTCACCCAGGCTGGAGTGCAGTGGCATGATCATGGCTCACTGCAGCCTTGAACTCCTGGGCTCAAGCCCTCCTCTCACCTCAGCTTCCTAAGTAGCTGCGACTGCAGGCACATGCCACCACATCTGGCTAACTTTAAAATATTTTTGTGGACCCAGGGTCTTCCCATGTTGTCCAGTCTGATCTTGAACTCCTGGGCTGAAGGGATCCTCCTGCCTTGGCCTCTCAAAGTGCTGGGATTATAGGTGTGAGCCACTGCAGCCAGCCCTTTGCTCACTGTTTACATGTTATTTTTTTCCTAAAGCTTATCTTTTTTCTTCTTCTTTTATTATTCTACCTATACTAGGTCATTCACTTATTTATTTATGTATTTATTTATGATAGGGAGTCTCGCTCTGTTGCCTAGGCTGGAGTGCAGTGGCGCAATCTCGGCTACTGCAGCCTCCATCTCCCAGGTTCAAGTGATTCTTCTGCCTCAGCCTCCCGAGTAGCTGGGACTACAGGTGCGCACCACCATATCTGGTTAATTTTTGTATTTTTAGTAGAGTCAGGGTTTTGCCATGTTGGCCAGGCTGGTCTTGAACTCCTGACCTCAGATGATCCGCCCTCCTCGGCCTCCTCAAGTGCTGGGATTACAGGCATGAGCCACTGCACCTGGCTGGTCATTCACTTATTCATTCAGCAAACACCAAGTCCCTACCATGTACTAGGGACTGTGCTAGGTGATGAGCAAAATAATCATGGTCTCTGTCCCTGCAGTCTAGTGAGGGGGCAAGCATTTAACAGGTACATCTCACAATTGACTGTAATTACACACAGTAATCATTGCTATGAAGGAAAATAAACAGGTGCCATGAGAGTAGCTTGGGGCTTCATTTGGATGAAAAAGTTTAGGAAAAGCCCCTTTGAGGAAGGAATCTGAGAAGGAAAATTGAGTAGAAGGGAAGGGATCAGTGTTGGGGAAATAAAGAGTCAGCATAATGTGAAAGCTTGAGGGAGGAAAGCACTTGGAACTAAGAAATAAAAATAAAGACCAGGCTGGTGGCTCAAGCCTGTAATCCCAGCACTTTGGGAGGCCGAGGAGGGCGGATCACCTGAGGTCAGGAGTTCAAGACCAGCCTGGCCAACATGACAAAACCCCGTCTCTGCTAAAAATACAAAAATTAGCCAGGCATGGTGGCGTGCGCCTGTAATCCCAGCTACTCCGGAGGCTGAGGCAGGAAAATTGCTTGAACCCAGGAGGTGGAGGTTGCAGTGAGCCAAGATTGCACCACTACACTCCAGCCTGGGCAACAGAGCAAGACTCCATCTAAAAACAAAACCAAAAAACCCTAAGACCCCAACCAACTGAATAGACTCCCTCTTGACCAAGGGGGACTCCAGAGAAAACTTAAAAACTGAATTTCCAGACACGCCGGGATAGGAATTCAGACAAGCCTTGTGATCCTTCTTTGTTTGCTAACGCCATTAGGCTTTCTTTCCTAAGAGTTCAACAGCAACCAGCCCTTTTACAAAACTTGCTCCACTGTTGATTTACACCACAGCTGACCAGTATTCTTTCCTGATAGCAGACCACCTGCCAGGGAGTGGTTCCGGTGAGTTTATGGAGGCTGTATACTAAGTGCCTTTGTGTCCTCTGCCTCACCTTTTGATCTATAGGGCCTGATTGTAATACCTTTATTATTATTATTACATATATAAAATATATATATATATATATGAGACGGAGTCTCGTTCTGTCGCCCAGGCTGGAGTGCAGTGGCGCATCTCTGCTCACTGCAAGCTCCGCCTCCTGGGTTAACACCATTCTCCTGCCTCAGCCTCCCAAGTAGCTGGGACTATAGGCACCTGCCACCACGCCTGGCTAATTTTTTGTATTTTTTTAGTAAAGACGGGGTTTCACTGTGTTAGCCAGGATGGTCTCAATCTCCTGACCTTGGCCCTCCTCAGCTTCCTAAAGTGCTGGGATTACAGGTGTGAACCACCACACCCAGGACTATATATTTTTTTGAGATGGAGTCTCACTCTGTTGCCCAGTCTGGAATGCAGTGGCATGATCTCTGTTCACTGCAACATCTGCCTCCTGGGTTCAAGTGATTCTCCTGCCTCAGCCTCCCAAGTAGCTGGGATTACAAGCACACACCACTGCGGCAGGCTAATTTTTGTATTTTTAGTAGAGACCAGGTTTTGCCATGTTGACCAGGCTGGTCTTGAACTCCTGACCTCAAGTGGTCTTCCCAACTTGACCTCCCAAAGTGTGGGCTTACAGCCCTAAGCCACCATGTCCGGCCCTATTATTATTATTTTTTGAGACAGGGTCTCACTCTGTCGCCCAGGTTGGAGTGTAGTGGTGCAATCTTGGCTCACTGCAACTTCCACCTTCTGGGCTCAAGCAATCCATCCCACCTCAGCCTCCTGAGTAGCTAGGACCACAGACACATGCAACCATGCCCAGTTAATTTTTGTATTTTTGTTAGAGATGGGGTTTCACCATGTTGCCTAGGCTGGTCTTGAACTCCTGGGCTCAAATGATCTGCCTGCCTCAGCCTCCCAAAATGCTGGAATTACAGGCGTGGGCAACTGTGCCCAGCTATAATACCTTTAAATGTTAAGTCTCCATCCCAAAGAGAACATGAGATGTACGTAACATACATGTTAACTTACTGTGCACGTGTGCCGCCATGAATATGCATAGCTGCTCCTATAACCTGTTGAATATGCATACTTAGCCAACCCATTCAGCATAAATTACTGTCTCATCTTTCCTCCTTTGAGGCTCCATTTCCTGCCTGCAGGTTGTGATATCTCCTTTTAGAAATAAAGCATTTCTGGCCAGGCATGGTGGCTCACACCTGTAATCCCAGCACTTTAGGAGGCCGAGTCGGGTGGATCACCTGAGGTCAGGAGTTCGAGACCAGCCTGGCCAACATGGTGAAACCCCATCTCTACTAAAAATACAAAAAAATTATATGGGAGTGGTGGCAGGCGCCTGTAATCCCAGCTAATTGGGAGGCTGAGGCAGGAGAATCGCTTGAACCCGAGAGGCAGGGGTTGCAGTGAGCTGAGATCTCGCCATTGCACTCCAGCCTGGGCAACAAGAGCGAAACTCTCAAAAAAAAAAAAAAAAAACAAAAACAAAAACAAAAAAAAAACACAAAAAAACAGCAAGCAAGCATTTCTTTCTAAATATATAGATTTTTGTGACTTTTTTGATTGGCAAACCTTTAGAGACCATGGGAAGGCCGGCGTCAGAGCCAGAGGAGTAAAGTTGCTGACAGCCCAGAGGAGGCAGCAGACAGAACACATGTGGCCTTGTAGGCTACATTAAGCATTCTGTATTTTATTGCAAGTGCAATGGAAAACTATTGGAAAGATACAAAGTAGGGTGTTCACCTGACCTGAGGGGTTTTGTCAGATCTGGCTGACTGTGTGGAGAAAGAATTGGAAAGAAACAAGAATGGAAGCAGAGAGACCAGGCTGAAGGTTCTTGCAGCAATTCAGAGAATGACATTGATGGCTAGGAGCTGGGCAGGAGGATGGGGATGGAGCCAAGTGCACAGAGGTGAAAGAAAATTGGGACGGTGGAATGGGCAAAATCTGGTTCTCCATTGGAGGTGGTGGGTGAGAGGGTGAGGGAAGAGGAGTTGGTAGACTAGGTCCCAGATTCATGACTTGAGCAATGGAATGCATAGAGAAGCCTTTTTCCTGGTTGGAGGAGATTGGAGATGGTACAGATTTGTATATGGAGAGGATCACAAGTTTTAAGCATGTAACATCATGTTGTGCCTCTGAAACATACAGGGGGATGTGTTAGCCCAAGCATTTTAATTCTCAGCAATGTGGTTCCTCCCCAGGACTCTTCACTCATTGAAGGTGAGGCCTCCCATTGTTTCACAGAAGAAGAGACATAGCTAGAACAAGGTGCTGATTATTAACCTTGCTTTAAAAGTAGATTAATTTTTAAAAAATCACAAAGAAGACCAGGTGTGGTCACTGACACCTTTAATCCCAGCACTTTGGGAGGCTGAGGCAGGAGGATCTCTTGAGATCAAGAGTTCAAGACCAGCCTGGGCAACATAACAAAACCTCATTTCCACAAAATAAAATAAAAAATTGGCTAGGTGTGGTGGTGCACACCTGTAGTCCCAGCTACTCAGGAGGCTGAGGTGGGAGGATGGCTTGAGCCTAGGAGTTCGAGGCTGCAGGGAGCTATGTATGATCCTGCCACTGCACTCCAGCCTGGGTGACAGAGCATTTTTAAAAAATCACAAAGAAGACCAGGTGTGGTCATCAAAAAAATCTTTCTAAAAATTAAATTTTTAATTTTTAAGAAATGAAATTAAAATTTTAATTTAAGAGAAGACATAAGAGGAGGATTTGAGGTCAGGAGAAGGTCTTCTAAGGATACAACTGTCTAAAGCATGATGGTTCATGGATGGATAGGTTGAAGATCTAGAAGACAAGTCCCCAAGAAGGCAGGAGGGGATGGGTTCCATTGACATCCTTGGCTGCCGTGGTGGATATGAGAACCAGCTGCTTAGGACCACTGTCAGGGGTGTAATTGACTGATGGTCTCAGCTGCTGTGTTTCTGGATCCACTTGGCATCCTTGCTGCGGCCACGCTTCCCTAAGGCTATTCGCAGTAAATGACTAAGCAATCATGGCATTTACCATGGCAGAGCCATTCTTATGGCAATTTTGGCATGAGGCCTCCCCAAAGTCCTAGCCAAGCCTTTCTTGGAGCTGTGCTGCAGTCTAGGAGTCTTCCATCCAATCTTCCTTCCCCTTGTCCTTCACAGGGGCCAGACCTGCCTGGTGGTCTGAAAGCTCTCTCTGCCTTTTCTGCCTCCCTCCTTTTTATCCTTCTCAAGCATATCCCCATATATATGTACATATATATATGTACATATATATATATATTTTAGACACAGGGTCTTGATCTGTTGCCCAGGCTCTGGAGTGCATTGGTACAATGATAGCTCACTGCAGCCTTGACCTCCAGTGACCCACCTCAGCCTCCCGAGTAGCTGGGACTACAGGTGCATGCCACCAAGCCTGGCTAATTTTTTAAAATTTTTTGGTAGAGACAGGGTTTCTCTGTGTTGCCCAGGCTGGTCTTAAACTCCTGGGCTCAAGCAATCCTCCCTCCTCGGCCTCCCAAAGTGCTGGCATTTTAGCAAAAGCCACTGCGCCCAACCAGTCTTGTATGTCTAATCCTGTCTTTATGTCTGCTTCTAGAAGGACCCAGACTGACACAGCTACTGACCCCCAAATCATTCCATGTCTAGGGACTACTCTCTTCTGACGATTAGACTTGTATTTCTAACTTCCTCTTGGATAACTTCAACTGGAGTATTGCAGCCAGTGACCCCAGCTTGTTCTCTCGTCATTATTCTCTTCCTCATCCACTAAGTATTAATACTTCGCTTACACGTACACTGCTATGCAAGTGATCTTTAAAAATACACATCTGGGCTGGGCGTGGTGGCTCACACCTGTAATCCTAGCACTTTGGGAGGCCAAGGCAGGTGGATCACTTGAGGTCAAGAGTTCAAGATCAGCCTGGCCAATATGGTGAAACTGCGTCTCTACTAAAAACACAAAAATTAGCCGAGTGGGAAGGTGGGCACCTCCTAGCTACTTGGGAGGCTGAGGCAGAAGAATCGCTTGAACCCAGGAGACAGAGGTTGCAGTGAGCCAAGATTGCGCCACTGCTCTCCAACCTGGGTGATAGAGTGAGACTCTGTCTCAAAATAAAATAAAAGTGAAAAATAAATAAATAAATAAATAAATATCACACCTGGTCATTTAATTTTTTTTTTTTTTTTTTGAGACAGGGTCTCTGTCTCCCAGGCTAGAATACAGCAGTGTGATCATGGCTCACTGCAGTCTAGAACTCCTGGGCTCAAGGAATCCTCCTGTCTTAGCCTCCTACAGTGCTGGGATTCCAAGCATGAGCCACCATGCCTGACCTGGTCATATAGTCTTTTAAACCTGAGTCAGCTGCATTTCTTGCCTGCTTTAAATTGTATAGTCTGCTGGGTGTGGTGGGTCATGTCTGTAAAACCAGCTACTTGGGAGGATGAGGATCACTTGAGGCCAGGAAGTCAAGGCTACAGTGAGGAGTGATTGTACCACTGCACTCCAGCTTGGGTGACGGGCGAGAAAACACTGTCTCAAAAAAAAAAAAAAAAAAAAAGGTATAGTGGCTTCCCATCCCAACTAGAATAAAATGGAAGCTCCTCATCATGGCCTATGAAGCCCTAGGAGAGCTGACTCCTGCTGGACTCATATCTCCTACCACATCCCCCCATGTTACTTCTCTTTATTTTTTGAGATGGCATCTTGCTCTGTTGCCCAGGCTGGAGTGCAATGGTGCGATCTTGGCTCACTGCAAACTCCACCTTCAGGGTTCAAGTGATTCTCCTGCCCCAGCCTCCCGAGTAGCTGGGATTACAGGCACAGGCCACCATACCTGGCTAATTTTTGTGTTTTTAGTAGAGATGGGGTTTCACCATATTGGCCAGGCTGGTCTTGAACTCCTGATCTCAGGTGATCCTCCCATCTCAGCCTCCCAAAGTGCTGGGATTACAGGCTTGAGCCACCATGCCCGGCCACTTCTCTCTCTTTTTTTTTTTTTTTTTTGAGACAGTCTCACTCTGTTGCCCAGGCTGGAGTGCAATGGCACGATCTCAGCTCATTACAACCTCTGCCTCTCAGGTTCAAGCGATTCTCCTACCTTAGCCTCCTGAGGAACTGGGACTGCAGGCACCTGCCACCACGCCCAGCTAATTTTTGTATTTTTAGTAGATATGTTGGCCAGGCTGGTCTCGAACTCCTGACTTCAAGTGATCTGCCTGCCTTGGCCTCCCAAAGTGTTGGGATTACAGGCGTGAGCCACTGCGCCCGGCACCCCCATGTTATTTCTCGATCATGCGTAGCGTGTTCCTCCCTCCATGGTCCCTTGGAATATTCTTTCTCTAGATCTTCAGGTGGCAGGCCCCTCACTTCATTCAAGTATCTGCTCCACTGTCAGCTCCTTTGAGAGGCCTCCCCTGATCACTTCCTCTAAAATTGCTCACCCTAGGGTTCAAATGATCCTAGGTGGGAGGACCCCTTGAGCCCAGGAGTTTGAGGCTGCAGTGAGCTATGATTGCCCCACTGCACTCCAGCCTGGGCGACAGAGCAAGACCTTGTCTCTTATAAAAATAAATAATAAATAAATAACTCATTCCAACCACACCCATTGTCGTTCTGTGTCCCCCTTACCCTGCGTCATCATCTTTTTCTTGGCATTTGTCACTCTTTGAAGTTATATTGGGCTGGTCCAGATGGAGTGAGTTATCTCAATTGATTGTTCACAAGCAGTTACTGATGGAACTGCTGGTTCTGTTCTTTTCCCACTTCTCACTACTGCATTTGTCTAGTTAAAAAAAAAGTATATTATTTAATTTGGGCTCAATAAATGTGTAAATTAAAGAATACAGCTCTTTTTTGTTTTTGAGACAGGGTCTTTCTCTGTCACCCTGGAGCAGTGGTGTGATCATGGCTTATTGCAGCCTTGATCTCCGGGGCTCAAGCAATCCACCTGTCTCAACCTCACGAGTAGTAGGGACTACAGATGTATGCCACTACACTGGGCTAATCTTTTTATTTTTTCTAGAGATGGGGTCTTGCTATGTTGCCCAGGCTGGTCACGAACTCCTTGGCTCAAGCCGTCTTCCTGCCTTGGCCTCCTGAAGTGCTGGGATTACAGGCATGAACCACTGTGCCCAACTTAGGAATACAGTTCTTTAACGTAAAGATTCTAGGCTGGGCATGGTGGCTCACGCCTGTAATCCCAGCACTTTGGGAGGTCAAGGCAGGTGGATCACCTGAGGTCAGGAGTTCAAGACCAGCCTGGACAACATGGGGAAAACCCATCTCTACTAAAAATACAACAATTAGCTGGGTGTGGTGGCATGTGCCTGTAATCCCAGCTACTCGGGAGGCTGAGGCAGGAGAATCACTTGAACCTGGGAGTCAGAGGTTGTGGTGAGCCAAGATCACACCACTGCACTCTAGCCTGGGCAACAGAGCGAGACTCCATCTCAATAAATAAATAAATAAATAATAAAGTAAAAAAAAATAAAGATTCTGATGGCTACCTACCATCTAGGGCAATGCTGTCTAATGGAAATACAATGTGGATCACAAATGTAATTTAAAATTTCTAGGATCTCTCTGTTACTTCTTAAGCTTCCTAAGTAGTGAGTGTGAACAGGGTTGAGCAGTTGTGTGAAGAGAAGCAAAACCCCCAGGTGGTTGTAGCTTTTAGTTGTGGCAAAGGTGGTGAGCTCCCCTCACCGGGGCAAAAACATTCTACTTCATATAAAAAGCACTGAAACAAGAGATGTATGACTTGGTTTTAGTCCATTAAGTAGTTCTGTGACCTTGGGCAGATCACGTGGGTCCAGGATGGCAAATCGACTTTATTTTCTTCTATTAATTGATAGTGGCTGCCTGGAGGTTGGCTGAGGACAGGATTCTGAGACTTAGTCTGAACTTCTTGGGAAGAATGCCTTGATCAATTCGTGATGTCTATGCTGGGCACCCCAGGAGAATTGGGCAGGCTGTTCCAAGACTCAATTTTCTCCCCATTCAAAAGTGGATAAAAATAACAGCTCTCTCAGCCCAATATGGTCATTTACGAAGCTCAAATGGAGTAGGCTGAGAAAATGCTTTCAAAGGCCAACACAACACTTAGATATTATTAGAGATTTGCCTTCTTAATTGGGTCAAGGCTAATGTAATGGGTCTGTGTGTGTGTATTTTCCAACAGCAGAAAAAGACAAGTAGAGGTCAATGTTTCCCTAGCAGCTGGGTCTAGCAAAATGCTCAGTTGTGCCGAGCTCAGGATGTTTTTTTTTTTTTTTTTTTTTGAGACTGAGTTTTGCTCTTGATGCCCAGGCTGGAGTGCAGTGGCACAATCTCGGCTCACTGCAATCTCTGCTTCCCAGGTTCAGGTGATTCTCCTGCCTCAGCCTCCTGAGTAGCTGGGATTACAGGCATGCGCCACCATGCTCAGCTAATTTTGTATTTTTAGTAGAGATGGGCTTTTACCATGTTAGCCAGGCTGGTCTCGAACTCCTGACTTCAGGTGATCCTCCCACTTTGGCCTCCCAAAGTGCTGGGATTACAGGCATGAGCCACCGTGCCTGGCCCAAGCTCAGGATGTTAAAGGCTGTCGGGATAAAGATAACCAGTTGATGAATTTTTTTAAAATCTTCAATTTTTCCCCCTTAGAGTCAATTTACTACATGCATGTATGTACACATTTCATCTCTGTATTTTTGCAAACAATGGCCTCTTTACAAGTCACTTTGAATTTTTAAAAGGTTCAATTTCTGTTGCTTTTGAGGGCTTTGAGAGGGAAAGTGCCATTTTTCCTCTTTTATAGGCCACTTATGGTCTGACCAAATTTACTCCCTCTCTCTACCCAGCCGTCTTTCTCAGCTTTTCCCCTCTCTGCAAAGGCCCAGGCACCTCAGTGAATCTGCTATTATTGATTCAGGAAAAGGCTTTGATTCTGCAAACCACAAGCTGTTACTCATGAAACTATGACAACTTGGTATTAGCTGCAAATCAATGAACTTTTTAAATGCAGTTGAAGCAACAAAACTCGCTTACTGCTAAACCTTGATAAGCCCACCCTGGAACAGCCAGACCTTTATCTTAACAGCCATGTGATCTTTCCTGCTTTGATAGCCTCTTTGCTGTATTGATAAGGATTACACATCTTATAGGAGCTGTTGCCCTCTCCGGAAGCATTTCTAAAGTGGATGCAGGAAAAAAGGGAGTCTCTTTCTACGGGTGGGCTGTGACTGTTCAGCGTTCTCAAATCAACCTATTCTCAGCTCCCTCCTTTTCAGTCTAGCTGTTCTTTAGAGACAACATAGAAAATGGGAACCTGTCAAGGAAGAGTTTAAGCTGTGATGAAGTGCTCTTGGCATGATTCACCGGGAGGGCATTTAGACCTTCATTCTTCTGAACCATTCTGCAGAACCAGCCCCTGCGCCTTGCTTCGTAAAAGGCGTAGAAGTAGTCTCATCTCTGTTCCTCTCTCTTGGTCCTTAGTCAATAAAATGTCTAAGACTAGGTCACTTACACATCTTGTGTTTGCCATTATTACTATGACCCTTTATTTATGTGGGCCATCTTCCCTTGCCTTCCCTTCCCTTCCCTTCTCTTCTCTCCTCTTCCTTTCTTCTTCTTCTTCATTCATTGTTTTTTGAGACAGAGCCTTGCTCTGTCACCCAGGCTGGAGTGCAGTGCAGTGATTATAACCCACTGCAACCTCGACATCCTGGGCTCAAGCAATCCTCCTGTCTCAGCCCCTCGAGTAGCTAAGACTACAGGTGCATGCCACCAAGCCTGTCTAAGTTTAAATTGATTTTGGTAGAGATACGGTCTTGCTATGTTGCCCAGGCCGGTCTCAAACTCCTGGCCTCAAGTGATCCTCCTGCCTTGGCCTCTCAAAGTATTGAGATTACAAGTGTGAGCCACTGCGCCTGGCCTGTGGCCCATTTTCAAATGGAGTTTGGCTACAGACGAGTTTGTTATAATTTAGGAGAGCAGGGGCGACAGCTATCCTGGAATACCCTTTGGACAGGTGTATGTACACCAGTGCTGATCTTCTGCTACCCAGACATCATCCACCAGCAGCTGGGATGTCCTGAGTGTCCATGGTGACTGCTTGCTAAATTAACCCTCTACTTCCCGCATCTTCAATTTCTCCTTAGTCAAGCATTATCAGAGGGACCAGAGCTTTCAGAAGTATTATGTCCTCCTGACACTCTTCCTTTTTTTTTTTTTTGAGAAGGAGTCTCGCTTTGTCACCCAGGCTGTAGTGCAGTGGCGTGATCTCAGCTCACTGCAACCTCTGCCTCCTGGTTCAAGTGATTCTCCTGCCTCAGCCTCCCAAGTAGCTGGGATTACAGGCATGTACCAGGCACTGTTTCACTATGTTGGCCAGGCTGGTCTTGAACTCCTGACCTCAAGTGATCCTCCCACCTCAGGCTCCCAAAGTGCTGGGATTACAGGCGTGAGCCACTGCGTCTGGCCTACTTTTCCTTTTCTTCTTTGCCTCTTCCTCCTTGCTTTGAATAGCACTTGCATCCCATTTCACATCCTCTGATCTCACTTTTCACTTTGGCCGTTGCTGCAGCAACCAGCTCAGTGCAGGTGAAACCTGATAGCCCCCGGCTCAGCTGTCCTGCCTAGCTTTCACTTTCCATCCTGGCCTTCTCTGGGGTCACGCCATTGGGGTGCCTCCAGAAGCCTCCTGTCAGGCAAGGTGCGGTGGCTCACACCTGCAATCCCAGCACTTTGGGAGGCCAAGGAGGGCAGACCACTTGAGATCAGAAGTTCGAGACCAGCCTGGCCAACATGGTGAAACCCTGTTTCTACTAAAAATACAAAATACAAAAATCAGCCTGGTGTGGTGGCATGCCTCTGTAGTTCCAGCTACTCAGGAGGCTGAGTTGGGAGGATCACTTTAACCTGGGAGGTGGAGGTTGCAGTGAGCTGAGATCGTGCCACTGCATTTCAGCCTGGACTCTGTCTCAAAAAAAAAAAAAAAAAAAGCCTCCTGTCACTCATACACCTGCCTCTTGAAAGAGAGAAAGAGATAGTTAACATCCTAGGGTGCAAACTTTGTCTAATGCGGAAGGGGAGAAAGTGGATAAATATTCTCTTTATCCATGAATAATCCTTTTATCCATCTTTCCTGTGGGTGATTCTGAGGTGCATTTTATATGGCTTCTCACAGATCCTGGAAGAATCAAGCCCCAGTTTCCCACGGCAGTGAGGAGCTCAAAGACTCAGTCTCACATCAGCTTCGCCTCTTTCCTGTCCCCCTCCTCCTAGCCCTGCAATTGCCTCCCAAATTAGCTGCTTGCACAGAGCCCTTGTCTCAGGTTCTGCTTTCCAGGGGGAAATCCAGAACAAAATGGTCTAGAAAGCAGAATTTCAGGATGGATTCTGGAACTCGGCTCACTCTCTGGTCAGAGGGCAGTAAGGACCCCACTCCTGGTGGTAAGTTGGGTGGATAACCCCTGATCTTCTGTAGCACTCCAGTTGCTAGACTCTCCCTGGGAAGACAGTGGCCCAAGAGGCAGATGGAGGGTGAAGCATTGGCTTTGCAATAGCTATGACATTTGGATAATATGGGGACAATGATAATGACAAGGATTGTAGGGTTGGTGGACTTTTGTTAATTGCCTTAGGAGCTGTGGTGGATTTGTTCTGTGTCGCCTTAGCTAAGCTGGAACTACACTTCCCAAAATTCCCTTTTCTGCATAGTCTTGGCCACGTGATCTTGTGCAGGCTTTGGGAAGCAGCCATAGTTGTTTTACACTCAGAGGGTGAGCAGGGTACCAGGTGCTATTGCAGCTCATGAACTTGGTTGCTGATCTGCTTGCTCACCTCGTAGGTATGAAGAAACCTCCTCCTTCTTCACCTTCTCTGACTCCTGGACCAGCCTTTCTACCTAGCTGAATTTATTTGTAGCACTGGATGCAGAAGCAACAACTGTACATAGACTGGATAGCCAGCTCTCCAAATTATATAAGGTTGAATTCCTGTAATAAATCCCATATTCTAGATTATTTCTAGTGGTTCTATTTTTCTGATCAAACCCTGACTGATACAGAAGTCCCGAAAATAGAAAATGCAGGCTCAGTTCAGCTAATAGTCAACTCAGACACACTGTGAAAGTCGGCAAGGCAGTCTTGAAAGAGATTCATCTCCCACAGCTGCAGAGCAGATAGTGCTGAAATTCAGGCTCAGGAATCAGTTTTAAGGATAGCAAAGCTATAAGGGAAACAGAAAGCATGACCCCAGGAAGCTTCCTATCCCAAAGGCAGGGCCTTGACAGGAGACGAGTAGGACTCTGAGTTCTGGCATTAGGATGTTTGGCTGGACAAGCCTGAGAATCTTGGAGCTTGTAGATTCTCCAGTAACTCTGGGATGGCAGAGGCAGAATTTCTCCTTTGCTAGGAGACAGCAGCCTTCCCTTGCCTGGAGATCTTCAAAACCTCACAAGATGATTCTTGTCTTTCTCAAGGTCTTGTTGAAGTGGCATTGTTCATCTGGGGTAATACCTGAGGTTCATTGCCTCATGCCAAGGAAATCAAGGACATGGACACAAAAGGAGTGAGGTTAAGAGCGGAGGTTTAATAGGTGAAAGAGAGAGAAAAGCTCTCTCTCCTGCAGAGAGAGATGGGCTCCCTAGTGGGTCTTCTGGTTTTGTGGTGAAATGCATGGGGTTTTATAGATGAGCTTGAGGAGGTGGTGTCTGATTTACATAGGGCGCCAAGAGATTGGTTGGACCAGGTGTGCCATTTACATACTGTGTGAAGAAGCTGGCCACCCCACTCTAATCTTTTATTATGTAGATGGATTCTCTACCTGGCTGGTGCCATGTTGCCTGTTCCTTTACTGTACATGTGGTTGACAAAGAAAAAGGAAGTTGCAGCCTCCATGTTGTTGATACCTGGCTTCCAGGTATCCCTTTTCTATTGGCACAGCATTTACCTATGCAAGCTTCCAGGTTGCTTATCTATGTTTGCAGTTTGATTTTTCAGGCTGCTTTTTGTTAGAAAATGAATAATTTGGGGGTTGCTTTTTTATTAAAAGGGAAACCTTACTGAGGACTCTCTTACCCTCACTAACTGCCTAATAATTCATTTTTCACTTCTGTATGACTGTTGCTTATTGCCTTCTGACTGAGAGTTAGAATCAGGTCAGCCCAGTGAGGAAAAACAGTCATGGCTCTGGGAGGAAATAGCACACCCACTGCCTCCAATTGCAGGACTTGGCTGATATGAACTGGGGGACACTGGGAGGAAATATGTGGGGAGCAGATACGGAGAAACACACTGGTGATGGGATTTCAGCATCTTTGAAAAGCTCAGAGAAGCTCTAGATGATTTCCTAAGATTTATCTTCCTGTTCACTAATTTTTTCCCCACCAATGTCAAGTCCACTGTCCAACCTATCCTCTCATTATTTTAATTTCATGGACTGTAGTTTTGATTTGTAAACTTCCACTTAGCTAGGTTTTTTCTTTTTTCTTTTTTCCTTCTTTTTGGAGATAGGGTCTTGCTCTGTCACCCAGGCTGGAGTGCAGTGGTGCAATCATAGCTCACTGCAGCCTCGAACTCCCACTTCAGCTTCCGAGTAGCTGGGACTACAGGTGCATGCCAACATACCTGGCTAATTTAAAAACATTTTTTGTAAAGATGGGATCTCGCTATGTTGCCCAGGCTGGTCTCAATCTTCTGTCCTCAATGATCCTCCCACATTGGCCTTCCAAAGTGCTGGGACAATTACAGACATCAGTCACCACACCCAGCCAAGATTTTTCAATTTTTTTTCCTTTGTCATAATGCCCAGCCTTATCTAATAAATTCTATTCCTTTGTATTCAAAAATTAAAGCACAGTTACCTTCAGGATTTTTTTATGACCCCCTAGATAGATTTCTTGAATGTGTACCTTGTGCAATTTGTTACTTCTTTTGTCTCTCTCATCAGGAGTTGTTTCCTCAAGTGATTTGTAATTTTATTTCTGTTACCCCTTTAAACTTTAGTTGTTCTAGTTCTTCCACTACCCTTGGATGAAGACTTGTGCAGCAGCCCCCATGACTTTTTTTATACACTTAGGAAATAATAAGTCCTATAAGCATTTTACTTCAAAAGCACAGTATCCATTCTGCATTTGTCCAGTCCCATGTCATCATCAGCACATCATTTTCCTTCAAAGGCAGAATTTTGACCTCTTCCTGCAGAAGGTTTCCTGGGAAGGGGGTTATGTTAGTCCATTCTCACACTGCTAATAAAGATATACCCGAGAGGCAGGCGGATCACCTGAGGTCAGGAATTCGGGACCAGCCTGACCAACATGGCAAAACTCTGCCTCTACTAAAAGTACAAAAATGAGCTGGATGTGGTGGTGCATGCCTGTAACCCCAGCTACTTTGGGGGCTGAGGCAGGAGAATCACTTGAACCTGGGAGGCAGAGGTTGCATGCAGTAAGCTGAGATTGCACCATTGCACTCCAGCCTGGGCAACAGAGTGAGACTCCATCTAAAAAAAGAAAAAAAAAAGACATACCTGAGACTGGGTAATTTATAAAGAAAAAGAGGTTTAATGGACTCACAGTTCCACATGGCTGGGGAGGCCTCACAATGATGGTGGAAGGCAAAGGAGAAGCAAAGGCACATCTTACATGGTGGCAGGCAAGAGGGCGTGTGCAGGGGAACTCCCATCAGATCTCGTGAGACTTATTCACTATCACGAGAACAGCATGGGAAAACCCACCCCCATGATTCAATTACCTCCCACTGGGTCCCTCCCATGACACGTGGGGATTATAGGAACTACAGTTCAAGATGAGATTTGGGTGGGGACACAGCCAAATCATATCAGGGGTCATGATTGGGTTCTTTTTCTCTCCAGGTTTTCTCTGCCAGCTCAGTGAAAATGGTTTCTGATCCCTGTGGGGCTGAGGAAAAGATGAGAGGAGGAGAACATTCCTAACTGATAGGTATTGTCATCAGATGATTTTGTGCTATCTGAGCCTAGCAAGAGTTTACAGTTGACTTGTTTCTGTAGGTGGTGTGATGATTTATTTTATGTGTCAATGTGACTGGGCTAAGGGAAGCCCAGATAGCTGGTAAAACATTATTTCTGGGTTGTCTGTGAGTGTGTTTCCTAAAGAGGTTAGCATTTGAATTGAGGGACTGAGCAAAGTAGATAGATCTGCTCTCACCAATGTGAATGGGCATCATTCAATTCACTAAGGGCCAGAATAGGATAAAAAGATGGAAGAAAGGCAAATTCTCTCTCTCTTTTTAAGCAGGGACGTTTATATTCTGCCCTCAGACGTTAGCACCCCTGGTTCTCATGCTTTCGATTCTGAGACTTACACCTTTGTTCCCTTCCTACTCCTTGCTTCTCAGGCCTTTGGCTGTAAACTGGGAGTTATTCCACTGGCTGCCCTGAGGCTCAGACCTTTGGACTTGGACTGAATTAAACCACAATTTTCCTAGTTCTCCAGCTTGCAGATGGTGTATTGTGGTGCTTCTCAGCCTCCATAATCATGTGAGCCAATTCCCATAATAAATCTCCTCTTCTAGGTCTACAGCTATCCTATTGGTCTGTTTCTCTGGAGAACTCTGACTAATACAGGTGTGTTGTGGGTTCTTCTGAGATGTCCTTCCCCTTCTGTCCAATGCTCCCTTCATCTGGGTGACACACATGCCTGTGGTTGTCTAATGCTCTTTTCACAGTTCTTAGAATCTGGTGGTTCCTTCAGTTCCTCTCTGCCAAGTCCTGTTCACATCCTTCAGTAGGCCTTATGTCAATCCTCTCTTGCATGTGGCCCACATCCAGTCCATGGAAAACCCGCATGCATTCTTTGGCCCAACACATTATGGAGGGCAGGCAGATCTCCAAACAGCTGCTTTCCTTTGGCTCCTCTATCCACAGCCCACCAGACTGCTCACCCATGAGGTTTCTCAGGTGGGAGTCCATTCTGTCTGCCCTTACCTTGTCTTCCCTTACCTTCCTCTATGTTGTCCTATTGCATGGAGGGGGTCATGGCGCACCAATAACTTTCTCCAGAGAAATCTTCCACCAATACCCATGTCCCCTCCTTGATGCGGGTGAGGGGTTTAAGGTTCGTTTAACTCAATTCTTGACCACCTCCTTTTGAAACTGGCCCAGTTTCCCCATATAACCAATGTTTATGGGTTGTTTGTTTTTGAGACAGAGTTTCACTCTTGTCATCCAGGTTGGAGTGCAATAGCACGATCTCAGCTCACTGCAACCTCTGCTTCCCCACTTCACGTGATTCTCCTGTCTCAGCCTCCTGAGTAGCTGGGATTACAGGCATGTGCCACCACGCTTGGCTAATTTTTTTTTTTTTTTTAAGTAGATAAGGAGTTTCACCATGTTGGCCAGGCTGGTCTCGAACTCCTGACCTCAGGTGATCTGTCTGCCTGTCTGTCCCAAAATGCTGGGATTATAGGCATGAGCCAGTGCGTCTGGCCGGGCCATCTTGATCTTAAAGCGTGAAGCTTAACATTTGTCTTATCCGAGATCCTTTCTCAGGGAATCAACCCTCAGTAGATACCAGATAGTATCAACGTACTGGAACTCACCAGATCATCACATCCAGATGATGAGATGCCAGATCCCTCATCATCATAATTGCCTCCTTACCCCTCTCTAATTCCTGTTTTTCTGCACACAGTCACATTCCTTCCCTGCTATATAAACCCACAATTTTAGTTGGTTGAGGAGACGAATTTGAGACTTATCTCCCATCTCCTGGCTGATGTCACCTGAATAAAGCATCGCTTCCCTGGCAATATTCGTTGTCTCAGTGATTGGCTTTCTGTGCAGTGAGCAACAGGACCTAGACCAAATCTCTAGCATTTGGTAACACTTAGAAATTTCTACATAGGGCCAGGTGCGGTGGCTCACACCTGTAATCCCAGCACTTTGGGAGGCCAAGGTGGGTGGATTGCCTGAGGTCAGGAGTTCGAGACCAGCCTGGCCAACATGGCAAAACCCCGTCTCTACTAAAAATACAAAAATTAGTTGGGCTTGGTGGCAGGCACCTGTAATCTCAGCTACTCAGGAGGCTGAGGCAGGAGAATCATCTCTTGAACCTGGAAGGCGGAGGTTGCAGGTAGCCGAGATAGCGCCATTGCAGACTGGGCGACAAGAGTGAAACTCCATTTCAAAAAAAAAAAAAAAGAAGAAATTTCTACATAAAGAGCTGCCTAGCTGCCTTACAACTTACTTTGGGATCCTGTATCTATCAATATAGGATCTCAACCTGTTAAATATACCTATGTATATTTACTGAGAGCCCATCTTGAGTGGAAATGGATTGGGTGATCAATCCAATGGTTTGGGTGACCCATTTGCCGTGAGTTTTAGAGGTGTCTCTACTAGATGATTCTATGTTTACCCTTTGGATTTTGTAGGTTCCAGGCTAGTGTGTATATCGAACTCTCAGTACATGGTTCCTGCATCCTATGAGTGGTTGTGAACATGGTCTCTACTCCTGCAAATAGTACTACCTTGGAATTTTGATATATTTCAGGTGACTCTTTTACTACCTGGAACTCCAGACAGATAATCCATCCCTTTAACCAGCTGAGGATGCTTTTAGGGTTTCTAATTCTTTTATTCAATTTCGCCACAAGACTTTACTTGATTCTCTTGAAAACCTTTAAGGGCATTAGAGAGGGTGATTTCTGATGCAAACAACAGAAAATTCAACCTAAACTAGCTTAATTATAAAACTTAAGAGGGGGATTTCTAAGTTTATGTAGAGGTGAGACGGAGCACAGATCCCTGCAGGAAATGAAGAAAAATCTTGAGTTCCTTCAAGGGAATTTCCAGGCACCTAGCTAGCCCTGAGAAGTCAATGAGCAACTTGATAAGCAAAAAAGTAATCGTAGCTTTAAACAATAGCCACGGAAGTTAAAATCATGAGATGTTTGACCCCCTATAGAAATAAAGATAACATCTTCACGTATGTCTCCGAGTTGCTTTTCAGAAATCCGGACCCCCATCAGACAGATCCTCTGGAATGTAGACCTCAGATACTGAGGCCTGAACCCTGACCATTATTCTCTGTTCTAAATTTCTTCCTGAGGGGCCTAGAGGAAGTCACACCTGTGAGCCAGAGCTAACGTTCTTTTCTACTGATCCCAAACTTTTAGATAAGGTTTTGCTTCCTTAACCAATCGCAAATCAGAAAAATATTTGAATCCACCTATGACCTATGGGCCCCCATTTTGAGATGTCTGCCTGCCTGTTTAGGTCAAACCAATGTGTAGCCTCTGTGTATTGATTTATAACTTTGCCTGTAGCCTCTGCCTCCTAGCCTTTAAAAACCCTTACCTGTAAGCCATCAGGGAGTTCGGGTCTTAAGCATGAGCTGCTTGATTTTCCTTGCTTGGAGCTTGCAAATAAATGCCTTCCGTTCTTCTGCTGCAAACCTTGGTGTGGATGTTGTGGTCATATTGCACTGGGTGAGTGAACCCCAGTTCAATTTGATAACAGAGGTGAGAATTAATTCTGGCTTCAGGGGAGGCTTTTTCTGGACGTAAACAATGTGACTCTCACTCTTTTTCTGACGTGAAGTCTGGCTCTGTTGCCCAGGCTGGAGTGCAGTGGCATGATCTTGGCTCACTGCAACCTCTGCCTCCCGGGTTCAAGCGATTCTCCTGTCTCAGCCTCCTGAGTAGCTGGGATTACAGGCGCCACGACGCCAGCTAATTTTTTTTTTTTTTGAGACAGAGTCTCACTCTGTCACCCAGGCTGGAGTGCAGTGGTGCGATCTCAGCTCAGTGCAACCTCTGCCTCCCGGGTTCAAGCGATTCTCCAGCCTCAGCCTCCCAAGTAACTGGGACTACAGGTGAGCACCACTGCGTCTGGCTAATTTTTGTATTTTTAGTAGAGACCAAGTTTCACTATGTCGGCCAGGCTGCTCTCGAACTCCTAACCTCAGGTGATCCGCCCGCTTCGGCCTCCCAAAGTGCTGGGATTTCAGGCCTGAGCCACCGCACCCGGCCTAATTTTCGTATTTTTAGTAGAGACGGGGTTTCACCATGTTGGCCAGGCTGGTCTTGAACACCTGACCTCAGGTGATCTGTCCGCCTCGGCCTTTCAAAGTGCTGGGATTACAGGCGTGAGCCACTGCACCAGGCCGACTCCCACTCTTCCTCCCTCCTCCATGTCTCAGCTCGGTTTGTTCCAAGCTGGCTCTGTTCTCAGCAGGGCTTCCGACTCTTCGTCCTAGGTTGACACTCAGCTACTTCCAGGACAGTGGCTCTCAACTGGGGGTGATTTTATATTTCCCCTTAGGGGACATTTGGCAATGTCGGGAAACACTTTTGCTTGTTACAACTCTGGGAAAGGGATGTGATGCTGCTAGCATCTGGTGGGTAGAGAACAGGGGTGCTGCTAAACATCCCTTAATGTACAGGACAGCACATCAAAGAATTGCTCAGCCCATAATGTCAGTGCTGCTGAGATTGAGAAACTCTGTCCCAGGTCTGCAAGCTTCCTCTTCCATGTTCAGTAGAGAAGAGAGAATCTATATTCCAGAATTCCCATGAAAAATTCTTGATTAGATCAGTGTGGGCTGGGCACGGTGGCTCATGCCTGTAATCCCAGCACTTTGGGAGGCCAAGGCGGGCAGATCACGAGGTCAGGAGATCGAGACCATCCTGGCTAACACGGTGAAACCCCGTCTCTACTAAAAATACAAAAAGTTAGCCAGGTGTGGTTGCAGGCGCCTGTAGTCCCAGCTACTTGGGAGGCTGAGGCAGGAGAATGGCCTGAACCCGGGAGGCGGAGGTTGCAGTGAGCCAAGATCGTGCCACTGCTCCAGCCTGGGCGACAGAGCGAGACTCCGTTTCAAAAAAAAAAAAAAAAAAAAAAAGATCAGTGTGATAGGTCATGTCTACCTTTTTTTTTTTTTTGAGACAGAGTCTCCTTCTGTCACCCAGGCTGGAGTGCAGTGGCATGATCTCAGCTCACTGCAACCTCCGTTTCCCGGGTTCCTGCCTCAGCCTCCCGAATAGCTGGGATTACAGGCACCTGCTGCCACGCCTGGCTAATTTTTGTATTTTTAGTAGAGACAAGGTTTCACCACGTTGGCCATGCTGTTCTCAAACTCCTGACCTCAAGTGACCCCCCTGCCTCGGCCTCCCAGAGTGCTGGGATTATGGGCATGAACCACCGCACCTGGCAACAGATCCTCTTTTCAAAAGATACTTCCTCTCCTTTGCAACTGCAGTCTTTACTGTTTACTTCCCCTTCTTCCCCAGCCTTTTATTATCTTGACAGACTTAGCTTCTTTACTTCAATCCTCCTCTTAATTTTTTTTTTTTTTTGGCCTCTTTGCCATTAGTGGGTGGAGAAGGGAAGGCATGGAATACACATATTAAATCTTGCTTTTGTTATTTATGCATACATTTATTTTACATGGTTGGAAGCATGTTATATACCAACTCCCCTACCCCCCCGCCCACACACATAATATTGAGTGTCATGATTTTTTCTCTTAATATTGTATAATAAACACTTTCTCATGCTATTAAAAACTATTTGCAGGCCAGGCATGGTGGCTTACTCCTGTAACCCCAGCATTTTGGGAGGCCAAAGCAGGTGGATTGCTTGTGGCCAGTTCAAGATCAGCCGGGGCAACATGGCAAAACCCTGTCTCTAAAAAAAACACAAAAATTAGCTGGGCATGGTGGCGCACACCTGTGGTCCCAACTACTCAGAAGGCTGAGGTGGGAGGATCACTTGAGTCCAGGAGGTGGAAGTTATAGTGAACTGAGATTGCGTGGCTGCTTTCCAGCTTGGGTGACAAAGTGAGACCCTGTCTCAAAAAAAACAAACAAACAAACGAAAAAACTATTTGCAATGACCATTTAAAAATTTTGCATTTGGCCAGGCGCAGTGGCTCATGCCTGTAATCCTAGCACTTTGGGAGGCCAAGGCAGGCAGATTACTTGAGGTCAGGACTTTGAGACTAGCCTGGACAACATGGTGAAACCCCACCTTTACTAAAAATACAAAAATTAGCCAGGTATGGCAGCACATGCCTGTAATCCCAGTTACTCAGGAGGCTGAGGCAGGAGAATTGCTTGAACCTGGGAGGCGAAGGTTGCAGTGAGCCGAGATTGCACCACTGCACTCCAGCCTGGGTGACAGAGCTAGACTCTGTCTCAAAATAAATAAATAAATAAATAAATAAAAATAAAAATAAAATTCCACACAAAAATTCATCATATAGACAAGCTTAAATTATTAATTACCTATTAGTTTTCCCTGAATTTGATATCTTTTATAGTAAATTTATAGAATATGAGAATGGATTCTTTATGTGGCCATTTCTTGGACTTTAGGAGCAAAACTAATGTTAGGCCAGTATTTGCTTTCTGTTGGCTGTGAGTGTAGGGACAGGGTTTCAAGTAGTTTTCAGACTGGGTGAGGTGGCTCACAACTGTAATCCTAGCACTTTGGGAGGCCAAGGCAGGTGGGTCGCTTGAGCCCAGGAGTTGGAGACCATCCTGGGCAACACAGTAAAACCCCGTTTCTATTTATTAAAAAATATAAAAATTTTTTAGAAAGAAAAAAAATCTAGTTTCCAAATGACTGGAGCCTGATCATGTTTGAGTTACCTGGGGGATTTGTTAAAAGTGCACATTCTGAAGCCCTGATTTAGACCCCCTGAATCAGAATCTCTATACCTGGAGCCTGAACAAAGATCCTCTAATCATTCTGATGAATAGTTAGGTTTTGGAACCACTGACATTGTTGACCTATGGCCAGCTTGTGCTGTGTATACATTCTTATTCATAAATACAGGACCAGTTATTATAAAAATGAGACTTTGGAAGTATAGTTCCTGAATGGTACTTGGGGTGGATATTTGTCATTCATCACAGTCATGTAGCAACTGAATCCCATTCTCTGCTTAGGAAAAGCCTCATTTTTTGAATCTTGGTTTAGGGCAAAAACTACCCTGTATAAGCCCTAAAACTATCACTTTTTTTCATTTATTTATTTATTCATTTATTTATTTAATTTTGAGACAAAGTCTTGCTCTGTCACCCAGGCTGGAATGCGGTGGTGCGATCTCGGCTCACTGCAAGCTCCACCTCCCAGGTTCACGCCATTCTCTTGCCTCAGCCTCCTGAGTAGCTGGGACTACAGGCTCCCGCCACCAAGCCCGGCTAATTTTTTTGTATTTTTAGTAGAGACGGGGTTTCACCATGTTAGCCAGGATGGTCTCGATCTCCTGACCTCGTGATCTGCCTGCCTCGGCCTCCCAAAGTGCTGGGATTACAGACGTGAGCCACCGCGCCCGGCCCACTTTTTTTCTTTTAGAGACAAGAGTCTCGCTCTGTCAGCCAGGCTGGAGTGCAGTGGTGCAATCATAGCTCACTGAAGCCTCGAACTCCTGGGCTTAAGAGATTGTCCCACCTCAGCCTCCTGAGTGTCTGGGACTACAAGTGTGCATCATTACACCTGGCTGATTAATTTTTTTTTTTTTTTTGTAGAAATGGAGTCTTGCTATGTTGTCCAGGCTGGTCTTGAACTCCTGGCCTCAAGTGATCCTCTTGCCTTGGCCTCCCAAAATGCTGGGATTACAGGCATGACTGAACATGCCAGGTCCTTAAAAATAATCTAAATTTGTTTTCCTAGTGTCCTTTGAAACTAGCGTTCAGGCATGTGACTTAGGCTGTGCCATTGGTTATAACCATGTCAAACTGGCTCTGGTCCCAAAGTTACAAGGCAGGGGTGTGGAGCTCTCTCAGTACTGAAGGCAGCAGTAGTAGTGGCAGGGTGGGTGAAGTTCCTTGTGTTAAAGTGGAGGGGCCAATTGAAGTGTCCAGAGCTCAGGGTCACTCCCAATGGTTCCCTCATCAGTTCAGTTCTGCGGTGTGATTTTGGGGATGGCTCCTGGAAGCTGAATTTCAAACCCGATTCACCATCCCATGGTGACTCAAAGAGTTAATCAATTTCCTTAAGATAAACAGACAACCCACAAAGAAACAAACAAAAAGTTCCTCCTTTTCTGATTGATTGTGCAGAGTTAGCTTTAGGGTATAAGTTTTCAAGGAAGGATCCATTGTGTTGTCATCCAGTCAAGTAATAGACATGTATTTTATATGTTAGATCCCAGTTGACAAAGATTACTTTCTATTCAGGAACAAAGTTGTAAAGCCTTTGCTTTTGCCCTGAAGCAGAGATTACTTTCCCTTTGCATGGGTATAACTCACAGGGGAGGTTACAGATAAGAAAACATTTCCCTTGGCTAGGCTCAGTGGTTTACATCTGTAATCCCAGCTCCTCAGGAGGCTGAGGTGGGAGGATCACTTGAGGCCAGGAGTTTGAGACTGGCCTGGACAACATAGTAAGATCCCATCTCTAAAAAAAGAAATAGCCAGAAAAAAAAAAAAAAAAAGAAATAGCCAGGCAAGATGGCACATTCCTGGAGTCCCAGCTACTTGGGAGGTTGAGGCAGGAGGATTGCTTGAGCCCAGGAAGTTGAGGCTGCAGTGAGCTCAGACTGGGCCACTGCACTCCATCCAGTCTGGGCAACAGAGTGAGACCCTGTCTCAAAAAAACAAAGAAAAAGAAAACATTTCCCTCAAAATGAAGCTAGGATTTCAATACTCAGAGAAGTTCTCATTTGAAACTCCATAATTTCCCATCATAGAACCAGGAAGGGAGCATTTTGGCCAGGAGAATCAAAAGACTTCCATGACACGAAGTGGCCTCCGGAGAGTCCCTTTAGAAGCCTCTTTGGAAGCACACAGCCTGCTGATAAGGCCACCAGGATGAATTAGCTAAAACTTGTAGCCTCAGATTACAGCCTGCATTTAACTTGATGGATGGAGGTTTGTAGTGTTGTCCATTTGAACATTGACAGACTCCTGCCCAAATCAATCATTTCTTTTTGGCATAGTTGAATTTGAATTGCTCTTTTTGATGGCGATTAGTCGACAGTTTGACCTGGATCTTAAGCCTCTTCGTGTTGTAAAGCTTCCCCACTGATGTAGTCATCCATCTTCTTATTAATGGCGGTGGGAGGGCAGGCATCCCGTGCATCGCTGATAGGAATAAAGTTGCATCATAGGTACAAGTTTAAAATGAAGTAGAACTCAGACAGTCCTGTTTTATTCTGTTTAAAAATGGAATTTCGGCCGGGCATGGTGGCTCACACCTGCAATCCCAGCACTTTGGGAGGCTGAGGCGGGCAGATCACCTGAGGTCAGGAGTTCGAGACTAGCCTAGCCAACATAGTGAAACCTTATCTCTACTAAAAATACAAAAATTAGCCAGGCGTGGTGGTGGGAGCCTGTAATCCCAGCTACTAGGGAGGCTGAGGCAGGAGAATCACTTGAACCCAGGAGGCGGAGGTTGCAGTGAACCAAGATCATGTCATTGCACTCCAGCCTGGATGACAAGAGCAAAATCCTCCTTCTCTAAATAAATAAATAAATAAATAAATAAATAAATGGAATTTTGTCTGGCCTAAGATCATTCCTAGTCATTCTGATTCTGGCAGTGGTATTATGATACAGGTTTAGGGAGTGTTAATCACCTGGGATTTTTGCCAAGATCATCAAATTTAGTGCAAAGATAGCCCCTGTCCACAGAATCAAGAGCTGAAGACAGACTAACAAATAATGTGTTAGGAAGTCTTACATTGTTCATAACTAACTCCTCAAGAAGATGTATCATATGCAGCAAGCGGAGTGTAGAGTTGTACTCGAGGATAAGTTGTACCTAGAACGTTTTTGTTCCTGATACAATATGTTGGTTGAGAGGACCAGCTCTATCTGGGTCCCAGCATTTTGGGTGAGGCCAGAGGATAGCTTGAGCCCAGGAGTTCGAGACCAGCCTGGGCAACATGGTGAAACCCTGTCTCTACAAGAAATACAAAAATTAGCCAGGTATGGTGGTGCATGCCTGTGGTCCCAGGTACTTGGGAGGATGAGGCAGGAGGATCACTTGAGCCCAGGAGGTCGAGGCTGCAGTGAGCTGAGATTATACCACCATGCTCCAGCCTGGGTGACAGAGTGAGACCCTGTCTCAAAAAAAAAAAAAAAAAAAAAAAGAGCGAGAGAGAGAGGGGACCAGTTCTGTGGCTTGCTGAGAAGAAAGACAGTATGAAATTCTGAGGATAAATCTAGCAAGTTAACAAGTCTATCATCTTTGAGAGATAACAGAAAGCTCTATTTGAAGAGGGAGTGAACTCTTTATGTTCACTCTGAAGGCTCTGTAATCTGAAGAGTCATTTTGTGTAGAAGTTTCAGTAAGAGTTGGGGTAGACATCTACACTTTGCCTTAGAGATAATGAGGTGTACTGTAGTAGAGGAGTTTCCTATACTCAGCTATAGAGAATTCTGGGAATGAATGAAATGAAAATGAATGAAACATGGAGAGGTCATCTTCAGACTGTGAGCTTCAAAAGACTAACTCTCTCTGTTGTCAGTAGTTATTTGTTATTTTACAGTTTCTTACAGAAGTCACGTTATGGGCAGCCAAATGTGACTTCCAAATCTACTGAAGCTAAGTCCAAATTCCATTAAAAGTAAATTTTTTGGCAAATGACGTTATTTATGAGAGGCTTTGAACTTGACAAATTTCTATGTTGCTTCCTCTAGGTTCCAATGTTGATGCCAATTCCCTAATTTTGCCAAGTTTGTATTTTTTCTTCCTTGACATTCAAACTAAAAGACCAAGTCACCATTCTCCTGGTGGCTCAGGTGTGTTAGATGACAATCAGGAATATGTTTAGTCTGCCTCTAATGTATGATCAGGAATTGTTTTCCTTGTTGTTATATTTTTTGAATCCTTTGGACCCAAGAATATATCTTATTATTTATTTATTTATGTTTATAATTTGTAGAGACTCACTATGTTGCCCAGGTTGGTCTTGAACCCCTGGCCTCAAGAAACCTTCCTGTTTTGGCCTCCCAAAGTGCTGGGATTACAGGCATGAACCACCATACCCAGCCCAGAATATTATTTTTTAAAACTTAAAATTTGGAACTTATTTGGAAGACATGGGTGTTTACTCACAGCAAGACAGGATGGCCGAGTGTGGTGGCTCACGCCTGTAATCCCAGCATTTTGGGAGGCTGAGGCAGGCAGATCACCTGAGGTCAGGAGTTCGAGACCAGCCTGACCAACATGGTGAAACCCCATCTCTACTAAAAATACAAAATAAGCTGGGTGTGGTGGCACATGCCTGTAATCCCAGCTACTTGGGAAGCTGAGGCAGGAGAATTGCTTGAACCTGGGAGGTGGAGGTTGCAGTGAGCCAAGATCATACCATTACACTCCAGTCTGGGCAATAAGAGTGAAATTCCGTCTCAAAAAAAAAAAAAAAAAAAAAAAGACAGGATGGCAGATAGGTTGTAAGTTAGGACCGGATGTTTGGTTAGGGCAAGAACAGTCACGGTTTAGTCAAACTGTCTACCTCCTGTCCGTGAGTGCTCACTCTTCTGGGATGTTTCATGGCTGTCTCTGGACCCCCAACGGACTGTGCTGAGATTACTGTGTGCAAAGCTCATGTTTTGAATTTTCACTTCTGCACTCAAAACCTAAGTATCCCGTAAGTATCCTATATTTCCTTCTGCACTCAAAACATAAGTATCCTATCCTCCTTCAGAGCTATTCTATCATAGCTCTGCTATGTATTTTTACATCAAGTTAATGATGTCATTTTATTAAAAAGTAATGACTGATAATAGTTTGCTGTGTTACACCTCCCTGGAAATATGGATTTTAATAGGGGATCCTTTAAGATATACACCTTAGGCCAGGCATGGTGGCTCATGCCTGCAATACCAGCACTTTGAGAGGCCAAGGTGGGAGGATCACTTGAGCCCAGGAGGACCAGATCAGCCTGGGCAATGTAGTGAGACCCTATCTCTATAGAAAAAAAAAAGACATACACCATAGCCTGTGGGATGAATTACTCAGCAAAATTTTGGCAGGATACAAGGACAAAAGTTGAGAAATATGTTTTCAGGAGGGCCCAAATGATTTATCTGCCTTAATTTGGTTTCTTTATTGTACCAGCTCTGCAAAGGTGCCTAGAATAAGAAGTTCTGAGGACTGGAAGATTGAGTCCTCTTCCATCTTTTCACAGAAAACCACCCCCTAAGGAAATGATGTGTATTATTGATCTGGGCTAGCTATAGGTAAAATTACATTTAGCACATCACTTACGCAACTTTCAGGAAATTGGAAATGGTTAAATAATTCCTTAGCAGATTACAGTGCTGTTCTAAGGTTGGTCAAATCAATAAATGCAAACCAGGCTAAATAAATGTATTTTCAAAGAATAACAGAAGAGTCCTCATCTTCCCCAAATGCTGCCACCTTGGCTACTGGGTTTGTATTCCAGGGATTGATTTGAGGAATACTTAGAAGATCTTGAAGAACATCTTGCCTCTTTTTGAATCAATGAGAAAATTAGGCTTTCTAGCAACTCTTCATCAAATAAAACACTTTACTGAATTGCAAATGCTGTTCATTATGTCATCCCCTGGCACATCCTTGGCTATCACTGGGTTATGGGAGTTGGCTCTTGTGGTTCTGCTCTTCATGAGAGAGGAAGCTGCTGAAAACAAGGTTCCACACTGTATAATTTCTATGGCTTGTATTAATGCAGACAGTATAGTTACCATAAAGAAGAAAAATTACCAGTGGAAGATAAAACTAAAATACTAGTTGCATTACAATCGCATTCTAGAGCTGCAATAAATTGCATGAAGCCAATAAAGCAAAACTAACTGAAGATATTTGGCACAAACCAAAAATGAAATGAGAGCCATTATGCTGTCTGCTACAGGGACATGCCTCAATGTAGTTAAAGCAATAAACTACCTGGGAATAATCTTTACTTATTTTAAATTGCATATTCCCATTGCAAAGCTGTTTCTGGCATTTTTGCCATACTTAGCTTTACTGAGCTAAGGAAAGAATTACATGTCTGAATAAGTCATGTTCTACTAAATGTGCCTCCTCTCTCCAGTAACTCATAACTCACTTTGAGTCTGAATATTGTTTATTCTGAAATTAATCATGGTTTTCTGCCATAAATTAACTTTTCTGCAACACACTGGAAATAGATTGATCCTGGAACTCCACCAAGTATTTGATCAGTAGCTTCCAATCCTTCCTTACTATGATCCTGGACTTTTTAGGCTTTTGGAATCAAAGAGTCTTTCTTATCAGTAAAGGAACCCAAAGAGGTCATACCTGCTGGGATTTTATTTTATTTTATTTTATTTATTTATTTGAGATAGGGTCTCACTCTGTCGCCCAGGCTGGAGTGCAGTGGTGCAATCTCAGTTCACTACCACCTCTGCCTCCCAGGTTCAAGCCATCCCCCTGCCTCAGCCTCCTGAATAGCTGGGACTACAGATGCATGCCACCACGCCAGGCTAATTTTTGTATTTTTTTATTTTGTAGAGATGGGGTTTCGCCATGTTGCCCAGGCTAGTCTCCAACTCCTGAGCTCAAGCTATCCGCCCACCTCAGCCTCCCCAAGGGCTGGGATTACAGGCTTGAGCCACCATGCCCAGCCCCTGTTGTGATTTAAGATGTGAATTTTTATATAGTGTCAGATAGTTAAAGTAGTTATCCAGGAAGAGGGATTCTTGGAGCTGATGGGTGATTTGTCCAGGAGTCCTGTTGTTTAATATGTCAATAGAGTTCTTACCTTCAAAGTAATGTTCCCTTAATTAGCAACATGCCTTTAAAAGGATAAGAATTTACAAAGTTAGATAAAATCTAGATAATGGATTACCTCAGCAGCACCCAGCGTCCTATAGGAAGTGGGTACCATTGTTTCCTGTGTAAACCAATGATAGAATTAGGGCTGTTCTTTTTATCCGAAGTAATAAAGATATAGGAAGAAGAAAGGGGCCTGGTGCGGTGGCTCCTACTTGTAATCCCAACACTTCGGAAGACTAAGTAGAGCGGATCGCTTGAGCCCAGCCTAGGCAACATGGTGAAACCCCATCTCTACAAAAAATACAAAAATTAGCTGGGCATGGTGGCATATGCCTGTGGTCCCAACTACTTGGGAGGCTGAGGTGGGAGGATTGCTTGAGCCCAGGAGGTCAACACTGCAGTAAGTCGAGGCTGTGCCACTGCACTCCAGCCTGGGCGAAAGAATGAGATCCTGTCTCAAAAACAAAAACAAAAACAAAAGCAAAAAAACCCGGGAGGTAGGTGAGTAAACCCTTTAGAGAGGACAGAACAGACTTGTTCTTGCTCTAATCTAGTTGTATTTTAACTATTAATCTACATTAACAGAGCTGCTAGCATTCAATAACCAAGCAGCTTTTCACACCTTGGTTTTGAAGAGAGCATCCTCATACATTGCTAGTGGGAATATAAATCAGAGCATCTTTACTGAAGTGCAGTGTTCATTTCAATTCAATACATTTGGCAGAATTCATTTAAGCCTTGAAAACAAGCATGTCGTTTGGCCTAGCAGTTTCATCTAGGAATTTATTCTAGGGAGATAATCATGACTTTGGTAAATATGTTTGTACAAGAAGCATTGTTCATAATAGCAAAAAAAATCTAGAAGCCACCCTGACATCTCAAAATTAGACTGTTTAAGTAAGTCCGAATACATGTGCAAAGCTGGGGACCTACTGTACCTGCAGTTGTTAAATGTGCTCAGGGGGAACTGCAGTTGTTAAATGGAACTCAGGGGGAAACACTCATGCTTTGGGAAAAGGTGAATGAAATATTACCTGGAAAAGCAGGCTACAGAATAGCAAGAACAGGATAATAGCATTTTTTGGTATTAAAATGTATGTATTTAGATAAAACAAAACAGAAATGAATACATCAGACTATTAAATGTGGTTGTGTCTGGTGGTGGTATTATTTTTACTTGTGTATATTTCCCAAGATAATTCTAATAAATATGTATTACTTGTGTAACCAGATAAAAATATGGTTTGAGAAAAATCCTTCATGAAATTCATGTATTACAATGGGCCGGCCGTGGTGGCTCACGCCCATAATCCCAGCACTTTGGGAGGACGAGGTGGGTGAATTACTTGAGGTCAGGAGTTTAAGACCAGCTTGGCCAACATGGTGAAACCCCATCTCTACTAAAAGTACAAAAATTAGCCAGATGTGGTGGCGCACACCTGTAATCTCAGCTACTTACTTGGGAGGCTCAGGTAGGAGAATCATTTGAACCCAGGAGGTGGAGGTTGCGGTGAGCTGAGATCGTGCCATTGCACTCCAGCCTGGGAGACAAGAGCAAAATTCTGTCTCAAAAAAAAAAAAGAAAAAAAAAGAAAAAAGAAAAAGAAAATCATGTATTACAATGACCCTAATGCACAATATTATCTGTCCTCCCCCTCCCCCCCCTTTTTTTTGAGACAGGGTCTTGCTCCATCACCCAGGTTGGAGTGCAGTGGCACTTTCTCAGCTCACTGCAACCTCCCCTCCCAGGCTCAAGACATCCTCCCTGCTTAGCCTTTTGAGTAGCTGGGACTACAGGTGTGTGTGACCATGTCCAGTTAATTTTTTGAAGAGACGGGATTTTGCCTGTTGCCCAGACTGGTCTTGAACACCTGATCTCATGTGATGCACCTGCCTCAGCCTCCCAAAGTGTTGGGATTACAGGCGTGAGCCACCGCGCCCAGCCTTTCCTTCCACCTTTAGGCTAGGAATGGGCTGAGTTCCAGACAGCCCCATCTTTTTTCTCCTGGGCTTCTTTTCTCTGCCCTTGTCTGGGCAGCTTTAGAACCCTGGCTGTCTGTGGATCTTTGGGGCTGAGGGTCATTGAGCTTTGTCTTTGATCCCACAGGGATCCTATTAGCTATCTTTGTGGAGGGTTCTAAAATGGCTCCTGATGACCTATTCCGTTCCCAAATCCACCCCTTCTTCCTTGCCCTGAAAGTTTTGCAGACAGTGGGAAATATATCATTAGTACCTTCAAGCCCCGTTCCAACAGAAATAGTCATGGAATAGTGCAGAGGAAGTTGGGTTCAAATTCTGGTTCTGTGTGCCCTTAGGCAAGTCATTTAACCTCTCTTCATCTCAGTTTCCTCATGGGTAAAATGGATATATAACCAGAGTTCCTACCTTGCAAGGCAGTTCTTGTTATAGAACTGTTACCGGCAGGTCTTTGTTCTTAGAGCTCCCAAGATGGCAGCGGACCACTCCCAACATGGCGGCAAGCCTTTTGTTCTCTGACCTGGGGTTCTTGGCCTCACGGATTCCAAGGAATGGAACCTTGGGCGATGCAGTAAGTGTTACAGCTCTATTAGAAGCCATGGGTCACTGAGAGCCATGGAACCCAGGGACTAGTGTTCAGCTCAATTAGGATGAACCAGGGCACTTAGCCGCGCAGGAACAATGGAGAGCCCTTAGCCCCATGGGGAGCGGCAATGGGCGCCTCGCTGGATCAGTAGCCCAGCGGACGCCCTGCCGGATCTGGAGGGGTGGAAGTCAGCTGTGGGTCTGCGATGGCGGCAAACAGCGGTGGTGGACGGTGAGCGAAAACTCAGCTCGAGCGGTAACAAACACTGACCGGAAGAGTGTGCAGTTGCAAGATTTAATAGAGTGAAAACAGAGCTCCCATACAATGGGAGGGGACCCAAAGGGGGTTGCCGCTCCCTGCTCAAATGCCCGGGTTTATATCCCGATCACTGTCCCTCCCACTGTGCTGTCTGGCGATATATGATTTGACTATTTCTTTACCTCCTGCTTTAGCCTAATTTGTATTTTAGTGAGCCCTCTTTACTACCTGATTGGTTGGGTGTGAGCTGAGTTACAAGCCCCGTGTTTAAAGGTAGGTGCGGTCACATTCCCCAGTGTTAGGTTTAGGAATTCTTAGTCGGCCTAGGAAATCCAGCTAGTCCTGTCTCTCAGAACCAAACTGGGGTCTGCTTGCCCGGCACAGTAAGACCAGATATCCACACTGGGGTTTTGCATTGGCATAGAGGGAGTTGCTTATTTGCAGGTACAAAGCAAGGAGAATCAGGGCAGCTCATGCTTAAGACCTGAACTTGCGGATGGCTTGCAGATAAGGGTTTTTAAAGGCAGGGGTAATTTCCAAGAAAGCAGAAGCTACAGGCAAAATCATAAATCAATACATGGAGGTCAGGTGCGGTGGCTCACTCCTATACTGCCAGCACTTTGGGAGGCCAAGTCGTGTGGATCACCTGAGGTCAGGAGTTCGAGACCCACCTAACCAACATGGAGAAACCCCTTCTCTACTAAAAATACAAAAATTAGTTGGGCATGGTGGCAGGCTCCTGTAATCCCAGTTACTTGGGAGTCTGAGGCAGGAGAATCACTCGAATCCAGGAGGTGGAGGTTGCAGTGAGCCGAGATTGCACCATTGCACTCCAGCCTGGGAGGCAAGAGCGAAACTCCATCTCTAAATAAATAAATAAATAAATAAATAAATAAATAAATAAATGGAGGCTATACATTGGTTTGACCTAAAAAGACAGGATATCTCTCAAAGCAGGAGGCCCACACGTCATAGATGGATTCAAGGACTTTTTGACTTGCGATTGATTCAGGAGGCAAAGCTTTGTCTAAAAAATTGGGATCAGCAGAAAAGAATGTTAGCTCTGGTTCGTGCGTGTGACTGCCTCCAAGCTCCTCAGGAAGAAGTTTAGAGCAAAAAAACGGAGGTTAGAGTTCAGGCCTCAGTTTCTCCTTATCTGAGATCTGTGTGCCAGCAGATCCATTGTGTGGGGGTCCGGGTTTCTGAAAAACAACTCAGGGACATATGCTAAAATGTTATGTTTAGTTTCTATAGGAAACCAAACATCTCCAGACTCTAACTTCCTTGGCTATTGTTTTAAGCTACCATTACCTTCTTGCTTACTTACCAAGTTGTTCATTTACTTCTCAGGGTAAGCTAGGTGCCTGGAATTTCCCTGGATGGAATTCAAGATTTTCCTTTATTTCCATGCTTGGGACCCTGCAGGACCCTAAAAGGGGATCCTTTCTCTGTCTGATGTTTATCTTAAGTATACTTATTGCCTTTGACTTGGGTTGTACCCCATGTGTGAAAGCAATAAAGGATGTCAGAATATGTTCCCCCCAAAATAGACCACTTTGGTATATTGATTATTTTGAATTAAAGGCACTTGAAAAAACTGCAGATGTAATGACACACTCTGATCTTCCTTTTTTCTTCTTTATTAAAGTAGGAGGTAAAACTGTGTGAAAGGTGCCCTTTCTGTACCAGGAGGAAGACAGTCATCACTAGAGGTGGAGAGTTGAGGCTGAGAGAAACTCATACAAACAAACCTTGCTAAATGAACCCTTATCTTCCTGGTTACTTTTCCACAATTAACTACCCTGGCCCAAGTAAACCACTTTTTCTTGTCACATTTTCACAATTTACTACTTTTTTGTCAAACCTAATGTATAAATTTTGGGCCTGTGAAAGAAAAATATCTTGGGCCCCCAAAATCACCAAGCTAAAGGGAAAATTTGAGCTGGGAACTGCTTCGGATAAAGCCTGCCTCCCTTTCTATCCAAAGTTATCCTTCTGCTCACTGAGATAAATGCGTATCTGATTGCCTCCTTTGGAAACGTTAATCAGAAACTCAAAAGAATGCAACTGGCCGGGCGTGGTGGCTCACGCCTGTAATCCCAGCACTTTGGGAGGCCAAGGCGGGCGGATCACGAGGTCAGGAGATTGAGACCATTCTGGCTAACACGGTGGAACCCCGTCTCTACTAAAAATACAAAAAATTAGCCGGGCATGGTGGTGGGCGCCTGTAGTCCCAGCTACTTGGGAGGCTGAGGCAGGAGAATGGCGTGAACCTGGGAGGCAGAGCTTGCAGTGAGCCGAGATCGCGCCACTGCACTCCAGCCTGGGCGACAGAGCAAGACTCCATATCAAAACAAAACAAAACAAAAAAACGATGCATCCGTCTTTCCAGACCGAACCAATGGCTCCCTAAAATGTATATAACCAAGCTGTGCCCCGACCATCTTGGGCATGTGTCATCGGGACCTCCTGAGGCTGTCACAGACGTGTGTCCTCAGCCTTGGCAAAAAAAACTTTCTAAATTAACTGAGACCTGTCTCAGATTTTCTGAGTCCACAGACCCTAACTCCTTTGGGTCTTGATTTTTCTTGCGTAGCCTCCCATGTATGTAAAAATTATTAAATAGAATTTGCAGGCTTTGGTCCTGTTAATGTGTTTTATGTCAGTGTAATTCTAAGGCCCAGCTGGAGATCCTAGGAGAGTAGAGGAGAAATTTAACCCCCACTACAGCAACCCCTGAGGGCTATTTTCTAATTATTTCCAAAGAGGACTAATATTATAGGTTGGTGCAAAAGTCACTGCGGTTTTTGCCATTAAAAGTAAATTGCAAAAACTGCAATCACTTTTGCACCAACCCAATATAAACAGGACTATTTATTGATTGCTTATGTTTTTTTCAGTTCCTGGGCAGAGTATGATGCAAAAGCTCTCAATCCTGGGAACAAGTTCATAGTGTAGGCCCTGTTATGATATTCCCACTTTGCAGATAATGAATTCCAGGCTCAGGCGTCCACAATTTTGCAGCTATTGAGTGGCTTTTAATCCTTGCTCTATTTTGTCCTCCATCTATGAAATCTTTTTTTTTTTCTTTTTTTGAGACGGAGTCTTGGTCTGTCGCCCAGGCTGGAGTACAGTGGCGCCATCTCAGCTCACTGCAACCTCTGCCTCCCAGGTTCAAGCAATTCTCCTGCTTCAGCCTCCTGAGTAGCTGGGATTACAGGCATGTGCCACCACGCCCAGCTAATTTTTGTATTTTTAGTAGAGACGGGATTTCACTATGTTGGCCAGGCTGGTCTCGAACTCCTGACATCAAGTGATCCACCCACCTCAACCTCCCAAAGTGCTGGGATTACAGGCACGAGCCACCACGCCCGACCAAAATCAATTATAATATTTTAAAGTATTTGTTGACATTCATGATTTAGAATTGATTTCTCTTCTAATTACTCATCTCAAGGTCAAAATCTTCAACTGTTCTCAGCTGCCTACAATGTGCAGAATGCCAAACTGGATATGTGTGAAAGGCACTGGAAGAAAATGTTTCTTGCTATGTTCAAGCTTCCTGGTTTTAATCCATCACCTAAATAATAATCTAAAATAAAACGGGTGTGTTTGCATGAGAAGAGTCTTCTGAATCGAATGCAAATGAGGCTAATGGCGGTACATTGTGTCTTCTTCATTATGGACAACAATCTCTGGCATTAATTAATTACATGTTCTTTCTTTGCCTGCAAGGTAACTGCCTTTAAACTTTTGTTGTAAAGAGAGCTGACTCCATTGTGCTTCCATCACATGTCATCCTGTAAATAGGTGGGATTTGTTTCTGCTGATGTTTTACAAACGGGGTAATCTTGCCTACAGCATTTCTTTCTGTTTGGCCTGACTAGATCATCAAGTTTTTTGCAGAAAGTCCGTGGCTACACTGCCTGCATCACCTTAGCTTCCTTTTGGAGCCCTTCTTGGAAGTTAAGAAAGCCCTGTTTTGGCCAGGCAGGGTGGCTCACGCCTGTAATCCCAGCACTCTGGGAGGCTGAGGCGGGCGGATCACCTGAGGTCAGGAGTTGGAGACTAGCCTGGCCAACATGGTGAAACCCCATCTCTACTAAAAATACAAAAATTAGCTGGGCGTGATGGTGCGCGCCTGTAATCCCAGCTACTCGGGAGGCTGAGACAGGAGAATTGCTTGAAACTGGGAGATTGAGGTTGCAGTGAGCTGAGATCGGGCCACTGCACTCCAGCCTGAGTGACAGAGCGAAACTCTGTCTCAAAAAAAAAAACAAACAAACCCTTGTTTTTCTACAAAAGTGGGGAAAACCACTGCCGCGAGACTGACTTTTCCTTTCAAAATGAGGGTTTAAAAATGCTAGCTTTCTGAAAAAATAAATAAAAAGAAATAACCAATTCACTTTTTTTCCTCTTGTAAACCAGCCTGCTTTTCCCTAAAGTCATAAACTGGTGACAAAATGAATTAATTCAATGTTTTATTACTTATTTACTGTAAAATATTGTACGGTCTTGGCAAGCTGATGAGTGACTGTGTAACTAAAAACATTTCTGCACTAATTCAAGAAACTTAGTTTCCTGCATATCATAATTCTCTATCATACTAAGTATGCAAATACTACTACTACTACCAGACTGCTACCACTATGAATAAACACTTATTTAAGGACTTAGTGCATGCCAGACATTATAGCTCATTCATTTCTCACAATAACTCTTCTGTGGGGTACTATATATATGCACTATTTTTATTTATTTATTTTAATTTTTTTCAGGCAGAGTCTGGCTCTGTCACCCAGGCTGGAGTGCAGTGGTACGATCATAGCTCACTGTGGCCTCCCACTCTGGGGCTCAAGCAATCCTCCTGTCTTGGCTTCCCGAGTAGCTGAGACTACAGGGATGTACCACCATACCCAGCTAATTTTTAAAATTTTTTATCTGTAGAGATGGAGTCTCACTATGTTGCCCAGGCTGGTCTCGAACTCCTGGGCTCAAGTGATCCTCTCAGCCTCCCAAAGTGTTGGGATTACAGGTGTGAGGCATCAGTCTTGGCTAGTTTTTTTTTAGATGGAGTCTCACTCTTGTCACCCAGGCTGGAGTGGAATGGTGCCATCTCTGCTCACAGCAACCTCTGCCTCCCAGATTCAAGTCCTGACTCAGCCTCCAGAGTAGCTGGGATTACAGGTGCCCACCACCACGCCCGGCTAATTTTTGTATTTGTAGTAGAGACAGGGTTTCACCACGTTGGCCAGGCTGGTCTCCAACTCCTGACCTCAGGTGATCTGCCCACCTCAGCCTCCCAAAGTGGTGGGATTACAGGTATGAGCCACTGAGCCTGGTCCAGCTATTTTTTTAAACCTAATTTTGCAGACTAGGAAATGGAGGATGTGAGAGATTTAGTAAGTTGCCTAGGATCAGACTGCTAGTCAGTGGTGAACTCAGGATCTGTATCTAGTTCAGCCTGTTACCAATGCCTGTCCTCTTAACCACGATGTTGTCCTCCTCCTCAAGTGATTTCTAATTTGCTTTTTTTTTTACACTAACTTATCCTACAACGCTTTGCTGAGCCATTATTTAAGTGTGATTATAAGATTCGTCATCCAAGAGGTTGATTTGACTTTGGACATGTAAAGTTCACTGTTTCTCAGAAGAAGCAAATTCTAATTTCAGGACTGAAACTTGAGATGGCTGGAACACTTTTATTTCTCGTAGGTCACATAATAATTTTTAAAAGGAGCTTTGTGACTGGTCATGGTGGCTCACGCCTGTAATCCTAGCACTTTGGGGGGCCGAGATGGGCAGATTGCCTGAACTCAGGAGTTCAAGATCAGCTTGGGTAACATGGTGCAACCCCGTCTCTACTAAAAATACAAAAAATCAGCTGGCTATGGTAGGGCTCGCCTGTAGTCCCAGCTTCTTGGGAGGCTGAGGCAGGAGAATCACTTGAACCTGGAGGCAGAAGTTGCAGTGAGCTGAGATCGCACCACTGTACTCCAGCCTGGGCGACAGAGCAAGACTCTGCCTCAAAAAAAAACAAAAAGGAGTTTTGTATTGAGAGAAGTTTATCATCATGCTTGAAATAGTTGTTTTTTCTTTTTCCAGAAATGTGCTTACCCATGAAATAGTTTTGAACTGAATACAGGAATGGGAAGACTCTAGCATTTTGCAATGTTTTGAATGTGAGTAGATTGGCGAGTACTTGGTGTGCTCTCACTGCTTCAGTCCCGTGTCTCTACTGAGGTCAGGTCTGGAATTCCTTTTACCTGCTGTGAGGTGGCACCTGGATATACTTCAGGCCCG